>NC_000011.10:101111818-101414848 GCF_000001405.40 Homo sapiens
TTGGGTGGTTTATCCACAGTTTGGAGACTGGATTAGATAACCAAGGAAGTAAGTATATAAACAGAAGGGAAGAGGACCAAATACTCAGAATACTCAGCACTGGACCCTCTCATATTAAAAGCTAAAGGAGAAGAACAGTTTGAAGGGGAGCTAGTGAGGAAAATCAAGAGAGGGTCGTGTCTTGAAAACCAAGCGAATAAAGTATTTGCAGGAAGGTGGAGTGATCAATTGTCAAATGCTACCAATGAGTCAAGTAACATGGGACTGACAATTGCCCATAAGATTTAGTAACATGGTAACCTTGACAAGAGAAGTTTTGGTGGAGTGACAGAGGTCAACAACTGATTGGGTTAGGTTTAAGAGTGAATGGGAGAAGAAAATGTGTTAGAAGAGTTTTGCTGTAAAAGAAGAAAAATGATTGGTGGCTGAAGAGTAAGTGAAATCAACAAAAGTAGTTTGTTTATATTTTAAGATGAGAAAAGGAAGAGCATGTTGTAGGCTGACAGGAATTATCCAGTAGAGAAGGGGAAAAATGATTTAAATGTTGCGGGAGGATTGGTAGAGCCTGTCCTTGAGTCAGCAGGAGTAATCTGGATCTAGTGGTCAAGGAGAGAGGGCTGGACTTGAGAACTGCAGAGCTCTGGTAACCCCAGAAAAATGGGATTATAGTTCAGAGGCCACTTCTGTCCATACAGATGGTGGTAGCAATTTCAGAAAGTTTTTTTCCGAAAATTAGGAAGCAAGGCTGTTAGCTGAAAGTGAGGACAGGGGAGTGCTGGCAGGCTGAGAAGAGAAGGTGGAAGACAGCCATCCCAGAAGCCATGGAGAATGAGGGGACTGTCTGCAGGGCAGATTATCTAGTCATAATATTCACTTTCAATTCCACATACCAGTTATGAAAAGCTTCTTTTACCCCAGAAATTCAGCTAGCAAGTATCTACTCTCCCTGATGTCAATCAATTTTCATTACAAATACTTAGGACAAAGAGACACTAGATAATGAATAAGAGGTAATATTAACAAATAAGAGAGAAGGTTCTGTGGGTTCCAATCTCAGCTCTACCATTTTATTTACTATTTATCTGTGCAAGTGATTTAAAATCTTTGTGTTTAATATAACACATTTAGCCAAGTTCCTGACATATGTGTTCAATAAATGCCACTATTATGAAATGTGTTCAGAACCTAACTGAATTTTTTTGGAAGATTTTTTAGCAAGTTAGAAAATCTTATTTCAAAATGTTTATGTATGAAACTATAAAATTTTGATCTCTTATAATACCTTCACAACAAAATCAAATAACAGTGGAATCATCCCCAAAGACTTGTTTTCAAAATGCTATCTACAAAACAACAGTGTCTTTCAAACAGAAGTTACCTCCTTTTTTCTATCATGAACATTATCTTTAACTTGAAGGGGCAGATTAACTGTACCTTCTGCTAAATATCTTCTTTTTTTTTTTCCCAGAGTCTTGCTCTGTCACCCAGGCTGGAGTGCAGTGGTGTGATCTCCACTCACTGTAAGCTCCACCTCCTAGGTTCATGCCATTCTCCTGCCTCAGCCTCCTGAGTAGCTGGGACTACAGGCACCCACCACCATGCCTGGCTATTTTTTTTTTTTGTATTTTTAGTAGAGACGGGGTTTCTTTCACCGTGTTAGCCAGGATGGTCACGATCTCCTGACCTCGTGATCTGCCCACCTCGGCCTTCCAGAGTGCTGGGATTACAGGCGTGAGCCATTGCACCCGGCCTATATATCTTCTAAGTATCATACTACTGAGACACTTGTCATCATAGGAAAGGTCAGCAATCTGAAATGCATATCCTTTTATAAAGGAAAATGTAAACAGCAAAAATTTACTTAAGGGTTGGGAGGTAGCTGGAGGTAATTAAAACATGAGATAGTAAACAATTCCAAGTTTGCTATCAGGCACTACCAGCCTAGGGATTTATGGATTGTTGCCTGCAATAGGGAAATTCTCACAGGCATCTACTCTCCTTGAGCCCTTGCTTCCTACTCAGTTGTTAGGCCCTTTCTATTTCCTACTCCTTGCCCCAGCTGCTAGCCTACAATTCCCTAATTTCTATTAAAATAGTACATAGAGAGGTTCAGTTCTTCATACTTTCATCCGCCCCCCCATCCAAAGTGGCCTCTGGATGGGCCTTTGCACAAAGAAACACTCACTGAAGTGCTCTGCTTAAAGAAGATAAACCATTGTGGTCTCCACTGTTAATTACAAAAAAGTTGCCACAAACTTTGAAATTACAATAATTTTTAAGATTTAATATTTTTAGTCTAATACTTAGTCAGGATTCAGACTTTCTCCTTCCATACCCCGCATTTAAACACCAGGGTTAGATCTTCCTGTCCTATACTTCCACAATTCTCAGCTCACACCTCTCATAGATATTACCAGACTGCATTTCTGCAACGTGTTTATGTGCCTTTCTCCTAAGTTATGAACTTGGCTCATCCATTTTTGAGTCTCAATATTTAACACAAATCCAGGCACAAAACGGCATTATTTTTGGTATAAATTAATAAATAAGCAGACGACTAAATGAAGTGACAAACCAGAACATCTCAATTCTCATAAGTTATTTTGTGCACAAAAATTATATTATTTCAATATCCTGCTGAGGACATTATGTAGAATATAATACAAACAATTTGAAATTAAACTACTTCTCAGAATCTGTGTTACCAGTTTCCTAGCTGTTCTCTCTGACTTCAAGCTATCTAATCTCTGTACAAATATATTCTGCATGGTGCTTTTAGGATAATCCTTCCTAAATACTACTTTCAACATCACTCCTTTACTGAGTAAAATGATCATGTACTTCCTATTTCTGAAGGTGACGTCCCCCACCCCCACAATTCTCTGTGTCGCTTTCATCACCCTTCTCAATTGGTTCCAATCTACCCATTGAACCCATTCCTCTCTCCACAACCCTGGCTCAGGTCCTTAGTGCACCATCCCCAGACTGTTTTCCTTGTCCCTTACCTTTCTGACATTAATCTTTCCAATATACTGCTGATATACTAATTTTCTTAAATATTAAAATATGCCACTACACTGCCCAAAAAATATTTAGGGGCTTCTCACTCTTTACTCAATTAATTGTAAACACCCCATTGTGCATTCCACATTTTCTTGACCTTCTGTTTTATAATAATCCTCACCATTCCTTTAAAGCAGTGGTAAGCTAACTTTTTTGGGGGTGGGAATAAGGGGTCACTGATCTCTTTCAAAACCTCATGAAAAGAATTATCCTAGAAAAAACACAAATAATTTATATATAATCGTAAGGGATTCTGACCATGTTCCATGCTTTAGCCAAATTGTCCTTCTGCTCAGTCTGTAGTTTTTGTTTACAAAAGCCATTACAATTCTTGCTATCAAAAATTTCATGCATTCTCAGCAGCCCATCTAGCATGCTATCCTTTCCATAAAAACACATTTTGGTCTCCCTAGCTAAATATGATCTTTTTCCCCTTGAAATCAAAAACACATTTGATTTATATATTACCTATATTATACTTGAATATGGGATAAACTCCATGATTGAACGAAAACTATATGAAGTTAGGTAATATGGCTTATTTATCTTTTATAGCTCCCTGTAGAACCCAGCATGGTACTAAGAATTTATTAAAAATGATAAGAATAGGCTGGGCGCTGTTGCTCACGCCTGTAATCCCAGCACTTTGGGATGCCAAGGTGGGAGGATCACTTCAGGTCAGGAGTTCAAGAGCAACCTGGCCAACATGGTGAAACCCCATCTCTACTAAAACTACAAAAATTAGTGTGTGTGGTGGTACATGCCTGTAATCCCAGCTACTCGGGAGGCTGAGGCAGGAGAATCGCTTGAACCCAGGAGGCAGAGTGCAGTGAGCTGAGATTGTGCCACTGCACTTCAGCCTGGGCTACAGAGCGGGGACTCCCTCTCAAAAAAAAAAGATAAGAATAAATGATAAGAATTGTTTATAAAAATTTTCAGGGCTGCTACATTGCAAAAAGCCAGCAGGCACCACTCTCAACATAGTCTATAAATCATTTCTGAGTACATGTCCAAAATCTCTTAGCTGAAATGTATTGGGCCAATTGTGTTTCAAAATTCAAAATTGTTTGTATTTTAGAAAGATAAAATAGAGCAACACTTAATAAAACATTATATTTATGCAGCAAAATGTACGAATATTTACATAGACTACAAGATTTCCTCATGTGATTTCAGATCAGATTTTGCTGCCAAACAAATTCACGTCAGGTTAGGTATTGTTGACAAGTGACTACAACAAAATTTTTGTTTGCAGTGCTTTTTGAATATTGAGATTGTGTGTGAGGAATTGTGGGCCTGTGTCCATTCTTGGCTCCATCTAGTCAGGAAGGATTCCTTAATTCATGATACAGAGTAACCTCAAGCTTTTGCTTCAATATTCTTCAAGTTTCATTCTTTGTTAGTCTCTTTCAACATTCTAGGGTACCTGAAGGTGAAAAGTGGCACATATGGTCACTGGACACCATTAGGGCAGCAGAGGCTAGCTGAGACTAGGCGGGGCCAGTGTGGAGGAAAGTCAGGCACCAAGTTGGTGTGTAATTGCAGCCCCTTCAGTAAATACTTGCTTAAAGAATGAAGCTGGGTGCAGTGGCTCATGCCTGTAATCCCAACACTTTGGGAGGCCAAGGCGGGAGGATCACCTGAGGTCAGGAGTTCGAGACCAATCTGGTCAACACGGTGAAACCCTGTCTCTACTAAAAATAAAAAAATTAGCTGGGCATGGTGGTGGGCACCTGTAATCCCAGCTATTCGGGAGGCTGAGGCAGGAGAATCACTTGAACCAGGGAGGCACAGGTTGCAGTGAGCTGAGGTCAAACCACTGCACTCCAGGCTGGGTGACAGAGCTAGATTCCACCTCAAAAAAAAAAAAAAAAAAAAAAAGACCAAAACATGTCATCAGAAATTGGAAGTCTCTCATCCTGACAGTAAGCACTTAGTTATTTTCTTTTAGATAGCTCTCTATACCTAGCAAGATCAAATGGGTACAATTTTTTACCCAGAATGATATTGTTCCTTGCTTTTTCATAAAATCAAATATTTTAGAGACTTCTTGACATCTGTAGTATAGACAGCTAACTCACTCTTTTCATTGCAAGGGTATACCACAATTTGCTAATCTCTTTTTAACAGACATTTGGGCTGTATTCAGTTTCTCAGTATTATAAATAATGTAATACTGCAATAAACATCCACCTACAGGTATTCTAGAGTTCTGTAAGGATGAGTTTCTAGAAGTAGAATTGTTGGGCCAAAGTAACGCATATTTTAATTGACAATACCAAACTATCTTCAGATTCTCCAATGGTCATTATTTGTTATTCATTATTATTCCAGTACTCAAATTGCTGAAATTCCCATTATTATTTTAATCAGTAATGCTTATTAGTGAGTTGAGCCTTCTTCATACTTCTGTGGGCTGTACTTTGTGAACTGTCTTAATATTTTTTGTTCATTTTTCTTCCTGTTTGTCTTTTTCTTGATTTGTAAGAATATTTTGTATATGGGTAATAATTTCCTTTTGATTTACATATATGTTACAGTTTCCTAATTTGTTGTTGTCTTTGACTTTATGAATTTTTTGCCTTATATAAGAAATTTGAGATTACATAGCAAATGGAGCAAATTTGTTTTTGAATTCTGGATTTTATATCAAATTTAGAAAGTTTTCCATCCCAAGACTATAAATACATACCTCCATCATCTTTCCATACTTTTAGGTTTCTTTTCTTCAAATAAAAAAAAAATTAAGTTGTTGACCCACCTGAAATTTTTCTTGTGTATAATACGCCAGGAGTCACAATATTATTATATTAAAAAAACTATCAAAAATAAACGTTTCTTAATTACTGTCTCTGTTTTTAAAGGCTTTGAATAAATCTTACTAGCTCAATAAACTACCTTTTCTAACTACTGCAGACACATCTCTGCCAGTACTACTATTAATTGGGGTAAGTTAACTAACTTCTGAGTCTTTGCTTACATATGAAGTGGAAATGGTAAATTCTACTTTTTAGGATTGTTGTGAAGAATAGAAATATTAAATATAAAGCATTTAGCATGGTTTCTATTATATATAGGCAATCAGTAATGACAAC
Organism: Homo sapiens; assembly: GCF_000001405.40. Lineage (NCBI taxonomy): Eukaryota > Metazoa > Chordata > Mammalia > Primates > Hominidae > Homo > Homo sapiens. The sequence continues at coordinate 101,117,977 of NC_000011.10, forward strand.
TCTTGGTACTTTCCTCTCTAGTTCACTTATAGCACCCTAAGTCTGCAACACACAATTTAATCAAACACTAAATTTGCAGTGTTGTCTGTTAATCACTCACTTCCACACACACACTGCAGGCTCCTTGAAATCAAAGACTGTATCTTTTCCTGCAAAGGAATATCCAGTGGAAGTTAAGGGCATTGACTCCAGGAGTGGAGTTCTGCTCTACTGTTGACTAACTGAACAAATCTTATCTGTAAAATGAGAAAAATAGAACCTGTCTCATAGGTTTGTTGCAAGAGTTAAATGAGTTAGTAAACAAAGAGACATTAGAAGAGTACCTGAATTTAGTAAACACTCAATAAATGATAACCATTATTTTTACCCTTTAATTTTTATATTTCGTACAAATGCTACAGCACTGTTTTGAGCTCACGGTCCATACTCACTACATGTGTATTCTATCTCATAAATAAATCACTTGGTTATAGAAGAGTAAATAGCATGAAAAGTATTTGCATTTTTTTCCTAAAGAAATAATGATTACTAGTAAATACTATGCTTTAAGAAAAAAGTTATGATTCCTTAAAATGTCATATAAAGTACACAACACAAGACGCTGTAGTAGCAGTTAAAAATAAAGCTCAAAACCTGTTAATTTTTTAAAATTGAGCATTAAAATGTACTTGTTTTGCAGGAGTTAAAATAAAAAGGAAAACCCAATAGGCTATTTACATATCACTTATTAAAAAGCATAATATCTCATCAGAGGAGAAAAAAATGTCTTGATGATAGATTATATGAAGTATGCATTATATAGTTAATTATATGAGGGCCATCTAGCCACAAGAAGGATATTGTGTTCATCGGCCTCTCCTCAAATTAGGTAGATAGGGAAGATATACAGAGTATGTGACTTTCTGATGTTCTTAAATGACAATGGAGTTTAAAAACCAAGATGTAAACCAGCAGTCCTCAACCTTTTTGGTATCAGGGACCAGTTTTGTGGAATACAATTTTTCCATGGATGGTGTGGGATGGTTTCTGGATGAAATTGTTCTACCACAGATCATCAGGTATTAGATTCTCATAAGAAGTGCGCAACCTAGATCCCTTGCATGCAGAATTCACAATAGGGTTCTCACTCTTATGAGAATCTAAGGCTGCTGCTGATGTGACAGGGAGGCGGAGCTCAGTCTGTAATTCTCGCTTGGCCACTGCTCACCTCCTGCTTTGTGGCCCACTTCCTAACAGGCCATGGGCCCGCACCGGACCATGGACTGGCTGTGGTACCAGTCCACATCCTAGGGGTTGGAAATCCCTTGTGTAAATGATTAGTGTGCCTATTTTTGAGTGTCTGTCTTAAGTGTCAATTATTTCAATCAATCCTTTAAAGAAGTGACTGATAAAAGATTCCCTGGAGTTACTTTGTTTTTTTTCTGACAAAAGCAAAAGCTCTATAACTCAGATGTGATTTTCGGCTAATAATGTGGCCATGCTGTTAGAAGAGTGAGCAGTTGGACTTTAAATCTTGATCACAAATGGTCATCTCGTCTTTGCACAAATGCCAAAAAGATACCAGCAAATAGAGCCAAAAAACTTCTTAGGAGTCACTCGAATAAATACTTGATTGAGATCTAAGGGTTTCCTGTTATAAAGGAGTGCTTTTTAAAAAAAGGTTGGCTGAGAATCCTTTGTCCCAATAAAAATCTCAAGTGGAAATATAAACCAAATAAAGAAATACAGAGCTGTTCTGAATAGAAGAAGGAACTTGACTGAGTTAAGGAGCACAATTTGAAAACCAGTCTCCTATAAGAGACCATGTATTTATCTGAAAAAGTATAAAGTAATTAATATTTGCTCAAATACAAAACAGTCTAGGAAAACAGCACAGAAGCAGGAATTTAAGATACAGAAGTTAGAGTCAGACCTCCTGAATAGTAGAAACCTCTCTTTACACCCATCTGTAAAATATAGATACTAACAGAACCTCCACCTCAAAGGACTCTTACAAGGATTAATTGAGCTAATCCAGTGAAGCAGTTAAAACAGTGCCTGGGTTATAGTGAAGGCGACTTAAGTGACTATTAAATGAATAAGCCTCTTGCACAACATCAAGATATGTTAGCAGAATAAACTGCCATTCTTCTCCATGTGTCTAACTGAATACTACGGTGTGTTGGCCACGGCTCTGGCATAACTTGTATCAAGGTATTCTCATGTTCACTAGTTGTACCACAGGTTTGTTCTGTTTTGTTTTCTTCTTCTTGGTTTTGTGCATGTCAAAGACAGGGTCTGCATACATTTTCATCTTCAGTCCCAGCACAAGCAACTTTTAAATGTAGGATCAATACATGTATCTGAAGTGAATAAATTAGTGAATCAAATCATCTTAGCAGCAGGTAGAAAGCTAATCATCTAGTTCATTTAGAACTGTATCAAAATACTTCAATATATTCTGGAAAGAGAAGCAAGACATGTACCAAAGGAGAAATGTACAAAAAGGGTTTACTCAAGTAATAGTGTAATTAGTAATTCCTAAATATAATGATTTTTCATATTATGAAATATTAAGCAGTGGTTAAAAAAACAAGTTGGAACTACATATATGAACAATAGAGCTTCAAGTCATTTTTGTATCAAAATAACATGATGCATAAATTATGATATATAATACCATTTATATATTAACATACCCCAGAGAACATATTCCACACACACATACACATGGGAAAAACTGAGGTAGAGGTATAGAAAGATGGTAGGCAAGGGAACAGATTAGAGGTATTGATCAAGAGGACTTAAGCCTTATTGATAACATTTTCATTTTTTAAAGGAGATGGATTTTTGTGTTACTTGAGTAATTAAAGTACAATGATTCAGTGGCCAGAACAGGAGCAGTTATTAGCACTAGCACGCATGGCTAATACCACTGCTTCTCCTCTGGCTCTTGTAGTGGTATTAAAGTACATGTTCTGAAAGAGTATTAAAAATCTGGGAGCTCTAAATAACCAAATATGAACAGATGACACCAAATGCTATCTTTTTAACCATTTCTTTTTCAGTACAGTAGAGATTTCAATGAACCCTAATGTAAAGTGGTGCTTAAAACCAGTCTATCATTATCCATGCTAAATAGTAAACTGAGAGACCTCAGCTTGAAAAGAAATTGGATATAGAGTTTTGAAATAAAATCTAGTGAATTACTACATATTTATTTTTAGGGTAATGTGAAAGCTGCTATAGAGCAGACTCTATTGGAGATTAAATGAATATAAATAAGATTATTGGCAAAATATCTTCTCAGAGCCCAAATATTATTCAAATTCAAATAGATTATAGTAGAAGAGATTGCTGGATGATCTGTGCACTACAAAAGATGGAGAAAGCATTACAGAGCTCTAAATATAGAACAAATAAATCACAGAAGTTGCTGATGAAAAATTGGATGTTCAATCTTTCTCTTTCTGATGCTGTATCAAGGAGAACTATGCTACCAAACCAGTTTTCATTACTAGCCTATGACACCAAGTATACCCAACTTTTGAAAGAAACACTTTATTCATAAAAGTATTTCATTTCTGTCTAGTTTCCTCTGCAGTCTATTTATTGTGATGTCTAGGTCTGAAAAACTTTCCCCATTATCTGACAGAGGGGTCAATTCTCTAGTTGTCCAAACATTGCATAAACGAATCACTTACCACATGTGCAATTAGTCATGTGTACACAAATAGGTAAAATGTCTCTCTCCACCACCACACTATAAACTTTAGTCAACAGCCAGCAAGGTCTCTCGTTTTACTGTGGTTTCACCAGTACCTAACATAGTGCCTGGCGCATGGCAGGTACTCAATAAATACATGAACTAATGTAATTAAGGTAATTACTTCATGAACAATTAATATATGAATAAAAGAATGAGGACAGGCCAGGTGTGGTGGCTCACGCCTGTAATCCCAGCACTTTGGGAGGCCGAGGCAGGCGGATCATGAGGTTAGGAGATTGAGACCATGGTGAAACCCCATCTCTACTAAAAAATACAAAAAATTAGCCAGGCGTGGTGGGGGGCACCCGTAGTCCCAGCTACTCGGGAGGCTAAGGCAGGAGAATGGCATGAACCCGGGAGGCGGAGCTTGCAGTGAGCCGAGATCACACCACTGCACTCCAGCATGGGCAACAGCGAGACTCCGTCTCAAAAAAAAAAAAAAAAAAGTGAGCATAATATGCAATACAATTGAAAATCCTTCAATACCTACTTAGCTTAGTGTCTTCTAAGTAATACATTTCAATTGTATTATAACATGTGTTTAATGATATTACACCAAATGTATTCACAACAAATGCTGTCACTGAGTAAAGCATCCAAAAAATAAAAGTGTGGCGTTATCAGTTATGATGACTGGATCATGTAGCAGTTATCTACTGGATGCCTAGTATATTCCTAGCACTGGGCTGGTTACTGTGTACTGGCAAAGATAAGCCATTGAGAAATAGTCCTTTCCTTCATCATACCAGGTTAGTAGTCTGCATTTGTAGGACTGGCAGGTCATGATTACTTCCTCTCTTTGGAAGGCATTAAGTCAATTCCTGGTCCTTTCATGGTTCACTCCAAACCTACAAGTCTTGGTAAAGGAATGCAATGGGCTATCCAACCAACTGGTTTTTGGCCAATACTATATCCTAAACAGTTCAATTAGCTTAAAAGAAATCATTTTTCCCAACTCCTTTCTCCCATTTCCTGAGTGGTATCTTATTTCTTTATCTCTTCTCTCTTCTGTCTCATATCCAGGGAAACCCAGTCATCCAGAATGACTTTATAGGCTTTATCACCTCCCTCTCCTAACATGGGAGGGAGGTGAAGAAACTGGCTGTTGGCTCCTGCTTATGTCTTCTTATTGCTGCCCTAAATGTGAAGTTAATATGATCCATCCTTTTATATCACACACTTCTCATTACCCCTGCTCTTGCATTCTCCTTTAGGATTCACTTTTACCTTCCTAGATGTTTCATCACTTGGCTCACATCTTTTCTTCTAACCCTCTATTGTTTTTCTTTGACTGCATTTCCTATTATGAGAAAGGAAGCACAGTGGTCAAGGGCCGGGATTCTGGATTCATACCACCTGGATTTGAATCCTGACTTTACCATTTCCTAAGCGTATTAAGACAGCTTAACATCTACAGGTCTTAGTTTCCTCATTTGTAAAGTGGGAGTAATAATAATAATACCAACATTATAACAACTAAATAAGTTAAGACCTGCAAAGCACTGAAATAGTCACTGGCACAGAGAAAGCATTTTATAATGCCATCATTTTCATTCTCATCCTTGGCAACATTAGTATCCATATTGTTGCCTGTTTACTTTAAACTTCTGGCCATATTGGCATCCACACACAGCGCCACCTTGAACCAGCTCATCACGCAGCATTGCTTTATTGAAGATTTTGAACCTGATATAAGTCCTTCTACTTATCTTTCTCATTCCTGAAAACTCCTAGAACATTCTCTATATTCTCTTGCCTTAAATTACCGATTCTCCAAATTCACCCAAACACTAGCAATCTAGTTTCTCAAACTTTAACTCTCTCAATTTCCTAATGTGAACATTCAATGCTTAGTCAGTGTAATCTTAATTTCTTCACTCTTCTTTGACTGTATACACTTAAAGCTCTCCTCAATGCCTAGAAAGCTTATTTGTCCTTTACTAATCAAATGTTCATATCTTCCATGTAGACTTCTTCATCATTCAAGAATATACATATTTCAACCCATAACCACCTCGCTCTGTCCAAATACAAAAACTCACAAACCACACAGATCTCATATACATTACAGAATTGCTTACTTGGGCATTTACTGAGAATCTTTATTTAGATGTTTTATGTGCATATGTTACCTCCCTAACTATATTACAAGTTCCTTGAAAGTAGAAATGTCAATGGAAACTGATAATATGTCAGGCCTTCTTTTACATACTTTACAAGTATCAGCTCATTTAATCTTTATAGCAACCCTAAGAAATAGCCACTGTTATCCTCATTTTATCTCAAGGCAGAGAAAAGTGAAGTCAGGGAAAGTGTATCTTTGGCATAAATTGCTGAATGAAGGAACTTACTAATGTAGTTCATAATCTTGTTCTAGTTTCATGAATGATTTATCTGCATCAATCTTAAGTAACTCTTTGTAATTACTGCTAAATAAAGGTGCTTCACTTCTAGTACTCAAGACTATAGGACCATGCCAACAGCCGGAGTCCAACAAATGCTTTCTAAGAGTACATTTGGAAAGACTTCGTCTACAGTTTTGGATGCTATTCTAACAAAATGACGAGAAAGCATTTGTATTTTAGTTAGGGTGCTCTTTGTTCTATATATGCACTTTATGAAATAACTTCTGTGAATCAAACAGTTTATATATCTACTTTTGCATATCATCTCTGATTTACAAGCGCTGCAATGTAAAAATATTTAACCTATGTTTACTAACAATCAGCTACTAACTAGTTTTGTGACCTTTGGAAACTCATATTTATGTCTTTGAGATTTGCTTATCTTTCAAAAGAAGGAGCTGGGGTAGGACAAATTGGGCTTAAGAGGATTCTAAGGGAGTCATTCACTTATAAAATTATACTATCCTTAGGAGACTTTAAGAAGAGAGGAAATCATATTAATGCAGAAGGCAATGTTTAAGAAACCAGAACCAAAGTCAGATAAAAATGGTAACTCCAATTACCCATTGGAAAACTGACTTTTCCACACAAAGAACTTCCAACTGTAACTGTAAATAAATAATGTCAATGGGTAAGAGCCACTATCAGTTGCCCTATTTTCTCAAGTACCACTTTTAACACTGCCTCAATTAGTTTAAAATGCAATCAAACCCCCTAAAGCTGAATATGTTCAACATCAGTAAAATACATTCATCTTTTGTGAGAAAAAATCATGTTCTAAAAATATACAAAGCAAATATTTGTTATGAAGAACTCCTTTGAAAGCTCCCTTAAAGTGAAATTTCCTACTACCTGCTTTTCTGCTTGTAAGGAGAGGGCTGTTGAAACAAACAAACAAACAAAAATCCTCAGAACAGGAAACAAAAAGCCAACATTCAGATCCTTGGTTCCTTGTCTAGGTGTGATCTCAGCACTCCAGAGGGAATCCTAAGCTTCATTTTACATAGTTATAGAATACATTTATTGCTGGTATTAAAATATGAAATCTTTCAATGTATTTTTATCTTCAAATGTAAAGATGTTTGGCTGCTTAGACTTTAGGTAGAAAGAAATTCAAAAATATTTTCTTTGAAAGTTAAAATCTGAAACACTATGCAAGTAAATCTGAAATCATTAAGCATGTAAGTTCAATGAGTTTAAAAACATGAAAGTTTTACTTAAAGCAAAATACTTCTTTAGAAATTATGTTACTGTGATGTCCAGGTTTTTTATTTTAAACTGTTTAATCCTGTCCTCTTATACACTTACAAAAATATACTGAACAAAAAGAGAATTCAAAAATTTGTTTAGAATTACTTCTTTGTAAATATTACATAAATATTCATGTAGTCAAAAGACAGTATCATGTAGAAAACTGCATCATATACATGTTGTGATATATGTTCGTGTATGTACAAATATGTATACGCATACATGTACATATGTGTCAACTACCATTTTTCTTTTAATCAAAATTTTAAAGTACTGCATACACATATACCTACATAATAGATATATAAAAGTACTATTAGAACAAAGCTGTTTCCTCAAAGCTAAGCAGTTAAGGAACAATAGTAGCACTGTCCTCAAGATTTTTATGACTTATGTCTAATACTGAAAGTGTTAGTCAAAGAGTATGCAATTATAGTACCCAACCACATTCCATTTTGAGTATCATAAATAAAAACATATTGTTAAAATGTCATCATATATTTTAAATTATATGGAAATATCACCATTTCTTATAAGAAACAAGGAATAATTGAAATCTATACAATATTAGATGGTCTCCATTTACAATTAAACCAATAATAAAGGATCAGGGGAAAGGAGCCTACCTTCCATTGCCCTCTTAAAGAAGACCTTACAGCTCCCACAGGTAAGGACACCATAATGACAGCCTGATGCTTCATCCCCACAGATTAAACAAATCTTCTGAGGTAATGACTCGAAGCTGTATTGTGGGCTCTGGCTGGCTTCTGAATCCGGCCTTGAAATGCAAAACAAAGTACTCCATTTATTTTTAAGTGCACCACTATCTAATACTAAAGGTTTCTTAAACCAGTATTAACAGGGTGAAAGGAGATTTTAAAAACAGAACTGTATATATACACTTGAAAGACATGCAAACTAAACTTGGTAATAGACTATCCGTAACTGGATTCACCATACTTGCAAATGATTAGCCATTCATCAGTAGCACCAATATAAAAGAACAATAATTAGTGTATAATATTATGTCCTAGAAAGTTAAAGTCGGTTAAAAGGAAATCTTTCTACAAAACTCTTTATATAGAAACAATTTAGTCTTTGACAAATGAAATGTTATGTCCTTCCTGTCTGTATGCTGGGTCAAAACAAATATGGTTTGGCTTTAAAAGTTCGATGGTACTTTGCAATGTTTTGGTTTTGAGTTTTTAAAACACAACCCTGTAATCATTGCTTACTTAAGCAAGTATATGTTTGTCATTTTAAAGTATTGTCCAATACACTGACACTGTTTTGCCTATTCACAACATAAGATTCCAAACAGAGCATTCTTTTTTTACATTCCATTACTTCAGTATGCAAAGTAGTGTTTTTTAAACCTGTATATAAAAAAAATTGTAGTGAATAGCAAGCAATAATAAGAAAACGGTGCAATGCAGTGACAGGCGTTTAAATCCACAGTTTAAACATTTCCCACGTGAACTTAATTTTAATCTTGAGATTCTTAAGAAAACTGAGCCACTGAAGTGTTCAAATCCCTAAGATGGTGCTGCTTTCGGTTCTGGCCGGCCACCTCTCAAGTCCCACCCCTCCCGGGGGAACGGTGCCTTAACTCCTCTCCAAGACAAGCACTCCTGGTAAACGTCCTTCTTCTAAGAAAGAAGCATTTCATAAAGCCCCCAACTCGCCGCGCACTTTCTGCCCCACTGGGCTACAGCGGACCTAGTGTGACGCTGCACGTTTTAAATCGGGGTTGGTTCTGCTTCGGAATCTGGAAGATTCGGAAAGTTAAAAAACAAACAAAAAAACAGCTTTCAGGGAGGCACGCCCCAAAAATAGTATATTCTGCGCCCACCTTCGTGTCCCCAAGAGTGAGGAGAGGAGGGAAGAAGAAGGGAGGCAACTGCCCCTGTGCTGTGTCCCGCTGCCCACCCTCTCCGGCCGCCCCGGGGAGCGCAGCGGTGCGCTGGGGCTGGGGCTGAGGGTTGGCGGCCGCCGCCGCCAACGGAACCGCTACTCCCGGACGCGCTGGGCGTGCCCCGTCCCGGGCCCTCACCTCAGGTAGTTGAGATAGGGCGGGTAGACCTGCGGCAGGCCCTCCTTGAGCACGGCGGCCTGGTAGCCGAGCTGCGGGAGCCCGTTGAGGCCGAGTGCAGGGTAGAGCGCGGGGGCCGCCCCGGCGGCGGCGGCAGAGGCGGAGGTGGAGGGCAGGCCGTCCCGCGGGAGCAGGCAGCCGCTCGCGCCCGGCGCCTTGCAGGGCGGCGGCGCGAACGGGCCCTGCTGGGGCGGCGCGCCCTCCGCTTTGTACAGGATGCACTCCAGGGTCGACCCCGAGGAGGACGCAGACGAGACTGAGGCACTGGCGGGTGCGGCCGTCACCGCCGCTTCCCCGGGTCTGGATGGGGTCGCTCGCGGCGGCAGCGGGGGCGGTGGCCCCAACGGGAAATCCGGGAAGGCTGCGGGGTTGGCACCGGCCACAAGGTAGGAACGCGGGGAGCGCGCGGAGGCCTCCGCGCCTTCCTCCTCCTCCTTTATCTTTAGAGCGGGCGGCTGGAAGTCGCTATAGAGAGGGTACGCGTCGTCCTTGGGCTCGGCGTCGGGCGGGTACGCGCAGTCGGGGAAGTCGCCTACAGCGACCGGGGTGGACGAGGCACAGGGTGAACTCCGCGGCGGGGCAAAGGCGCTGGCAGCCCCGGCCCCGCCGTCGTAACTTTCGTCTTCCAGCAGCTGCCGAGTGCGGGCTGCCAATAAGGCGTGATTGAGAGGCAGGATAGGCACGTGGATGAAATCCATCACCGTGGTGGCCAGCGGGGAGCGCCCGGGCGCCATCGGCGCGTCCTGCTCCACCAGGGCGACCCTGGGCGCTGAGAAGCGGGAATCTTCCTTGGGGACCAGGGCGACGCCTCCTGCTGCCGCCCCCGGCGGGACAGCCGCGGCTCCTCCTCCAGCCGCCGCGCCACCCAGAGCCCGAGGTTTGCCCTTCAGAAGCGGACCCGCAGACTCCTCGGACTCAGAGCCATCCTCCTCCTCAACCTCCACCGCAGCGGCCTGCGGAGACGGCTTCACTGGGGCCCCGGACCAGTGAGGGCTCTCAGAGGCCGGGAGCAGCAGCTGCCGGGCTGGTGACAGGCCCCGGGGCAGCACTTTATGGGCAGCTGCCGTCCCGGAGCTGTCTCCAACCTTGCACCCGGACCGGCTCATGAGCGGGGACAACACCCGCTGGGTGGCGGGGGCAGCCGGTGGATCTTCGGGAAGTTCGGGGCCAAACAGGCACCAAGAGCTGGTGACCTCGCAGGCGGGAGGGCTGGGTTGGCTCTGCCCGGGACCTGAGGGCGCCAACAGAGTGTCCAAGACACTGTCCAGCAGTCCGCTGTCCTTTTCTGGGGGACTAGAACTGCTGCCTCCAGCACCCCTTGTAGCTTCAGCTCTGGAATATGCGCCCTCCACGTCCGACAGCGACTGCTGGTCCTGCGTCTTTTCGTCGGAGGGGTCCTGTCCCTGGCAGGGCCGAGGGAAGAGTAGCCCGTCCAGGGAGATAGGTATGGCCGAAACTTCAGGCAAGGTGTCCGAGGTCTGGCTCCCCGGGAACGGACCTGCGGCTGGGCGACACAGCAGTGGGGATCCGACCTCGGGGGAGGGCGGGCCGCCCGCCACGTGGGGAGCCCGGGGACCCTTTGCCTTCAGCTCAGTCATGACGACTGGACTCCCCTTTTCTCCTCCCCCGTCTCCAGGAGGAGGGAAAAGGGAAGGAGGAGGGGGTTTCGGGAATATAGGGGCAGAGGGAGGAGAAAGTGGGTGTTGAATGTGGCTGGACCGGAGGGATCTCCACCTCCTGGGTCGGGGGCGGGGGAGGGCGGCGCTGGTCAGCTCCTGCCCTTGGCCTCCATCCTGTCGTCAGGGGAACTGTGGCTGTCGTTTGTCCCAGCGAGCGGCAAGTGGGGAGCGCAAGAAAAAGTAGTAATTGTTAGGAGATCTCGTCTCCTAACTCGGGGAGTTCTCCAAGAGAGTTCTCCAACTTCTGTCCGAGGACTGGAGACGCAGAGTACTCACAAGTCCGGCACTTGAGTGGCTGCGGCTGCGACGGCAATTTAGTGACACGCGGCTCCTTTATCTCCCGACTTTTTCTCTGGCATCAAACTCGTGCATGCTGTGAAGCTCTCAGTCCCTCGCTGAGTTCCACTGCCCCCTCACTAAAACCCTGGGGCTAGTCGGACCTCTCGGTACAGCCCATTCCCAGGAAGGGTCGGACTTCTGCTGGCTCCGTACTGCGGGCGACAGTCATCTCCGAAGATCTCAGATCCCAGTAGTGCGGGAGCACTAGCCGCCTCGGGTTGTAGATTTCACTCAAATGACAAGTGAAGCTAGTTCTCATTGAGAATGCCACCCACACGCACAAATACAACAAGGCTTACCCCGATTAGTGACAGCTGTGGACTGGCCAGACAGCTTTCTAACAACGCCTCCTCCTCTAGGGAGGCCCCGCCCAAAGCCCCTCCCTACCCCAATTACCGGTAGGATCTGAAACTCTGGAGTTGGCATTTCCACCCGTTATTCTGAATGCTACTCTCAATAGCAGGTTCTTTGGGATGGAACCTCATAAGCATATTACGTTTTGTTTTGCAAATTAAGAATTATGCCCTATCTAATTGGAAAAATGAATAGATTCTATCAGAAGTAGAATTTTTGTCACCATTTTAAGATTTCAGTTTTGTAAAGATTTAACACAGAGGAAGACATTTGGCTACATTATCTTTTAAAATAATAAATGTATCAAGGACGATACTAAATAAGAGATTCTCTCCCTTATGAGTTCCATAAAAGTGAATGCTTTCAAGTTTCTCCTGCTGCGACCAACATGTCCTGCTCCTCTTGAGTATCCTCAGCGTGACAAAGAAATTTGGGAGTGGGAGATGGTAACACCTCTGTATCTATGATGGAAGTTTGGATGTTGTGTGCCACACTTCGATTTGTCTTAAGGAATGTGTTCCAATTTTTAGTAAATAGCACTTTAAGGAAAGTTTCCTTTAGCTCCAGCTTATACAGTGTGCTACATCATAACATCCTCAGTAGAGATGTTGAACAGTACTTTTTACCCTAAATATTCTTAGTCTGAAAAGTAATTATCTTTGAGCTTATAAAATGGATCCCCGCTAAATTCATGAAGTCAGTAGAAAAAGGGAAGAATATTGCAATATATATTTTAGATACACAGTCATAAACTGTATTTGACCCAAGACCATTGGGTATTTTAACATCATCTTAAATATACCTTGTTCAAAACAGAGTGAATGATTTGCAAATTTTCTTGTAGGACCTCAAGGTCTAGCTGTGCTAATGACTCATAGTTTATCTCAACCATGTATAAAGAATGCAGAAGACTCCAGAAGGTGGGGGAGCCACTAGAGGTAAGGAGCCTGGACCCCTCGATCATCTGGGGAGGGGCTATATGAGTGAGAAACAAACCTTTATCATGTTAGGTTACTAGGATTTGGAGTTGGTTGTTCTAGTAAATAGTTTACTCTGATTAATTTTAGATATGTGGAAGTTAGGCAGATAGAGGAAAGGTAAAGAGAATTCTGGGAAGCAGGTATAGAATGTTCACCGGGCATCAAATGGCAGGATATAATATGGCAACTGCAAGGGGACCATTATGAATAGAACAGGAGCAAGTGTGGGCACAGAAGTATATGAGACTAGAGAAGTAAACTAATTTATTAATATCATTATTGTTGTTTTCAGGCTTTCTCTTTCCAGCCTATCTTAAAACAGTTACCATGCTTTATTGAGGTGTAATTCCAGTATCATACAGCTCACTCAAAGTATCAGTTCATTGATTTTTCATGTACTCAGAGTTGTGCAACCATCAGCACTATTAATTTTGTAACATGAGTATGACTCTAAAATCTCAATACCCACTAGCAGTTATTCCACATTTCCGCCTAAATCTCCCAGCAGCCACTAATATGCTTTTTGTACCTGTGATTTGGCTATTTTGGATCAAGGTTCATCCATGTTCCACATGAATCAGTACTTCACTCCTTCACTCCTTTTTATTGACAAATAATATTTCATTGTATGGATAAACCACATTTTATTTATCCATCTCTATCAGTTGTTGGACATTTGGGTTGTTTACACCTTTTGGCTACCATGAAAAATCCTGCTAATGAACATTCATGTACAAGTTTTTGTGCAGCGTATATTTTCCTTTCTCCTGGATATATGCATAGGAGTGGAATTGCTGGTTCATATGGCAACTCTAGGTGTGGTCTTTGGAGTAACTGCCAGACTATGGTTCAAATGATTGTACTTCTTACATTTCCACCAGCAGTGAATAAGGGTCCTAGTTTCTTCACATCTTTGACAACATTTTTTATCTGTCTTTTTTGTTATAGCCCCCCAAGTGTGTGAAGTGGTATCTCACTGATTTATTTATATTTTCCTGATGGCTAATGCCACACAGTGTATAGAATTTGTAAAATCAGGACAGCATTGCCAGGTAGTCTTGTAAGCCTTTTACCTGTGTTAACTGTAATCCTTCAACAGTCTCACAAAATAGGTACTGTTATCCCAATTTCATAGTTGGGAAAACTGAGGCACAAGGTTACCCAGTATTATAAAGTTAAGTACTGTAACCCAAACCCAAGACATCAAATGACAGCCTTCTTAGGAGTGTGATTTTAAATGTCAGATGCCATATAATTTGATTTTCCGGTCGCTGCTGTAAAATTGGCACTTGGCCTCATTTTAAATCTGACAAACTATATTTGGCTTGATTTTGGTTGGTTATAATAATTCCCTTGTCAGAATGTCTGGGGAGGTTGTTTCCAAAAGATTGAAAATCTTGAAGTGGGAAAACAACAATAAAGATGTCCAGCATGTCCTAAATCACCATTATTCCATAAATTTTGATGCTGGGTGATTAGCATTTTTGGCACAGGAACTTCCCAAATGTATGAATCTTTGAATGAACAAAATTCACTGATTAAATTCAGGTGTGATGGGGCTAACTTCAAATATTCCTGAAGACTGTTTTTGGAGAAGAGGATTTAAATGTGGAAGTATTTTTTCTATAGTTTGGGGAAAAAAACCACTTTATCAAGATATAGTTGTCATATAATAAGCTGCATATATTTAAATTGTATAATTTGTTGTTAGACCTGTGAAACTAAAATGATAAACATACCCTTTGCCTCCAAAAGTTTCCTCATGCCATTTTTTAAATCCCTTCATACTGTTCTGTCCCATCCCCTTCCCCTAGTACTAATCACCACTTTCTGGCAAGCCACTAATCTGCTTTCTGTCACCAAATATTAGGTTTTTAAAAATATTTATATCTGATTTATTAAACATTAAATTATACATTTGCATATGCCTTTTAGGTCTGTTTGCTTTAGATGTTTTATTAATAGATTTTACTTTTGGGAAACGATTTTGGATTTACAGAAAAATTGAGCAGATAATATAGAGAATGCTCATATATCATTTGTACAATTTTCTCTGTTAGCATTTTAAATTAATAGGGTACATTTGTTACAATTAATGAACTAATACTGATAAATTGTTATTAACTAATATTCATAGTTTATTTAGATTTTCTTCATTTTCACTTAATGTCCTTTTTCCTTTCCAGGATTCCATCCAGGACACCACATTTAATTGTTATGATGTCTTGTGCTCCTCTTGGCTGTGAGAGTTTCTCAGATTTTCCTTGTATTTGATGACCTTGACAGTCCTTAGGAGTACTGGTGAGGTATATTGCAAGATGCCCTTCTATTGGGATTTGATGTATCCTCATGAGTAGACTAGGGTTTTGGGTTTTGGCGGGGTGGAAATCAAAGAGGTAATGTACTGTATTTATTACATCATATGAAGGGTACATATTGTCAACATGACTTATGACTGTTAATGTTGTTCTCCATCACCTGGCTGAAGTAGTGTTTGTCAGGTTTCTCCATTGCATAGTTACTCTTTTTTCCCTCTTTGCATACTCTGTACTCTTTGGAAGGAAATCATTATGAGTCACTTAAGGAAGTGTGGGGGAGTAGGGAGTTATGCTAGCCCTCCTTTGGAGTGGAGTATCTACATAATTTATTTGGAATTCTGTGAGGAAGATTTGCTTCTTCTCCCCCATTTACTTCTTTATTCAGTCTTTTCTTTGTATGGATTCATGAATACTTTGTTGCTCAAATTTTTCCAGTTTTTGGCACTGGGGGCTTTTTCAGTTGACTCTTGTGCTCCTTGACCCACTCTCTGTATTGTGTGTATGTGTGTGTATGTGTGGACTTTCCTACTTTCTGGTATTACAAGATGCTACAGACTCATCAGACTCATCTTGTATATTTCCTGCCCCAGTCGTAGAATCAGCCATTTATCCAAGGAAGTTTGAGACTTTTTATTTGAAACTGGTATAGAAATGAAGATCTGGGTGCCAAATAAATTAGGTTTTATTTCTTAGAATTGTATATAATATAGTGTATCTTTTTTTCATTTGGTTTCTCTCACTCAGCATAATTATTTTGAGATTCAGCTAAATTATAGTATGTATCAATAGTTAATTCTTTTTATTCTTTTTATTTATATACTATAGTTTGTTTATCCATTTAACTGTGGATAAATATCTGAGTTGTTTCCAATTTTTTTGGTATTATAAATAGAGCTACTATGAAAATGTTGTACAAGTCTTTGTATGAACATGTGTTTTCATTTTTTCTGGGTAAATACCTAGCAGTGAAATGGCTGGATAAATTAGTAGGTGCTGTGATATGAGTGTTTGTGTTCTCCCCAAATCTGTGTGTCAAAACCCAATCACCAATGTGATAGTCTTAGTAGGAGGAGGTGTTGGGGAGTGATTAGGTCATGGAGCACTGCCCTGCCCCTTCTACCATGTGAGTACACAATAAGAAGTTGCCATCTAGGAGCTACAAAGCAGGTCTTCACCAGACATTGAATCTGTCACCTTTATTGTGGACTCCCAGCCTCCTGAACTGTGAGAAATAAGTTTCTGCTGTTTATAAGCTACCTAGTTCATGGTATTTTGTTATAGCAGCCCAAATGGACCAAGACAATACATGTACATTTAACCGTCAAACAATTTTCCAAAGTGATTGTATCATTTTACATTTCCACCCAGTATATTAGAGTTCTAATTCTTCCAAAAGCTGGACAACAACTGATATAGTCAGCATTTTTAATTTTACCAATTCTAACAAGTAGATAGTGGTATCTCATTATGGTTTCAATGTGCATTTCATTAATGACTAATGATGTTGATCATGTTTTCATGTGCTTATTTGTGATATTTATATATTCCTCTTCTGTGTGTCTGTGTCTGTTCAAATCTTTTGTTTGCTTTTTTTTAAAAAATTGAATTGTTTTGTTATTGTTGAATTTTCAGAGTTCTTTATGAATTCTGTTAGAAGTCCATTGTCATATATGGGATTTGAAAGTAGTTTTTTCTAGCCTGTGGCTTGTCTTTAAGTTCTCTTAACAGGATCTTTTGAAGAGCAGATGTTTTTAATATTGATAAAGCCTCTTTATTTACATTTTTATGAATTATGCTTTTGGTGTCATAACTGAATATTCCTTGCTAAACCCAAGGTCATAAATGTTTTCTGTCATGTTTTCTTTTGGCTTTATAGTTTTAGGTTTTACATTTATATCTGTGATACATTTTAAAGTTACTTTTTAATATGGTATAAGGTCTAGATCAAAATTCACTTTTTTGCATGTGGATATCCAGTTGTTTCAGCGCCATTTGCTGAAAAGAATACCCCTTCACTAATTGCCTTTGCACCTTTGTTGAGAATTAGTTATTCAAATATGTGGAGATCTGTTTCTGTACCCTCCATTCCATTTAACTGTATTATTGGACAGTTTTTATGTCAATACATTTTCTTGATTGATGTAGCTGTAATTTTTTAAGCTGTTATTTTTTAAATCCCTCTGTATAAATGATAGCATTCTTCCTCTAACCTTCCAGCCCTGGGGGTGAGGAGGGGCAGCCCACAGCTGTTTGAGGGAAGAGACAGGATCGAAGGTGTGCTCTGAAGCTACAGATTGCATGAGAGGCAACCCATAAAGTTTCTAAGCAGAGTGGTAACAGTGGCCCCCCACTTCTGTTTCTGAACTACAGCTCTCAGCGTGTTGGTGACTTTGAACCCCCTCCCCAGAAATGGAAATGCCAAAATGGAAGAGCCCTCAGCCACCTAGCTCCCTTCCCAGTAGGACAGAGTTAAAGGCTAGACCATCTTCCCTCCTGGGTGGAGCCCCCCTTCCCCCCACGGATACTTAATGTACTAGTGCTCCAACTTTATTCTTCTTTTTCAAAATTGTTTTGTCTAGGTCATTTGCATTTTCATGTAAATGTTAGAAACAGTTTGTTAATATCTGCAAAAAAAACCCTTCTGCAATGTTGATTAGGATTGAGCTGAAATTATAGATGAATTTGGAGAGAACTGGCTTCTCACTAAAATTAAGTCTTCCAACCCATACAGGTAATATATCTCTCCTTCTCTCAGCAATGTTTTCAAGCTTTCGGTGTACAGGTCTTTCACATCTTTTGTCAGATTTCTCTCCAATTATTTCATATTTTTGCTGGTATTTTGGATGATGTATATATTAGCTTTCCATTGCTGAGTCAGGAAGTACCACAAACTTACTAGCTTGAAAGAGCACTCAGTTATTATCTTACAGTTTCCATGGGTCAGGAGTCTGGGCATCGGTTGGATGGATCCATTGCTTAGGGCTCACATGGCTGCAATCAGTGGATTAGCCAACACTGCGTTGTCATCTATGGCTTAGGGTGCCCATCTAGACTTATTCAGGTGACTGGCAGGCAGTGTTCAGTTCCTGGCAGCTGTAGAACTCATGTGACTTTCATCTTCTTTGAGGTCAGCAGGAAACAATTTTACTCATGCTTTTTAAGGGTTTCTGCCTGATTAAGTCAGACCCTCCCAGATGATGTCCATACCCATATTATCAAAACTGATCTGGGATTTTTTTTTTTTTTTTTTTTTTTTTTTGCAGAGTCTCATTCTGTTGCCCAGGATGGAGTGCAGTGGCATGATCTCAGCTCATTGCAACCTCAAACTCCTGGGCTCAAGCAATCTTCCTGCTTCAGTCTCCCAAGTAGCTAGGACTATAGGCATGTACCACTGTGCTTGGCAAATTTTTATTTCTTATTTTTTTTTATGGAGATAGGGTCAGTCTTGCTGTGTTGCCCTGGCAGCTCCCAGACTCCTGGGTTCAAGTGATCCTCCCCACTCAGCTTCCCAAAGTGCGGGGATATGCAGGCATGAGCCACCTCACCTGACCTGATTTGGGATCTTAATTACATCTTCACATTTCCTTTTGCTGTAAATGTAACATTATCCACAGAAGTGACACCGATCATATTGATAGTCAAGTCCACATTCAAGGAGAGGCAATTATACAAATACTGTACAACGGGGGGCAGGAATTTTGGAGACCATTTTATAATTATACTGAATTTCTATATTGTGCATTCTTAGTGTTTACACAATTGATCTTTAGCTGGAGTAATGAGGTTGGGAATCCTTGCCAGTTTTTTGATTTTAGGAAGAAACCATTCAGTCTTTTAACATTAAACATGATGTTTGCTGCAGGTTTTTCATAGATACCCCTTCTCAGGTTGAAGAAATTCCCTTCTATTCTGAGTTTGCTGAAAATTTTATTAAGGGTAAATGTAGGTTTTTGCCGAATGTTATTTCAGCATCCATTGAGATAATCATACAGTTTTTCTTTTTTAATTGGTTAATATGGTGAATGACAGTACTTGAGCTTTGAATGTTAAATGAACCTTGTATTCTTTGGCTAAATCCCACTTCATCATAATGTATTACTTTCATATATTGCATTTTGATTTGTTAAAAGCTTGTTTAGAAGTTTAAAATTTCTACTCATTAGGAACACTGGCCTGTTGGTTTCGTTTCTTGTAATGACTTTATCTGATTTTGGTATCATGAATTCCACTGTATACATAATATATTTTCTTTCTTTTTTTGAGATGGAATCTCACTCTGTTGCCCAGACTGGAGTGCAGTGGTGCAATCTCAGCCTACTGCAACCTCCGCCTCCTAGGTTCAAATGATTCTTGTGCCTCAGCCTTCCGAGTAGCTGGGACTACAGGCGCATGCCACCATACCCAGCTAATTTTTTTTTTTCTTAGTAGAGACGGGGTTTCACCATGTTGGCCAGGCTGGTCTTGAACTCCTGACGTCAGGCTCAGGTGATCCGCCCACCTTGACCTCTCAAAGTGCTGGGATTACAGGTATGAGCCACTGTGCCCAGCCTACATGGTATATTTTCATATTAATAGAATAAAATAAAAGAATACAATGATAGGTATAGTTTTCACAGATAAATGTATTTTGGCACAAGCTGCTTTTTGGTGTTGGCTCTCCACTATGACAGTGAGCATAGCATGCAAAGAAAGTCCTGAAGCTTCCTTAAACTTGAAAAGATGATTCAGTTTTGTCACGTTTACTTTTCAGTTTTTATAGAGAACTAAGGAATCATTAATTCATTTTTACAAACACCTGCCTATACTATGTCATTAAACAGCTTGCTTTGTATGTTATTTTCCAAGTTGTACTGCAGTTTCTGCACTGTCATATATAATGTTCATAAAACTTCACGACATATGTATTATTATCTCCATTTTGCAGATGAGGAAATTGAAGCTTGCTGTCTTAGAGATAGTTGTTAGGAGAGCCAGAACTCACTACTAGGGCTTCTGATATCAAATCTAGTGTGATTTTTATTTTAAATATTGTGTTTCTTTATTTTTTACAGTACCAAGTGTTGGATAGTTGACAAGGTTCTTGAAATAATGTAGAAACATTTAGTTGCTCTGAGGACCCAGAAATACAAACACATTCAGTAGGGCATATTGGGCCACCCAGACCTATGACTTGGTTAGTTGGAAATTTTTATTGTCTATACAAGTTTGAGAAATAGGATTTGATATCTGTGGTTCTAGCTTGAGGCATTTCTTCTATATTTACATAGGGCTAATTGCAGGTGTAACTTGGGACTTGATGGATACTACAAGAGAAGGAGTATACAAAGGTCACTTCTCTGACCTTCCTGGTGCTCCCTCGGTTTCTGAATTCACTGCCCCAGTACAACCACTGGGTTACTAAGGCCCTTCCACAGATGTACTGAATAACCTGCAAAGTATACCTGATTTTTATACCCATGTCAGATAGTATATATTTTGCCTGAAGTAACAGGATACTCAACAAAAAGTGAGTTATATAATAGATGTTTATTATCCCTCATAACAAGAAGTCTGGAGGAAAGTAGTTGTAGGGTTGGTTAATCATTGGCTCAGTAATAGTCTCACAGTCCCAGACTCCCTGCCTTTTCAGTGAGCTAACCTCAGCATCCAAAGATGGCTACTAAAGCTGCAGGCATCAGAGCCTCACATAACCTCATACAGAATTAGGAATAAGGAAAATTTCTCTTGGCATTATTTTTTCAAATCAGGGGGAAAAATTCTTACCCAGAAGCCCACTCCATAGACATCCTATCAAAACATATTGGCTAGAACTGAGTCATCTGTCCACCACTAAACAAGTTACTCAAACAAGAATTTGATTAGACTAACCATGGTTCATCTCCTGCAGCTGTGTCCACTGCTCTGCGTCCTTTGCTATCAATATGTGAACACAACTGGGGTTTAGTTAGAAAGAAGTAAGAGTAGGGAGATGGCTGTTGGGAATTCAACAAATAGTGTCTGACATTATACCAAGATCTTATTTCCCTCAGAGTCCTAAGTGATACTTAATCTAAACTGAGAAAGAAATTCACACTAATGTATGAATGAATTTAATAGCCCACTTATTTTTATAAATGTAATCTTTTCATATATTTATCCTGATTATTTTTTATACATGCATATGTACATATATATTGGCAATTCTATTTTACATGATATTTCACAATAACTATCTACTCCAAATATCCCTTTAGATGCCTTGAATTAGTCTTCAACCTTATGCACTAATTGCTGATGGCTATGGCTCTCATTTCTTTGGTTCTACAGTTTAGCATATAGTTGTTCAGAGTTTACGCATAGTTTCATTTGTTACACTTTTGTGTCCATGGGACTATATACACTTAACTAGACCTGGCTTGTATTGCAGTTTGGAAATACTTTTAATTTTTAATTTTGTTGTCTAGTTTTTTCTCTTTAATGTAATATAGCTTTTAGGGATTTTTTTTATATTACCATTAAAAGTTTATAGGCTGGGCACGGTGGCTCACACCTGCAATCCCAGCACTTTGGGAGGCCAAGGCGGGCGGATCACGAGGTCAGGAGATCCAGACTATCCTGGCTAACACGGTGAAACCCCGTCTCTACTAAATGTACAAAAAATTAGCCGGGTGTGGTGGCGGGCACCTGTAGTCCCAGCTACTCGGGAGGCTGAGGCAGGAGAACGGCGCGAACCCAGGAAACGGAGCTTGCAGTGGGCCGAGATCGTGCCACTGCACTCCAGCCTGGGCGACAGAGCAAGACTCCATCTCAAAAAAAAAAAAAAAAAAAGTTTACATAGAATATTTTAGGATAAGGAAAGATTGGCAAATGTAAGTACTATAGATAAAAATCTGCCATAATCTGTAGTTTATATGGTTAATATGAATGATACATTTTGTGCAATTTAGAGGAAAGGTATCATGATACTGGGCAGGAGTATGAAGGTCAAGAACTGGAAGGTAATTCCTCTACTACATTCCACAATCAAATCTTTTGAAGCAGGAGTCATAAATACCAGCTGTTTATCTTAACATATATATATTTTTTAAGGTGAAGCAAGTTTGTTAAGAGAGTAAAGGAATAAAAGAATAGCTATTCCATAGGCAGATCAGCCCCCAAGGGCTGCTGGTTGCCTGTTTTTATGGTTATTTCTTGATTATATGCTAAACAAGGGGTGGATTATTCATGAGTTTTCTAGAAAAGGGGTGGGTAATTCCTGGAGCTGAGGGTTCCTCCCCTTTTTAGACCATATAGGGTAACTTCTGGATGTTGCCATGGCATCTGTAAACTGTCATGGCACTGGTGGGAGTGTCTTTTAACATGCTAATGCATTATAATTAGTGAATAATGAGCAGAGAGGATGACCACAGGTCACTCTTGTCACCATCTTGGTTTAGGTGGGTTTTGGCCAGTTTCTTTACTGCAAACTGTTTTATCAGCAAGGTCTTTGTGAACTATATCTGTGCTGACCTCCTGTCTCTTTCTGTGACTTACAATGACTAACTGCCTGGAAATGTAGCCCAGTAGATCTCAGCCTTATTTTACCCAGTCCCTATTCAAGATAGAGTCACTCTGGTTCAAATGCCTCTGACATATCCCCCCTCTCTTTTATAAGAGAACCCTTAATCCTAAGGGTTGCAGAAGTATAAAGATCCACTTTCTGTAACTTCTTCATGCTGAATAGGGGCGATGATATTCCTGCCTAAGTATTAGGGTCTTTTGAATTTCAGTGTAGAGAGGAGAGGCCATTCATAACTCTGAGTTCTGACAAAAGGTGACTTTTGGAAGATGAATAAGTGTTTAATTTAAGAAAACATTCAGTAAGCTTATCCTGCATTCCTACACAAAGAGTACAACAGCAATATATTTCACAACAGTAAAACAAAATAAGTGAAATTATCCCAAGTAAACTAAATAAGAAGGCTTTCCATGAACTGGGCAACTGGTGGAACCAAGCTGATATGGGGTTGATAGCTGATTCTAATGTGTGCCCAGAATTAGGATATTGATTCATATTTATACATTACCCATCCTTCTTGTTTTTCCTGAGCTGCAGTCAGAGATCACTGGCTGGTTCATGGTAATAAGCAAGGTCAGCCTAAATTGCAGGAAAAAAAAAAAAACAACTGATAAGACTAGAATATAATAATAAGTATACCATAGTTCTTGAAACATAATTTTTTTCTCTCTCTCGTCTTCCATTTTTACTAAAGACAAATGATGGTAGTCGAATTTGCTTTATTATGCTTTATTTGTATAAAGTGCAGCAAGAATAATTATTTTTCACAAGGCTTGTAAAATTGGCTTTGATGGAACTCTCTTCCATAAGGAATTTCAGATAAGACCTTTTCTTAAAGCTGAGCTCAGCCGTGGGTTTGTACCCTCCACTACCTATGAGTTGGGTAAATTCCTCTCCTCTTGAGGTCCAAAGATAACTTGGGGCTCCTGGGTCTGTCAGAAAGTGACATTCTTTACTTACCACAGTTCAGGAACCTTGCACAGGGACAGGGTAGACAAGGTATGAAGCCAGTTTTCCCAAGGGGCTTTTATTGGCTCTGTAAGTCAAGTTTTATTTCTCAAAGAAAAGCATAACATTCAAGTCAAAGCCTTGGTAAAATAACCATTGTCTCCAACTGTGTCCTGTTACAAATGAAAACAGATTTATTGTACTTATGGAAATAACTATATTGCCATAAGTCAATAATACTTACAAATAGTTTCTAAATTATGGAGAAATCAGGTAGAGAGAAACAAGTATGGTCCAAATTTTGTTCACAGGAATATACTTTACTCAAGTGTTAAAAGTTGTAAATAGCTTTTAAAAAAAGCTTCCTTGACTCTGAAAAACAAAGCAAAGGATCAACAACATTTTAAGCAAAATGTCACATAAATTAATTCAGTCTTCTGTTACTTCATTCCATACAGTTAACTCCTGTCCTGCTTGGTAGTCAGGGACATTTCAGCTCTCCCTGACTCCTGAAAGTTTTTTTTCTCTATCCTAATGTCACACAGTCTCCAAAGTTATTAGAAACCTGCATTCAAGAACACCTGTTAGAGTCCTGTAGTTGATTATAAACCACCTTTTAAAGAGGATTAAAACAAGACAACAATTATCTGTGTATGATAAAAAGTTTTAGTACAGCCACTATTAAAGCCACAATTGACTGGGAATTTTGATTACTTCTGTGGCATACAACAGTTTTACATAACAATTGTAATTATTAATAACATACTAAGTCATATGAGAATTATAGGAGTTTCTCATAATTTTGGAACACATACCACTAACACATTTTTACAAATACAACCCAAAGAAAGCCAAACACCGTTTCATATTTGACAATGCTTTCTGTATGATTTTTATACCAAATAAGCCAAATGTCACTTTTGGAGTTTAGGTGACCTAATACCTAAAAAATTAATTAGGTCAGAAAATCACATACTTTATAATTTGATTTTGGAAAGTTTGTAAAATATCAAAGATTTAAGACACTTGATATTATAAAATAGAATTCCAGGTTACCGTAAGTCATTCATTTAGTCAAAATCATAACTTAAAATTTTTGAAAAGAGAAAAACCTTTACTCATTAATAGAGGGAAGACAGCTTTTCCAACAATCTTTTTTCTTTTCTGTCTTTTTCCTACAGTTTATTCAAAAAGGCAGACAAAAATCTTTCATTCCCTAATTTGTCTAGGAGGAAGGAAAGGAATATAATACTGTTATGATAATTTTGATAAAAAAGGAACAAATGCTATGTAAAATAGTGGTATCTTTACAAGCTTAAACACCAGAAATAATACTTTCTCATGAGGTTAACAAGATCAATAGTAATTTTATAGTCGAGTTTAAAATAAAATGATAATTTTAAGTTTAAAACTATAACGTGAGACAAAAAAGGCTTTCTCTTACTTTTACAGTTATACTACATATAAGAACTATTACTATTGAGAAGGACATTGGATTCCCAATAAAAAGAAAAGGAGTGTATACATACAAATGGAAAATCATACGTTAAGGAAAATATAAGATGCACGATTAAGTGCAAAAAAAAAAAAATCCCCCTATCACCAGACCATTTCTGGAGCTGCAGGCCTTTTTCAGTTGTCAGCCAAACTCATTCCTTACAAAAAGCCTTCATTTTTTCATTATTCTGACTTAAACTAAAAACTACTCAATTCATTGAAAATTAGAAAATTTTGGCTTAGCAAAAGCCATTATCTTTTTACAATACCAGTTATTGTGAAAGCACAATATAACAGCATAGTTAAATTTAGAAAATATAAAACATGGTAGTAGTTCTCATCTTAAATAGCTACCTGTATAGAACAATTCCAGTAAACAGGAATAAAAGAGAAGGAAGGGTCTGAAGCTCGCATAGTGATTTATATTTTATTGCCACAGGAGAATCTACTTCCCTTTCTTTTCTCTGACATTCTCTTTCTATGTTGCTAATTCTCAATCTGGTTCATGCATTTTTGTTGCTATTCCACATTAAGGTGGTCTTCAACTCTAGTTTCCTAGATGGTTATCTTCAGTTGACTGCCAATTTTCATTCTACACCATATGTCTCTCTTCCTAAAGTCTTGATCATTATTTGTGAAAGAATGAGAGAAACAGTTTATTGGTAAAAACTGTAATTACAAAAACAAAGTTTGACATGGTATAGGCTTTGAAATAAGTTTTTGATAATAAAAAAATTTTAAGAATTAAAACTCCTGTAATCACAGAAATAACCGCAGATGTTTTCTTTAGGCCTTAACCTTAGTGTACATGAAGAAATGGTGATGAAAACTAGTTATTAAGAAGACTTGGCCAGGCATGGTGGCTCATTCCTGTAATCCCAGCACTTTGGGAGGCCGAGGCGGGCGGATCACTTGAGGTCAGGAGTTCGAGACCAGCCTGGCCAACATGGTGAAACCCTGTTTCTACTAAAAATACAAAAATTAGCCAGGCATGGTGGCACATGCCTGTAGTCCCAGCTACTTGGGAAGCTGAGGCAGGAGAATGCCTTGAACCCAGGAGGTGGAGGTTGCAATGAGCCAAGGTCGCGCCATTACACTCTAGCCTGGGTGACAGAGCGAGACTCCATTTAAAAAAAAAAAAAAAAGATGACTTAATTTTAATTTTAGTATTCAAATAATGTATCACTTAAAGATGGTTGTATGTTTTTCTTCCTCCTCTTTCTTCCTTAAATCAATTTAATCATGTTACCTTTACTAGTGCTTCCCATTGTATTTTTTAATATGCTTCTACATTTATTTGTTCTCAGCTTTATCTTAATATTCTTCCTTTCCTACTTATACAAACAGGTCAATCATAGAGCATTTTCTATTTTTCACATTTCTTCCCATTCTCTTTCCACTTATAATATTCTATGCAGTGATTCTTATTCCAATGTTGGTTTTAATTTTAGGTTTTCTTTGGTTAAAATATCTAATGCCAACTGCTGTAGATTTCATCACCAAATGTGGTTTCTTTAGTATTTTTCAAAAGGTGAAAAATCCTCACTAAGTTCTTACATGTTCAAAGTTCTTGGTCTTCTGTCTTTATACTTGCAGAAGTGCTTGACTGTGTATGAAATCTGGGGACTTTCTTTTGTTGTGTATCTTGTAGGTGTTGCTCCTCTGTTTCCTGAATGTGGAGAAGACTCATGCCATTGTGTTTTTCTTTCCATTACAAGTTTCTTAAGGAGCCTTTCTTCATCACTGAAGTTTAATAGACTTTCTAAGATAAATATTATTGTTGACTCTTCTGAATCAGATTGTGATATGATTTTGATGTGCTGTTTCAATATGTAGATTAAATTGTTTTATTATAGGAAAGTATTTCCTTTTTAAATGATAGCTTAAAATATTCATCGTTTTCCATTGTTATTTTCTTTTTTGGAGACTACATTTATGAAATTATTAGGTCTCTTCCGCCTGTGTTATATGTCTATTTTCTTTCTATTTTTAAAGTTTTCTTTATTTCTGTTTCTTTTTTCTTCTTTTTGCTGTTTATTTCCTATAATTACTTATGTGTCAATTTCCCACAATTTACGTAACAAATTACCACAAGTTTGATGGCTTAAAACAACAGAAATATATTCTCCGATAGTGCTAGAGACTAGAAGTTCAAAATCAAAGTGTTGGCAAGGTCATGCTCTATCTGAAGGTTCTAGGGACGAATCCATTTTTGCTTCTTCGTAGCTTCTAGTGATTCTCAGAAATCCTTGGCATTCTTTGACTTTTATCTGCATATATCCCATTTCTACCTTCATTTTTACATGGCCTTTTTCTCTGTGTGTCTCTCTGTGTCCTCTTCTCTTATATGGGTACCAGTCATTAGATATAGGGCTCAGCCTAATCCAGTATGATTTCATCTCAAGATCCTTGACTAATTACATTTGCAAAGACCTTATAAGGTCAAATTCACAGGTATGAAAGCTTAGGATTTGAACATATCTTTTAGGGAGACATAATTCAACCCACTACACAGGGTGTCTATTTTATTTGTTCTCATTTAATTTTTTAAAACTTTTTTTTTTTAGATTCAGGGAGGCACATGTGTTTATTCATTACATAGGTATATTGCATAGCGGTAAGGATTGGGCTTCTAGTGTACCCATCACCCACATATTGAACATTGTACCCAATAGATAGTTTTTCAATCCTCTTGCACTACATTTTGGAGTCCCCAGAGTCTTTTTTCTCCAACTTTATGTCCTTGTGTACTCATTGTTAATGTTTTTATTTGGAAATAATTTCAAACTTACTGAAAAATTTCAAGAAGGGTACAAAAGCTCCCATATATCCTTCATCCAGATTTTCCAACATCTTATCCAATTTACTTTACTGTTTGCTCTATCAAATCTAATCTGTCTAATCTATTATATAATATCTATTCATCATTTACAGATACAGATTGAAATACATTTTTTTCTGGACCATTTGGGAGTAAGTTGCACAAATCATACTGCTTTACTCGTAACTACTTCAGTGTGAACAAGGACATTTTCTTATATTAACATAGTATGGTTATCACCCTCAGGAAACTTGACACTGAAACAATACATTAATCTCTCATTTTTCTAATTTTTTCAATTGATCAAATAAAATTCCTTATAGCATTTTTTTTCCCTCCAGTTCAGGATCATGTGTTACATTTAGTTGTCATGTCTTTTTAATCTCCTTTAATCTAAAATAGCTCCTTAGCTTTTCTTAGTTTTTCATGACTTTGACATTTCGAAATATGCCGGTTCTTTTAAAACAATAGACTAATCCTCATTTTTGTTTAGTCTGTTGTTTCTTTATGATTACATTCAAGTTAAGCTCTCTGGTTGGAGTACTGTATTAGTGATTTTGTGTCCTTCTGAAGACATTACATACATACCTCTGCCTGGGAGGCAGAGGTTTCAGTGAGCCGAGACCTCGCCACTGCACTCCAGCTGGGTGACAGAGTGAGAGACTCTATTTTCCCCTCACCCCCCCGCGAAAAAAAAAAGAAAGAAATCATGAGTTCTTACTGATACTCTCAAATTCAGTTGATTGCCATAGAGGTGTTCTTGCCTTTCCCCATTCTGTTTGTATCTCACTTCTTCCATAGGGAAAGATAACATTGATTCCCAGCAACATCAAAGTATTTACTCTCTTATACATAAAATAATCTCCTAATTATTTTATGCATACCACTATAAAAATACCTACACAAAATTCCAATTTAGTTTGCTCTTCTCCCCTTCATCCCTACCCACAGACTGAAGCGCTATAGTTAAATATTGTGTTTTAAAAAAATTTCTCTCCAGGATGATTATGTTATTCATTTCTAATAGAGTTGTGTACATTTGTTTCAATTTGCTCTAAGTATTAGATATTTTAATAGTTTGTTTCTCAACTCCTTGGTGATTTATTTTTATAGAAGATGTAGAACATTAACATACTTCCAAAAGTCATAACTACACAAAAAGTTATCCTCAGTAAATTATGATGCCCTCTCCTGTCCCCTTCACTTACTCCCAATTTCATTTTTTTCTAGTTAATGCCCCTTTTCTTTTTGTTTACACATTCAGATGTGTTTGCTTTTTTATTTCTTTTTATTTCTCACACAAAAGGTAGCTCTTTTTATTTACTATATTCCAGAAATAATTTTATATCAGGCCAGAGAGATCTTCTTCATTAATATTTACAGCCACATAGTACTCTGTTGTCTGCATATAAACAATAGTTTATTCAAACAATATCTTATGTTTGAACATTTAAGTAGTTTCTAATATTTTACAAGAAAGAACTATCTCGTGCATATGTATTTTCATATTCTTGGAAATGTACGTTCAAGGTAAATTCAAGAGGTAGGATTGCTAGGTATGAAAGATAAATGAATGTGTGGTTTTGTTAAGTACCAAATTCTCCTCCATAGAAGTTGTACTGTTTTACACTCCTACCAGCAATGCAAGAGAGTGCTTGTTTCCCTGCAGTTTCATCAACAAAGTGAATTTTAGCTTTTGACATTTTGCCAGTCTGATAGATGAGATATGATATCCTTTTATGTGCTCATATTTTCATATTTTAAGTGGTCTTTATATCATTATGAATTTCCTATTCTTTTGCCCATTTTATGATTTTTTGGAGTTTTTCTTTCAATTATTAAAATCTTTTTATATTTAGAATATTTATATTTTATATATTTATTTGTCATATATGTTGTAAATTTTTTTCTGGCAAATTATTTATATTCCCAATTTCTTGTCATTTCTTGCCATGAAAAATACTTTTTAAAAATTTTGTGTAGTTCAGTTTGTTAATTTAAAAAATTACATCTGGAATTTTTTTTTAAGAGACAGGGCCTCACTCTGTGCAATGGCACAATCGTAGCTCACTGTAACCTCAAACTCCTAGGCTCAAGGGATCCCCCTGCTCAGCCTCCTGAGTAGCTAGGACTATACATAGGTGCCACTATGCCTGGTTAATTGTTACTAACTTTTTTTTTTTTTTTTTTTTTGCAGAGATGGGGGTTTCACGATATTGCCCAGGCTGGTCCCAAACTCCTGGCCTCAAGCTATCCTCCTGCCTTGACGTTCGAAAGCACTGAGATTGTAGGTGTAAACCACTATGCCCAGCCTGGAATTTAAGATATAATTGCAAAGTCTTTTGCTACCCTAACTTTATAAAGGAATTTACCCCTGTTTTTTTATCTAGTATTCACAAAATTTAAAACCATTTAGACCTTTAATTCGTTTGGAGCTTATTCTTATTTATGGCATGAGGAATGGATTTAAGTTTATCTTTTCCAAATGACTTTTCAGTTGTCCCAACACCCTTAAATATAAAGTCCATTTCTGCCCCCAGTGATTTGAGATACTGTCTTTGTCATATATTAGATTTTCCATAAGTCATATGGTTTACTTTTGTACTCTCTATTCTGTTCCATTGGTCTTTCTATTCGTATAGTAGTCCGCATTGTTTTAATTACAAAGGTTTTATAATATGTTTTAATATCTTATGGGGCTAGAACATCTTCAAAACTATTCTATTTTAGGTTTTGCTCACTATCTCTTCTTGTCTATTTTTTATGTGAGCTTTAGTATGAACTTACCTCGCTCTATAAAAAAAATTGTTGGTATTTTTATTGGAATTGAATACTTCATAAATAAAATTATATATTAATTTATATGAAAATAAATACATGGCAAATTAAGTTAGCAAGAAATGAAATCTTGATGATATTGATAAGTTCTAACCAAGAACAAAATATGTCTTTCCATTTGTTTTGTTTTTTTTCTTATATTACGAAATTTAATGAGAAACAAAGTCTTTTTGTAGGCCCGATTTCATGTTTTTTCCTACATTAGTCCAGTACCTAGACTAGTTTATTACTCCATATGCCCCATTCTTTTCCTTTTTTTTTTTTTTAATTATACTTTAAGTTTTAGGGTACATGTGCACAACGTGCAGGTTACATATGTATACATGTGCCATGTTGGTGTGCTGCACCCATTAACTCGTCATTTAACATTAGGTATATCTCCTAATGCTATCCCTCCCCCCACCCCACAACAGGCCCTGGTGTGTGATGTTCCCCTTCCCGTGTCCATGTGTTCTCATTGTTCAATTCCCACCTATGAGTGAGAACATGCAGTGTTTGGTTTTTTGTCCTTGCGATAGTTTTCTGAGAATAATGGTTTCCAGCTTCATCCATGTCCCTACAAAGGACATGAACTCATCATTTTTTATGGCTGCATAGTATTCCATGGTATATATATGCCACATTTTCTTAATCCAGTCTATCATTGTTGGACATTTGGCTTGGTTCCAAGTCTTTGCTATTGTGAATAGTGCCACAATAAACATACATGTGCATGTGTCTTTATAGCGGCATGATTTATAATCCTTTGGGTATATACCCAGTAATGGGATGGCTGGGTCAAATGGTATTTCTAGTTCTAGATCCTGAGGAATCGCCACACTGACTTCCACAATGGTTGAACTAGTTGACAGTCCCACCAACAGTGTAAAAGTGTTCCTATTTCTCCACATCCTCTCTAGCACCTGTTGTTTCCTGACTTTTTAATGATTGCCATTCTAACTGGTGTGAGATGGTATCTCATTGTGGTTTTGATTTGTATTTCTCTGATGGCCAGTGATGATGAGCATTTTTTCATGTGTTTGTTGGCTGCATAAATGTCTTCTTTTGAGAAGTGTCTGTTCATATCTTTTGCCCACTTTTTGATGGGGTTGTTTGTTTTTTTCTTGTAAATTTGTTTGAGTTCATTGTAGATTCTGGATATTAGCCCTTTGTCAGATGAGTAGATTGCAGAAATTTTCTCCCATTCTGTAGGTTGCCTGTTCACTCTGATGGTAGTTTCTTTTGCTGTGCAGAAGCTCTTTAGTTTAATTAGATCCCATTTGTCAATTTTGGCTTTTGTTGCCATTGCTTTTGGTGTTTGGGCAAAGACATGAAGTCCTTGCCCATGCCTGTTTCCTGAATGGTATTGCCTAGGTTTTCTTCTAGGGTTTTTATGGTTTTCAGTCTAACATGTAAGTCTTTAGTACATCTTGAATTAACTTTTGTGTAAGATGTAAGGAAGGGATCCAGTTTCAGCATTCTACATATGGCTAGCCAGTTTTCCCAGCACCATTTATTAAATAGGGAATCCTTTCCCCATTTCTTGTTTTTGTCAGGTTTGTCAAAGATCAGATGGTTGTAGATATGCAGCATTATTTCTGAGGGCTCTGTTCTGTTCCATTGATCTATATCTCTGTTTTGGTACCAGTACCATGCTGTTTTGGTTACTGTAGCCTTGTAGTATAGTTTGAAGTCAGGTAGCGTGATGCCTCCAGCTTTGTTCTTTTGGCTTAGGATTGACTTGGCGATGCAGGCTCTTTTTTGGTTCCATATGAACTTGAAAGTAGTTTTTTTCCAATTCTGTGAAGAAAGTCATTGGTAACTTGATGGGGATGGCATTGAATCTATAAATTACCTTGGGCAGTATGGCCATTTTCACGATATTAATTCTTCCTACCCATGAGCATGGAATGTTCTTCCATTTGTTTGTATCCTCTTTTATTTCGTTGAGCAGTGGTTTGTAGTTCTCCTTGAAGAGATCCTTCACATCCCTTGTAAGTTGGATTCCTAGGTATTTTATTCTCTTTGAAGCAATTATGAATGGGAGTTCACTCACGATTTGGCTGTCTGTTTGTCTATTATTGGTGTATAAGAGTGCTTGTGATTTTTGCATATTGATTTTGTATCCTGAGACTTTGCTGAAGTTGCTTATCAGCTTAAGGATATTTTGGTCTGGAAGTCAAATTGTCCCTGTTTGCAGATGACATGATTGTATATCTAGAAAACCCCGTCATCTTTCCATTTGTTAACATGTTGTTCCATAAGTTAAGACTACATATGTGTTTTTAACCAGTGTTTTATAGTTTTCTTTGTATAGCTTTGAACATTTGAAGTTTATTCTAAGTGTTTTATGTTTTCTGTTGCTATGTAAGTGTAATTTTCTTTTTATTTTTATCTCCTCATGGCTATTTGTGTATACTAATTCTACTGATATTTGAGTGTTAATTTCATAACCTACTACTTTGATGAATTCTATTGAGTTAGTAGGATTTTCCAAGTATACCACCATATTATCTGCATATAAAGATGATTTTATTTCATCTTCTGTAATTTTTATGCCTCTTCTATCTTTTCTAAATGCAGTGACTTATGTGTCTAGTATTATGCTAAGTAGTAGAGATAATCATCCTTGCCTTATTTCTGAACTTAATTGGAGTTCCTGTGGTGTTTCCTCATTGGGTCCAATGCTGCTTTAGGATTGTGAGAGATATATATATGTATATGTATATATACACATATGTAACAATGTTATATGCTGATGATAAGTTATATGTAATATGTATATATGTGTGTGTGCATGTGTGTGTATGTGTGTGTGTGTGTGTGTGTGTATATATATATATATATATATATGCCCACACACTAAGTATTCATAGCTTCTTATTGTCTCTGAATGTTCTCTGAATGGGAACATACACAGACACAGTATAAAATATATACACACAGTAATATATGTACATATATGTAATATATGTACATATGTACATATATATACAGATACACATGTATTACTAAGTGTTTATAGCTTTTTACTGTCTTGAATTTTTCATTGGGAATGAGTTTGAATTTTGTCAAAGGCTTTTTCATATTTATTTTTCATCAAATTTAGTCTTGATTTCTGAAATTTTTTTTTTGGCCTTTTTTCTATTTTTAATCCTTGAGTTTTTCAAGTTCTTGATTCATCTACACTTATTGTTCTATCATAAGCCACTGTTTTCTGGCCATCTCTTCCCTGAGTTTTTGTATTTCTGCTTTGTGGTTTTCTTTCTTCAATATTTGTCCAAAGCTTAGTGGTTTACAATTTTCATATGATCAGTGTCAACATTGCTGATTTTTAAAATAAAACTATTTTGTTATTTCCAATATTTATTTATTTATTTATTGACATGCAATTGTATATATTTATGGGTATAATTTTATGTTTTACTATATATATATTGTATAATGATTGAATCAGGGTATTTCGCGTATCCATTGCTTCACGCATTTATCATTTCTTTGCGGTGAGGCCATTCAAAAGCCTCTCTTCTAGCTATTTTGTAATATACAATACCTTAATATTACCATAATTACCCTACTGTGCAATAGAATACCAGAATTTTTTTAAAATTCTTATTTTAAGTTCTGTGATACTATGTGCAGAACATGCAGGCTTGTTACATAGGTAATCTTGTACCATGGTGGTTTGCTGCACCTATCAACGCATCACCTAGGTTTTAAGCCCAGCATACATTAGCTATTTATCCTTATGCTCTCCCTACCCCCACCTGACTCCCACCCGCTGACAGGCCCTGGTGTGCATTGTTTCCCTCCCTGTGTCCATGAGTTTTCATTGTTCAACTCCCACTCAGGAGTGAGAACATGAAGTAGAACACCAGGATTTATTTCTCTTATCTAATTGTAACTTTGTACCCATTGAGTATCCTCTTCCCATCCTCCCCTTTCCCCTCCTCTCTCCAGTTTCTGGTGAACATTCTACTATCTGCTTCTGTGATATCAATGAATTTTTAAAATTCTGCATATGAGTGAGATTATGTGGTATTTATCTTTCTGTGTCTAACTTATTTCTCTTAACATAATGTCCTCCAGGTCCATCCGTGTTGTCACAAATTACAGGATTTCATTCTTTATTATGGCTGAATAGTATTCCATTCTGTATATATGCCACATTTTCTTTATCGATTCATGTGTTATTGGACACTTGGGTTGATTACAAATCTTGGTTATTACAGATAGTGCTGCAATAAACACAAGAGTGTGGATATCTCTTCAATATGCTGGTTTCATTTCCTTTGGATATATACCAATAAGTGGGTTTGCTGAATCATATGGGAGTTCTGTTTTTAATTTTTTCAGGAGCCCCTATACTGTTTTTCATAGCAGCTCTACTAATTTATAATCCCATCAATGGTGTCTATGTGTTCCTTCTTCTCTATTCTTCCACAACACTTGTTTTCTGTTGTCTTTTTGATAATCACCATTCTAACTATAGTGAGTTGGTATTTTATTATGGTTTTGATTTGCTTTCCCCTGATAAACTCTTTTCCCATTTTTAAAATACAAAATTGTTGTGTAGATGCAGTGATTATTCTTTTTGTTTCTCACACTTGATTTAATTTTATATTTATGAACCAGCTGTTTACAAGAATCTCACGTTGGGGAAAGGGGAAAGACCAGGGTAACCTGGCACCTCTATAACTCAAAGGCTGTCACCTCTGTTACAGTGACAGAGCTAGGTTTTATTTCATTTTCTCTACTACTTTTTGAATCTATCTTGGCTCAGAGGAGATTCTACTGCCATACCTAAACTTCTTCAGGTTCTAATCTACCTGTATCACCAAGGAAGAGATCATGCCTTCTGGAAAATCTCCCTTACATATAGACGATTTTTAAAATTATGTTATTATCTACTAGCCCTGGGTCACTTCTGAGCTCTCTTTCCCTGCCTCCAAGTGTGCTCCCCAGCCTTGCTCATAGCAGTTCCCATTCAGAGTATAGTCCTCTCCTGGGTATGTTTATGTGGTGATAGTTGTCACACTATTCTCCCATTGTCCCCTCCTTCACCTTGAGTTTTATCATATCTCATTTCAGTTTTCTGCAAGATGTCGGTAACAATTTTGCTACAGGCAGCATTTACACAAAATTTGTAGCTTGGAGGTATTTATTCTGTGTTCTGCCTTTGTCGACCATTGAATGTGCATTTTTTTTCTGATTATTCTTATTTCCCTATGGCTTTTTGGAGAAGTGGAATAATTCATAACTTAGTTGCCACCAAGTTTTTCCTGGAAGTTGAAACATATTTTACAATATTTTCTCTATTTTACTTGTCATATGACTAGTTATTTAAATTCTTTGTATGGCTGTTTACTGATTTTCAAAGTGGATTACTTAGTATCTAGTAAGGTTGATGCAGGAGCACATTGAGATACTAAAGTTGGTATAATATGTGGCATGTGGTAGGTGTTTATTATGGACTGAATTGTGTGCTACCCCACCCAATTCATATGTTGAAGCATTAACCCCCAATTTGACTATATATGGAGGTAGGGCCTTTAAGGAGGCAGTAAGATTGATTGAGGTTATAAGGATGGAGCCTAATCTGATATGACTGCTGTCGTTATAAAAAGAGAAAAGATAGATTTCTCTCTCTCTCTCTCTCTCTCTCTCTCTCTCTCTCTCTCTCTTTTGCTCTCTTCCCCCCTCTACATACATGTGAACCCAGAGGAAGGACTGGGAGGGCACACTAAGAAGGCAGCCATCTGCAAGCCAGGAAGAGAGGCCTCACCAGAAACCAACTCTGGCACCTTGACCTCAGACTTCCAGCCTGCAGAACAGTGACAAAATAAATCTTGTCATTTAAGCTACCCAGTCTTTGGTATTTTATTATGTCATCCCATGCAGACTGTATTAGTCAGGGTTCTCTAGAGGGACAGAACTAATAGGATGGGTATATATATAAAGGGGAGTTTACCAAATAGTATTAACTCACATGATACAAGGTCCCACAATAGTCTGCCTGCAAGCTAAGGAGCAAGGAAGCCAGTCTGAGTCCCAAAGCTGAAGAACTTGGAGTCCGAAGGGCAGGAAGCTTCCAGCATGGGAGAAAGATGTAGGTAGGCTGAGGTCTTTTCCTGTTTTTTTTTGCCTGCTTTATATCCTGGCTGCACTGGCAACTGATTAGATGGTGCCCACCCAGATTAAGGGTGGATCTGCCTTTTCCAGCCCACTGACTCAAATGTTAATCTCCTTTGGCAACACCCTCATAGACACACCCAGGATCAATACTTTGCACCCCTCAATCCCATCAAGTTGACACTCAGTGTTAACCATCACACAGGCTAATAGAGTGTTCATTAGATTGTAACTGCTAATAATAACAGTTGGTGGTGATGGTGATGATGATCCTAGAAGTCCAGGCCTATGGATACTTACTGATAAGGAATTGAAAGACCTGCTTTGAAAACGGAGTTTTTAGGAGGGATATAAATAAACTTTCTGCTCTGTTACTCTCCCCTTTCCTTTTATTAACTGGATTTAGAAATACTTTTATTTGGTAAAAGAAATGTTATAAATCTTCATACATATGGCTAATATTTCTGGCTAATTACCATGAAGCAGAATAACCATTAATCATATTATTAGAGATACCCAATTAATTTCATTTTGTGCTTGATTTTAGTACTAAATTTAAGCAGTTTATGCCACCTCACTTAGGTCAACTCCAATTATGATACATGTCTTTCTAGTATTAAATGCAAAAACAATGAGATGTCTGTAGCTCCCTTTATTATTACTTGCATTTCTTCATCTTTCTTTTTTTTTTGGAATACACAATTTATTATTTTGATACTGAATGAATAAAATTGTTCTTTCTTTCTCACTGGGAGGCCTGCCTTCCAAGCTGCTTTTTTGCCAAAAATATTTACCAGGACTTTCAAAGTCATCTCTTGTTTTCAGTTATTATTCTCTTTTATGACAACTATCTTTGAAGAGATTTGGAAGTTAGTCTATATTTGAAATTACTGTGTGTGTTTTCTGTGTTTATATGTAATTTCAACTTAAAAATCAAAACATCTTCACAATTCCTTTGGTATCTCATTTTAAATAAAAGTATCTTTTTTTTTTTTTTTTTTTTTTTTTTTACTGAAAGTCTAGATTAGATATTACTTCCTCTGTGAAACCTACCTGGACACTACCAGTGCAATCAGAGAAATTTATTGTTGTATCAGAGCACTTTCCATGTTGTGTTGTATTTTGTGTACAGCATATGGCATGTAGTACAGAATTTAATGGTTAAATGTGTCTCCAGTTAGACTCCACGTTTCTTGGGAATATAGACTGTATCTTTTCACATCCTCAGAACCTAGCATTTCTCTATGTCGATTTCATTATTGTCAGATCATACTTTGCATGCTTTCAATTCTTATAAATTTAAGTTTTCTGATTCAGAATATGGTCTGTGCTGGTGAATGTTCCATCTGTGGTTTAAAAGAATGTGTATTGTGCTGTTTGGGGGTGTGAGGCTCTATAGCATTTCAGTTGGTTGATGGTGATGTTCACTTCATCTATATCCTTGCTATTTTTCTGTCTACTTCTATTTATTACTGAGGGAGAAGTTCTGAAGGCTCCAACTGTATTGTGAATTTGTCTATTTTTCCTCAGTTCTATTAGTTTTGGCTTCATGTATTTGCAAACACTGTTTGATGCATATACATTCAGAATTATTGTATTTTCTTGATCAAATGCCCCTTATATTATTATGTAATTTTCTTCTTATTCTGGTAATTTTCTTTGCTGTGAAGCCTACTTTGAACAATATCAATATATCCATTTCAAGGTTCTTTTCATTAGTGAGTGCGTAGTATATCTTTTTTTGTCCTTTTGCTATTTTTAACTGAATAGATGTACCTAGTTTTGGAGTACATGTAATAATTTAATACATTCATATAATTTACAGTGATCAAATCAGTATACTTGATATATGTATCACCTTAAATATTTTTCTTTTCTTTATGCTAAAACCATTTTATAGTTTACAATACTGTTAGATGACAAATAACTAGAAGACAAGAATTTGTGCAATACCTTATTGTAAACTATAGTTACCCTGCTGACCCATCAAACACTAGGTCTTATTTATTCTATCAAACCATATATTTGTACTCATTTGATATGATTTGGCTGTGTCCCCACCAAAATCTCATCTTGAATGTATTTCCCATAATCTTCACATGTTATGTAACTGAAGTAATTGAATCAGAGAGGCAGATACCTTCATGCTGTTCTCATGATAGTGAGTTCTCATGAGATCTGGTGGCTTTATAAGGGGCTTTTCCCCCTTTTACTTGGTACCTCTCACCTGCTGCCATGTGCAGAAGGACGTGTTTGCTTTCCCTTCTGCCATGATTTTAAGTTTCCTGCGGCCTCCCCAGACATGTGGAACTGTGAGTCAATTCAACCTCTTTCCCCTTATAGATTACCCAGTTTTGGATATGTCTTTATTAGCAGCATGAGAATGGACTAATATAGTAAATTGGTACCAGGTAGTGGGGTGCTGCTGTAAAGATACCCAAAATTGTGGAAGCAACTTTGGAACTTGGTAACAGGCATAGGTTGAAACAGTTTGGAGGGCTCAGAGGAAGATAGGAAAATGTGGGAAAGATTGGAATTTCCTAGAGAATTGGCGGGCTCAGAAGACAGGAAGATGTGAAAAGCTTGGAACTTCCTAGAGACTTGTTAAATGGCTTTGACCAAAATGCTGATAGTGATATGGACAATGAAGTCCAGGCTGAGGTGGTCTCAGATGGAGATTAGGAACTTGTTGGGTACTGGAGTAAAGGTCACTCTTGCTATGCAAAGAAACTGGCAGTATATTACCCTGCCCTAGAGATCTGTGGAACTTTGAACTTGAGAGAGTTGATTTAGGGTATCTAGCAGAAGAAATTTCTAAGCAACAAAGTGTTCAAGAAGTGACTTGTTTGCTGTTAAAAGCATTCATTTTTATGTAGTCACAAAGATATGGTTTGGAATTATAACTTATGTTTAAAAGGGAAGCAGAGCATTAACATTTGGAAAATTTGCAGCCTGAGGATGCAATACAAAAGAAAAACCCATTTTCTAAGGAGAAATTCAAGCTGGCTGCAGAAATTTGCATGAGTAATGAGGAACCAAATTTTAATCACCAGGACAATGGGGAAAATGTCTCCAGGGCATGTCAGAGACCCTCACAGCAGCCCCTCCCATCACAGGCCTGGAAGCCTAGGAGGGAACAATGGTTTCTTGAGCTGGGCCCAGGGCCCCCCTGCTCTATGCCACCTCAGGACATGGTGCCCTGAATCCCAACTGCTTCAGCTCCAGCTGTGGCTAAAGTGGGCCAGTGTACATCTCAGGCCTTTGCTTCAGAGGGTACAAGCCCCTAGCCTTGGCGGCTTACATGTGGTGTTGGGCATGCAAGTGCACAGAAGTCAAGAATTGAGGTTTGGGAACCTCTGCCTAGATTTGAGAGGATGTATGGAAATGCCTGGATGTCCAGGCACAAGTTTGCTGTAGGGGTGGAGCCCTCATGGAGAACCTCTGCTAGGGTAGTGTGGAAGGCAAATATGGGAAGCTAAAAGGGTGAACGGTCCAGTGGGGCTCCCCACACAGAGCCCCCACTGGAGCACAGCCTGGTGGAGCTGTGAGAAGACAGCCACCATCCTCCAGACCCCAGAATGGTAGCTCCACCAACAGTGCACCTGGAAAAGCTATAGACACTCAATGCCAGCCATGAAAGCAGCCAGGAGAGGGGCTGTACTCTGGAAAGCCACTGGGACAGAGCTGCCAAATCTGTGGGAGTCCACCTCTTGCATCAGCATGAACTGGATGTGAGACATAGAGTCAAAGGAGATCATTTTGGAACTTTAAGGTTTAATGACTGCCCTATTGGACTTCAGACTTGCATGGGGCCTGTAGCTCCTTTCTTTTGGTCAGTTTCTCCAATTTGGAATGGGTGTGTTTACTTAATGGTCCCATTGTATCTAGGAAGTAACTAACTTGCTTTTGATTTTACAGGCTCATAGGTGGAAGGGACTTGTCTCAGATGAGACTTTGGACTTGGACTTTTGAGTTAATGCTGGAATGAGTTAAGACTTTGGGGACTGTTGGAAGGGCACGATTGTGTTTTCAAATGTGAAATCATGACATTTAGGAGGGGCCAGGGGCAGAATGATATAGTTTGGCTGTGTCCCCACCCAAATCTCATCTTGAATTGTAGTTCTCATAATCCCCATGGGTCATGGGAGGGACCCAGTGGGAGGTAATTGAATCATGGAGACAATTACCCTCATGCTCTTCTTATGATAGTGAGTTCTCATGATATCTGATGGTTTTATAATGAACTTTTATTCCTTTTGCTCAGTTCCTCTCTGTCCTGCCGCCATGTGAAGAAAGATGTGTTTGCTTCCCCTTCCACCGTGATTGTAATTTTCCTGCAGCCTCCCCAGCCAAGCTGAACTGTGAGTCAATTAAACCTCTTTCTTTTATAAATTACCCAGTCTCAGGTATGTCTTTGTTAGCAGCATGAGAATGGACTAATACACCATTCATCAACTTCTCTTCATTCCTCCCTCCCCCTTACCTTTCCTTGCCTCTATAACCACCAATTTATTCTCTATTTTCATGAGATTCACTCTTAGCTTCCACATATGACTGAGATCATGCAATGTTTCTTTTTTATGGCTGAATAATACTTCTTGGTGTATATGTACAACATTTTCTTTATCCTTTTGTCCATTGATGGCACTTAGGTTGCTTCTGTATTTTAGCTATTTAGAGTAGTGCTGCAGTAACCATGGGAGTGCAGATGTCTTTCCCATATATTGGTTTCTTTTCTTTTGGCTATATATACAGTAGTGGAATTACTGGATCATATGACAATTCTATTTTTCATTTTTTGAGGAACCTTCATACTGTTCTCCATAATGACTGTACTAATTTACATTTCCACTAACAATGTACAAGAGTTCCTCTTTCCCCACTTCCTTGCCAGCATTCATTATTGCCTTTTTGATAAATGCCATTTTAACTGGGATAAGTTGATATTTCATTGTAGTTTTGATATGCATTTCTCTGATGATTAGTGATGTTGAGCATCTTTTTATATACTTGTTTGCCATTTGTATGTCTTCTTTTGGGAAATGTCTATTCATATCTTTTGCCCGTTTTAAAATCACTTTATTAGATTTTTTTCCTATTGAGTTGTTTGAGCTCCTTACATAATCTGATTGTTAATCCTTTGTTGGATAGATAGTCTGCAAATATTTTCTCCCATTCTGTGGGTTGTCTCTTCACTTGTTGATTGTTTCCTTTGCTGTGCAGGAGTTTTTGGCTTGATGTAATCTTATTTGTCTATTCTTACTTTGGTTATCTGTGCTTTTGAGGTCTTACAAAATCTTTGCCTAGACCAATGTCCTGGAGTATTTTTCCAATGTTTTCTTCTAATAGTTTCATAGTCTGAGGTTTTAGATTTAAATCTTTAATCCATTTTGATCAGATTTTTGTATATGGTGAGAGGTAGGGGTCTAGCTTTCTTCTTCTTCATATAGCTATCCAGTTTTTCTAGTATCATTTATGTTAGAGACTGTCCTTTCCCCATTGTATGTTCTTGGTAGCTTTGTCCAAGATGAATTGACTGTAAGTGCATAGATTTATATCTGGGTTGTCTATTCTGTTCCATTTGTCTATGTGTCTGTTTTTATGCCAGTACCATGCTGATTTGGTTACTACAGCTTTGCAATAAATTTTGAAGTCAGGTAATGTGGTGCATCCAGCTTTGTTCTTTTTTGGGATTGCTTCAAGTATTCTGGGCCTTTTGTGGTTCCATATAAATTTTAGGATTATTTTTTCCATTTCTGTGAATAATGTCATTGGTGTTTTGATAGGGGTTGCATTGAATCTGTAAATTGCCTTGGGTAGTAGTGACATTTTAACCATATTAATTATTTTAATCCATGAGCATGGAATATTTTTCCATGTTTTCATGTGTTTACAATTTATTCCATGAATGTTTTATAGCTTTTCTTGTATTTATCGTTCACTTTTTTGGTTAAATTGATACCAAGGTATTTTAATTATTTGTAGCTATTGTAAATAAGATTGCTTACTTTATTGTTTTTCAGATTGTTTGCTTTTGGAATATATAAGTGCTACTGATTTTTTAATGTTGATTTTATGTCCTATAACTTTACTGAATTCATTTATCAGTTCTAGCAGTTTCAGTGTGGGTTCTTTAGGTATTTGTAAACATAGGATTATATCTTCTGTGAACAAGGCTAATTTGACTTTTTCCTTTTCAACTTACATGCCCTTCATTCCTTTCTCTTTCCAATTACTCTGGCCAGGACTTCCAGTGCTATATTGAATAAAAGTTGTGAAAGTGAGTATCCTTGTCTTCTTTCTGATCTTAGGGGAAAAGCCTTTTATTTTTCCCTATTCAGTATGATGTTAGCTGTGGGTTTGACATATATGGTCTTTATTATTTTGAGTTATGTTCCTTCTATATCAAGTTTGATGAGAATTTTTATAAAGGATGTTGAATTTTACCAAATACATTTTTTGCATCTATTGAAATAATTATTTAGTTTTTGTTCTTGGTTCTATTAATATGATGTATTTTTTTAATTTATTTATTATTATTATACTTTAAGTTTTAGGGTACATGTGCACAATGAGCAGGTTAGTTACATATGTATACATGTGCCATGCTGGTGCGCTGCACCCACTAACTGGTCATCTAGCATTAGGTATATCTCCCAATGCTATCCCTCCCCACTCCCCCCACCCCGCAACAGTCTAATATGATGTGTTACATTTATTGATTTCTATATGTTGAACCATCCTTGAATCCCTGGGATAAATTTCACTTGATCATGGTATATGATTTTTTTATTGTGATATTGAATTCTGTTCGCTAGTATTTTGTTGAGGATTTTTGCCTATGTTAATCAGTGATATTGGTCAGTATTTTTCTTTTTTCATTGTCCTTGTTTTGGTATCAGGGTGATGCTGGACTCACAGGTTGACTTTAGATGTATACCCTCTTCAATTTGTTTGAAGAGTCAGAATAGTATTGGTATTAGTTCTTTAAATGTTTGGTAGAATGTAGCAGTGAAGCCATCAGGTCCTGGGCTTTTCTTTGGTGGGAGACTTTTTACCACAGCTTCAATCTCATTGCTCATTATTGGTTTAGTAAAGTTTTTTATTCCTGGTTCAATCTTGATAGGTTATATGTATCTGAGAATTCATTCATTTCTTCTAGCTTTTCCAACTTGTTGGTATATGATTATTCATAATAGTTTCTAATGATTCATTATATTTATGAGATCTCAGTTGTTTTGTCTCCTTTTTCATTTCTGATGTTACTTATTTGGGTCTTTTGTTTTTCTTAGTCTAGCTTTTAGTTTGTTTTTTAGTTTGTTGATTTAGTTTGTTGATTTTAGTTTGTTGATTTGGGTCTCTTGCTTTTCTTAGTCTAGCTTTTAGTTTGTTGATTTTGTTTATCTTTTAAAAAACAATTTTTCATTTTATTGATCTTCTGTACTTTTTTAGTCTCAATTTATTTTTGCTTTGATCATTCTTATTTCTTTCCTTTACTCATTTTGGATTTGGTTTATTCTTACTTTTCGATTTCCTTGAGGTGCACCATTAGGTT
Source organism: Homo sapiens (assembly GCF_000001405.40). NCBI lineage: Eukaryota > Metazoa > Chordata > Mammalia > Primates > Hominidae > Homo > Homo sapiens. The sequence goes on from NC_000011.10 coordinate 101,162,450, forward strand.
ATCTGAAATCTTTCTACGTTTTTGATATAGGTATGTATTGCTATAAACGTTCCTCTTAGTACTGCTTATGCTGTATTCCATAGATTTTACTATGTTGTATTTCCATATTAATTTATTTTAAGAAATTTTAAAATTTCCTTCATAATTTTTTTATTGACTTAATATGTTCAAGAGCATGTTGTTGAATTTCCATGTGTTTATGAAGCTTCTGAGATTCGCTTGGTTATTGATTTCTAGTTTTATTTCATTGTGGTCACAAGTGATACTTGAGGTGATTTCTACTTCTCTGAACTCTTTGAGACTTGTTTTGTAGTCTAAGATATGGTCTAATCTGGAGAATGTTCATGTTCTAATGAAAGGAATTTGTATTCTGCAACAGTTGGGTGAAATGTTCTATAAATGTCAGTTAGACCTACTAGGTCTAGTGTGTAGTTTAACTCTGATTTTTTTTTTTTGTTTGGATGATCTGTGCATACTGAGAGTGGAGTGTTAATGTTCCTTACAAGTACTGTACTGCAGTCAATCTCTCCCTTCTAATCTATCAATGTTTGGTTTATATGCTTGGGATCTCTGGTGTTGGGTACATAGATATTTATAATTTTTATTTCCATTTGTTGACTTGGCCCCTTTATCATTATATAATTACTTTCTTTGTCTCTTTTTACAGTCTTTGATTTGTAGTCTGTTTTTTTTTTCAAGGTGGAATCTCGCTCTGTCGCCCAGGCTGGAGTGCAGTGGTGCAGTCTCAGCTCACTGAAACCCCCACCTTCTGGGTTCAAGCAATTCTCTGCCTCAGCCTCTCGAGTAGCTGGGATTACAGGTGCCCGCCACCACACCCAGCTAATTTTTTTTTGTATTTTTAGTAGAGACGAGGTTTCACCATCTTGGCCATGCTGGTTTTCAACTCCTGACCTTGTGATCCACCTGTCTCAGCCTCCCAAAGTGCTAGGATTACAGGCGTGAGCCATGGGGCCTGGCCGATTTGTAGTCTATTTTATCTGAAATAAGTACAGCTACTCCTGTTCTTTTTTGGTTTCTAGCTGCATGGAATATCTTTTTCAACCCCTTTACTTTCAGTCTATAAGTGAAATGGGTTTCTTATTGGCAGTATATAGTTGCTTCTTGATTCTTTTTTTTTTTTTTTTTTTTTTTTTTTTTTTTTTTTTTGAGACAGAGTCCCGCTGTTTAGCCCAGGCCGGATTGCAGTGGCGCAATCTCGGCTCACTGTAAGCTCCGCCTCCCAGGTTCACGCCATTCTCCTGCCTCAGCCTCCCCAGTAGCTGGGACTACAGGCGCCCACCACCGCGCCCGGCTAATTTTTTGTATTTTTAGTAGAGACGGGGTTTCACCGTGTTAGCCAAGATGGTCTCGATCTCCTGACCTTGTGATCCGCCCGCCTCGGCCTCCCAAAGTGCTGGGATTACAGGCGTGAGCCACCGCGCCCAGCCGATTCTTGATTCTTTATCTATTCAGCCACTGTATGCCTTTTAATTGAGTCAATTTACATTCAGTGTTCTTATTGATAAATAAGGACTTACTACTGCCAATTTGTTGTTTGTTTTCTGGTTGTTTTGTAACTCCTTTCTTTCTTTCTTATTGCCTTTCTTTGTGATTAAGGGATTTTTCTCTGGTAGTATGTTTTAATTTGTTGCTTTTTATTTTATTTATTTATTTTTATTTTTTTTTTGAGACGGAGTCTTGCTCTGTCACTCAGGCTGGAGTGCAGTGGCACAATCTTGGCTCACTGCAACTTCCTCCTCCTGGGTTCAAGTGATTCTCCTGCCTCAGCCTCCCAAGTAGCTGGGATTACAGGCACATGCCATCATGCCCAGCCAATTTTTGTATTTTTAGTAGAGATGAGGTTTCACCATGTTGATGAGCCTGGTCTCAAACTCCTGACCTCGCGATCCGCCTACCTTGGCCTCCCAAAGTGCTGAGATTACAGGCATGAGCCACCGTGCCTGGCTGCTTTTTATTTTTAGTGAATCTATTATCAGTTTTTGTATTGTGGTTACCATGAGGCTTATGAAAAACATCTTATAGATATAACAAGTTATTTTAAAGAGATGGCAGCTTATCTTTGATCATAAATAAATGAATAGAAACAAAGGAAAAACAACAAAAAGCTCCTTACATTTTAACTTTATCTCTGCTACATTTTAACTTTTAGTTGTCTTAATTTACATATTATTATATTACCTATCTCTTAACAAGTTGCTATAGCTATTACTGTTTTTGATAGATTTGTCTTTTGGGTTTCATACTAGAGTTATGGGTATACTCTATACCATAATTACAGTATTATTTTGGGTTTTTCTGTGTAGTTTTACCAGTGGATTTTATATCTTCAAATGTTTGTTGTTTTCATTGATGGTGGCTTTTTTTTATTGCATATTACTGTTTCTTTTTTTCTTTCAGATTTGAATAACTCCCTTTATCATTTCTTGTAAGACAGGTCTGGTAGTGGTAAATTTGCTCAGCCTTTGTCTAGGAAAGACTTTATTTCTCCTTCATATTAGAAAGATAACTTTGCTGGCTGCTATATTCTTGGATGGCAGTAGATTTTTGTTTTCTTTCAGCACTTTGAAAATATCCTTCTGCTTCCTCTGGGCCTGTATGGTTTCCATTGAATGAAGTCTGTTAACAGATAAATTGGAGTGTCTTTGTTCATTATTAGCTTCTTTTCTCTCTCTTTGTTCTTTGTCCTTGACCTTTGCGAGATAGTTTTTTTGTGTTTGTTTTTTTTTTTTTTTTGACCAGGTTTTGCTCTGTCACGCAGGCTGTAGTGCAGTGGCATGATCGTGGCTCACTGTGACTTCAACCTCCTGGGCTCAAGCAATCCTCCTGCCTCAGCCTTCTGAGTAACTGGGACTACAGGTGTATACCACCATGGCCAGCTATTTTTATTTTTTTAATTTTTTGTAGAGCTTGGGTCTCACTATGTTGCCCAGGCTGGTCTTGATTTCCTGGCCTCAAGAAATCCTCCCATCTTGGCCTTCCAAGGTGCTGGGATTACAGGCGTCAGCCACTACAGCTGACTCTGGGGTAGTCTTACTTGGGTCAAATCTGCTTGGGATTCTCTGACCTTTCTCTACCTGGATAAATTTATATCTTTCTCATGTTGTAGGGCGTTTTCTATTGTTTCTTCTTTGAATAAACTTTCTTCCCCTTGTTGGTCATCTCTCTCTCTCTCGAGCATTAATAATTCTTAGATTTGATCTTTTGAGGTAATTTTCTATCTTATAGGTGATCTTCAATGCCTTTTTTCTTCATTTTTCTCCTCTGTGTATTTTGAAATAGCCTGTCTTCAAGCTCACTGATGTCTTTCCTCTGTTTCATCCATTCTATTGTCGATAGCCTCTAATGAATTTTTCAGTTAAGAAAATGTATTTCTCAGTTCCAAGATTTGTGTTTGATTTCTTAAAATTATTATTTCAACCTCTTTGTTAAGTTTCTTCAATAAATTTGTGAATTGCTTTTCTGTGGTAGCTTGGAGATCACTGAGTTTCTTTAAAACTACTATCTCGAATTCTTGGCCGGAGAGCTCAAATATTGCTGTCTCATTAGGGTCAATTCCTGGTTTCCTGATTTGTCTATTTGGGGAGATCATAGTTTGGTTCCCTGTTTGCTGTTATTTCTTGTAGATGTCTATGTCTTTGCATTGAAGGATTATTTATTCCAGTCTTCTCTGTCTGGTTTGTTTTGGTTTGTATTGGATATATTTGTATAGAGTTTCTTTACTGCTAGGTTGCTGCCTCCTTTTTGGCTCTAGGTGGTGCCTTAAGCCAACAGGGGTGATCCTAAAAGGGATGTGTGGTATGGGAAGGTTGGTTAGGGGTTCATGCCCAAGGGACCTATTAGAAGAACCCCGTACAGCATGGTGATACTGAACAGTCACTCTGATTTGGTGTCTTCTTTGGCCAAGTTACAGAGCAGTTTCCAGGACTGGGGATGGTAGTTCCACCTCCCTGCTTTGTTTCTGCCTGTCTTCAGGGTTATACCTCCCTTCATACATTCGCAATGCTTCACATGGGTTAAGGCAGGGACAGGTCTCCTGCCAGGGAACCCACAATGGTGGGGAAACTAGGTTTCACCATGAGCTCACTTTTTCCAGTGTAGAAATAGTGAATTTGGGGGAAATTTTCCACATGCTTAGTGCTGGGCAGAATTGGGGAGAGGTATCATGGATGTGGATATCTAATTCTCTTACAGTCTTCTGAGAGTTTTTTCACCTCTCTTTTGCTCTGTGAAGTGTCTCATTTTCATATTTAAATTCTGGGATATTTCTGATGGAAAGTTTGGTGTGGTGTATTTGTTTTTTTGTTTTCAGAGATTGCAGAGAGTGAAGCTAGTTTGCTTCTATGCTTCCATTTTGGAACCACCGTCTTTTTGCTTTTAACATACATATGTCATTATATTTGAACTGAGTTTCTTGTAAAAAAACATATATTTTGGTCTTTTATTTTTTGGTTTTGGTTTTATTCTGAAATTTTCTGTATTGGTGTTTTTAGAGAATTTATACTTATATTTGAGTTTCCATCAATCATTTTGTTATTTGATTTGATTGTTAACTATTTTTTATTCCATTTCTCTTTTCTGCCTTCTTTTTACTCATTCGAACCTTCTCAGCATTCCAGTTTTGTTAACCTAGCATGTTTTTGATTATGTCCCTTAATCTAACATTGTAAATGGATGCTCTAGGAATTAAAATGAAATCACTTAACTTTGACAGTTTACTTAGAATCAATATCTTACCACTTCAAGTGAGATGTAGAAACCTTACCAGTATATAGGTCCTTTACCATCTCTCCTTAATTTGTAGTTGCCTTGTGTACTATATATCCATACATTAAAAATCCCATCAGAAAAATGTAACAATTTTGTTTTCAACCATCAAATGTATTTTAAAGAGCTTGAGGATAAAGAACTTGAGGAGATTTAACCAGATATTTACCATTTCTGTTCTTCTTTCATTCCCTACATTCAAGGTTTCCTGCTCACATCATTTCCCTTCTCTCTGAAGAACTTCCTTCAGCAATTCTTTTAGACCACATCTGCTTGTGTGAATTCTCTTATTTTATTTTTTTCCTGCAGAGAATGTCTTTATTTCATTTGTCTTTATTTCTGAAGATGTTTTCACTAAATATAAAATTCTAGGTTGTTGGTTCTTTTCTTTCAACACTTTAAACCTGTTCTATTTCCTTCAGGCCTCCATGGCTTCTGATGAGAAATTCACAATTATTTGAATCATAGCTAGTGCATTGTTTATCTCTTCTTGCTTTCAATTTTTTTTTCTTGTCTTTAGTCTTCAGCAGTTTGATTATGTCTCTTGATTTTGATTTCTATGGGTGGGTTTATTCTATTTAGTGTTCTCTGATACTTTTAAATATGTAAGTTTATATTTTTCACTAAATTTCGAGGGTTTCAGGCATTATTTACTCTAATTTTTTTTCTGCTTCATACTCTTTATTCTCTTCTTTAGATATTCCATTGACATAAATATTAGACCTTTTGTTATTTTCTCACAAGTCTCCAGGCTCTATTAATTTATTTAAATTTTTTGTTGTTGTTCAATTTGGATAATTTATTTTGATCTATTTTCAAATTCAATGATATCTTGTGTCATCTTTATTTTACTTTTGAGTTCATTCAAATTTATATATACATTCAAAATGAGTTATTGTATGCTGTAGTTCTAAAATTTTAATCTGGATCTTATATTTCTTTGCTGATAGTTTATACCATCTGTTCATTTCAAAAGTGTGTGGCTTTACTTCTTTTAACATTTTTATAATACCTGCTTTGAAGTCTTTGATAATTCCAACATCTGTACTATCTTGGTTTTGGCATATGTTAATTATATTTTCCTATGGAAATTGATATTTTCCTATATTTTTGAACATGGAGTAAATATGAATTATATCCTAAACATTTTGAATATTATGATATAAATCATATATATCATATTACGTATAAATCTTGATATTTTTAGTTTAGTAGATAATCCACCTGGTTCATTTTAGACACAAGTCATGACTGACCTATTTTCTGTTGTCATGTCTGGTTCTTGTCAGTTCCACATATAAAGTTTTTGCAGTGTTGTTTAGATCTGTCCTATAGGAGGCCAGTCTGAGATTAGGGAGGTGGCCAATCCATAGGTCTCTTCTTGTAGCCTTTGATATGTTGTTTAGTGTCTGATTCATAAATATAAGCTTAGGGGTAAGCTCCAGAGTTCATAAACAACTCTACGGGGTCTTTTTCATGAGTTATTCTCTCTCTGTGATCTCCTTGGTATAGTAGTTTTCAGGTCCCGACCTTCCTTGTTCTGGTCCTCTGGCCAAAGACTTGAGACTTTAATTACCTGGTCTGCTGCACATGCACACTTTAGCTGACCATGCCCATGTCTGGAGCTTAGCACCAGGAAGACAAATAATTAAACTAACAAACAAAACCTCCAAACTGAAAAGTAGATGTTTATTCTACCATTTTTGGAACACAGCTATCTGATCAGAGAGGATGTTTCCCCTTTGCTAATGGTCTGAATGTTTGTATACCCCCAAAATTCATGTGTTGAAACCGAATTACCAAAAAAAGAGAAAAAGAAACCTAATTACCAATGTGATGATATTAGAAAGTGAGGCCTTTGGGAAGTAATTAGGTCATGGAGGCAGAGCCCTCAAGAATGGGATTAGTGCCTTTATGAAAGAGGCCCCAGAGATCTGCATTGTCCTTTCACCATTTGAGAAGGTACCATCAGGATCAGGAAATGGGCTCTTACCAGGCACTGAGTCGGCCGGTGCCTTGATCTTGGACTTTCTAGCTTCCATAACTGTCAGAAAAATATTTCTGTTGTTTATAAGCTCCCAGTCTAAGGTATTTTGTTGTAGCAACCTGAACAGACTAAGACAGAAAATTGGTCTGAAGAAATGGATTGCTGCTATATTAATTACCTAGAAATATGGATGTGGCTTTGGAACTGGGTAACAGAAGCCAGAAGAGTTTTGGGGTACATGTTGTACACATCTACTCCTGAAGAAAGGAAGGATAAACAGATGAGTTTTTGAAGAATTTTAATTGAGAAGGAGATATGGCAGTAACTAACTACAAGGTCAAGGAAGGATTTTATTTTTCTTAGAGGAGAGAAACTTGAAATGTGTATAGGGTGAGGAGAAGGAGCTTGTAGAAATGGAAGAGAATGAGAATGTATGAGGAAGAAGGACTAAGATCCTGGAGGATATGAGGAGAAGATGGAGTTGAAACCATTGGTGGAGAAATGGGCTTTGATCAAGAATGAAATCTCTTGCTAAGGTCGAAGAAAGGAGGCAAGGAAGTCATCTCTTAAAGCTCAATTCATGCATTTACTGGACATGATATGTGTTCAGGACTTTGTTGGATGCTGGGGTGGGATGGAGAAGGGAATAGTAATTTAAGACAAGTACAAAACACTGTTCTCAATAATTATGCAGTATGTTATAAGGTAGAATTAAGTTCCAGCTTCTTAGTGCCTCAGGAGAAAAAGAAAGACAATCTTGAAAGTATAAAAGGCTAACAAATATAAGCTTAATAGCACTGAGTTTAAAAATTGTAATCAGAGAATATAAATGGATATCCACTCTGTATCCTTGTTTTGTTAGACTCTCACATTGTGCTAAAGCACGTTCTGTTTGTTTTGAACACATTTGAAGAGGGACCTTCGCTCTCTGCTATGGTACACACACTCCACTTCAGTTTTCTGCCTGGCCTCTTAAAGCATTAAACAATTGGACTAGAAAATCTGCATGATCTTTTTTAGCTTTAGATATCATGATTCTCAGGCAGCTTCCCTGGAGATCATATTTGTTAGCAGAAAACTGTATGCTAGGGATCACTAGAAACAAAGGATAAATGTAGGAGGGGAACCAAAGGAGAGCTATTCCTTTCCTTTTGAACTTGACTTCTGGTACCTTCCTAAGCATCATATATTAAATTATTTTTTCCCTTATAAAGTACAATCTCACTAGACATCTGTTTTCCTCTCCTATCAAATTTTGAAGTAAAAATGAATTACTGCCAAAACAAAGCAAAAAGAATTATTTTATACTAGTCTAAAATAACACCATCTAAATTATGTGTGTTGCTTAACCTTATATGGAAAACTTTCCATTTGTGGGTAGATGTTTTTCACCTGTGGGTATTATAAATCATGTATGAAAATAATGGAGGATATTTGTATGACTCGGAAAATTTTTAAAAAAATATTTAGCACCTAGGAAAAAATCAACTATTTAAACATTTTTAAAGGTATTCTAACATTATGTACTCTGCTTCCCTTTCTCTCTGAATGGACTATGTAGACTACTGAAATTAATATTTAGGAAAGGAGGACAATGATTAGTATAACTGAGGCTGAAGAGAAATCCTTTATTATCCAGGAAGATCATCTCTGTGATGGCAGAGAGAGGAAGGACAATCTTCCTGGGCAATCAGGGAAGCTAGTTCAAGATTATTCTCACAAATAGTTGTTCCTTTGTCACTCCCTCAACATACCTTGTTTTGCACCATTATAAGACAAATAATGCAAATATGAAAGATTATACTAAATCTTCTCCTCACTTTTACTTTTGTATAACATGCCAGGATTTGGGTTAATTTACCATGTTTTAGAAATAGTATATTCTGTCTTTATAGCATATGTCCCAACTAATTAATTGGCCTGGACTTGATAAGCTTTTATGCATTTTCATTTTAAATTTGAATTTCAAAATTAAACATAATCTTTATGAACAGTTGTAATGATCACCATCTCATATACACAGAAAAAAGACAGTCAAAGTTGAGCTATATTCAGAGCTATTTCAGAATTCATTAAAGACTTTAACCTCAGAAATTATTTTTCCTTGGTACCCTGATGTCAGACTTTTTTATTTTTATTTTTTAATGGTTTGTTTATTTTTAAACGTTGTGGTTATACAGTAGGTATATATAGACCTCTTTAATAACTGCAGTACCTGTTAATCAAGTTTTTCCCCATATACCTTCATTCCTTCCATTTCTTCCTTAAACTAGTTTTCGTCTTTACCAATGAAGTGCAAGACTTTGGAATGAACAACAAGTATTTGGGTAGAATGATAACTCAAAGTGAAGACTCAAAGTGAAATAGTCAATTGGAGGAGCCTGCCTGAGAGACTAGAGTATAAAACCTGTTTTAATATGGAAAAACAAAAATGCAGAGACCACATTGAAAAGCAGTGAATGGGAAAGGGAAAGGAAGAGAACAAGAGAAGGAAGTAGGCTTTCAAGGACTCCTTCATAGTAATAAATCTAAATCACTTGGACCTCTTTCTTTTTCAGTGACTTTTATTTCTGCCTGTAGAAATTGTTATATGTAGGTAGCAGTTTAGAATGAGGAATACTATTATGTTTCCTATTTTTAAAGATTTGTATTGATTAAATTGAACTTTCATAATAATTGATAAGGTGAGAAGATAATGACTTCTTCTAAACTCAGATATTGCCATATTTAAAAATGAGCTAGTATTACAAAAAATAAACAAACAGCGTCTTTGTAAATAATTGGCTTGGCAATGAAGTTGGAAGATTTTGCAATTAATTTTAATTGATCAATCTGATATTGTATTTTGTATTCATCTTATAATTTGCTGCTAATATGGGTACATTCTGTTTCTCAACATTAATAATATGTGCATATTTATATACATGAAAAATTAGTATAGACAAGCATTATGAGAATCCTGCACAATACAGAAAAGTTCAATAAGTATGTTGACTATGTAATACATTTTAAAGTACATTAGCCTCAATTAAATAAAATGTCTATAGCTATTCACTGGTACAATTTATTTAGGGATTCATTCATTAGACTCCCCATTTTCAGTCCTTTTCCTTGGAAAATATACCTTTGAAAACAAGTTTTGCCAAATTGACCATGATTAGCTCCGCTTAATGTATTTTATTATAAACCTTTAATCACCTTAAATCAATTTCAATGGATTCATTTTACTTAAAGAATCTCTCCTTGCCTATTTTAAACAAACTGTCTTAGACATGATTCATTGTTATCTTCAGGTTACCGTGTCTTTTGTTTTTCTTATAGGATCTTATTCTTCTCTGTTGTATATTTATATATAAGGTTCCACCAAAGAAGAATCTCCTTGGTGTATGTGACCTTCAGACTGTCAGGAAAATGTTACCTGTTGGCATAAACAAACCACCACATCTCAGTGGCTTTCCACAGTAGAAGTTCATTTCTCACTCACTCAAAGTGCAGTAGTGGTGTTTCTGATGTGGACAGCATTCATCATGGTCTTTCAGGTGCAGAGGCTCCTTATAACTTGTTACTCATCACCATCCTCTAGGTCTCTGAGGCCTCTGTATTTAGCCTTCAGATGAGAAAACAAAATGGAGAATTTTTGCTTGGGGTTTTAATGCCTAGGCTTGTAAATAGTGCTTATCATTTGTGCTCACATTCCATTGTTTAGAACTTAGAAGGCCACACCTAACTGCAGGGCAGCCTGGGAAATGTGGTCTAGTTAGGTGCCCAGGAAGAAGAGGTTGTGTTTTCCAAATTTCAGTCACGTCATGCTTTTTTCTTATGCTTCTTTTTTTTCCCTTAAAATAATTCTCATTTTCTTTTTGTTGAATTTAATCATTCATTCATTCAACAGATGCTTAATGAATGTATACTACATGATGGGTACATACCGTTCTAGGCACTTGGGATGTATCAGTGAACATTTCTCATTTGGGGTTTGTCTGATTTTTTTTCATGATTAGATTCAGGTTGTACATCCTTGACCAGAAACTGCTCCTGGTTCTTTAATGCATTTGGTTAAATATATTCTGTCTTCCTTTTATGTTCTAAAAACGACACACAGCTTGGGAGTAGTTGAATATGAAAAGTAAGGTTACAGTATGCTTGTGGAAAAGGTATGTCTAACATTATGTAATTTTAATTTAAAATGTGCTTAATAGCTTCTACTTGACATGCCTACCCAGAAAATAATATATTTTATAAGTAAATTATGTACAATACAGACATATTGATAAACTTTACAGTTACCATTAATGACTCATTAATATAAATAAAGCTTATTTTGTCCATATATGAGGAAAGAGATGTATTTATTAGAAGATTTTGGTAGGTAAAATTCTCTAGACCTTGATGAATAGCAGCAGTAAAGATTATAGGTAGTGTTTCTTATATGCTCCTATGTACCAGATAATGTTTAAGCATTTTACATGCACAACTCTATAATGTAGATACTATCATATCTAATCTATGGTGGGACACTGAGGCACACAGACTGAGTTACACACCTAACAAGTGGCAGTCAATATTTAAACTCAGGCAGTTTGACTTCAGTGCGCATTCTCCTAATTTCTATACTACTGTAGACTCTGAAAATGTTTGCTGAGTGGGTTAATGAATGTATGAAGAAAATGGAGGGGGTAGACCAGTTGTGCCTTCTGGATCAAAGAGTATGATTCTGTGATATGATACTTATGACTCTTTGGGTTTTATTCCAATTGGATTTTAATGGGTTTTATTCCACTTGATAAAATTATTAATTTTATGATGCTAAACATGTTTTATAATACTTTTTAGCTACAGGTAAAAAAGGAAAACCCTATAATGACCCATCTTATTATTTATGTAATTATTTATTCATTATTTATTCATTCATCAGATAGATATCAAGCCTCTACTGAGTGCCAGGCCTTGTGGTTAAAACACTTAACAACGAACAACAACAAAACCTAAACCCATATAGGGTTCATAGTCTTAGGGGTGGAGTTGAAATTGATATAAACAATAAATGATTACCCAAATAGAAATTAATTCCTATAGTGGTAAATGTAGTTAGAAAAGCACAAGACTTTTATTAGAATATATAAAAGAAGGACTCAACCTGATTTGAATAGTCAGGAAATGCCTCCCTGAAGAAGATGTTTAAGTTGAAAGCTTGAGTGGAAATTTAAAGTTAAAAATCAAAAGTTGAAAGCTACGTTAAAAGAATGAGCAGCAGATAACCAGGGAGGGAAGAGGGAAAAAGACTTATTCTAGGCAGAGAATATGTGAACTGAGGCCTGATAGAATGAGATGTATGGATTTTTCTCAACACGTATCTATCAGTCTATCATGTGCCAGGTAAGATGAGAACTGAAAAAGGGCCTTGAATTAAAAAACCTGGTCATTGGTGCATTGATGTCCTTAATGAAGGCAGGCATTGGATTGGTGGGGGTGGAGGGGCTAAATGGGAGATAAGGAAGTAGAGATAGTATTGTTTTATATTGGTTAAAGTTGTGATTTATAGCTATTGTTTTTTCCCCAGGTTGGGCTTACAATTCTGCTCCTCAGTTTACATCCTCCATGGTCAGGTCTTGTTCTAACTTCCCAGCAAGTAATGGATTTGTCTCATTGTTTATTGTATTCCATGATACTCCTATAATTCTGCTTTATAGCACAGTAGGAAAGAGTTTAGACTCTTGAGTCAAAGTAGATTGAGTCTGAATCCTGGCCTCAGAACTTGCTGGCTGATTTGACCATGGGTATTATATAAACATGATGAACCTCAGCTTCCTCAGAGGTAAAATGGAGCTATTAATGGTATCTCCCTTGTAGCATTTTTGAAGGGACTAAATAAAATTTTCTGTGAATCTGGCATAGGGTAGTGCCTCAGTTAAAAATAGTAGTTTTTTCCCCCATATCTTGACTATTGTTAATAATCCTACAATGAACACGGGAGTGTGGATATCTCTTCAACATACTGATTTCAGTTCTTGGATATTGAGTGCTGGATGACATGGTGATTCTATTTTTAGACTTTCTTTTTTTTTTTTTGAGGAACTGATATGGGAGTGGGGCAGGGAAATGCTAGGTGGTGAAGGGTGTGGGGTCCCTGGCGAGGGCTCCACCCTTGGGCCTGTACCCACAGACCTAAGTGAGGACAGGCACTCCTGTTTTCACGCCCAAGTGTTGCACTTTCCAAGACCACTCTGGCCTGCCATGCCCCCCCATCCTGTGCCTGTAAAAACCCCGAGACCCTAGCAGGCACATACCACAAGCAGCTGGATGTTGAGAGGAACACACTGGCAGAAAAACACACTGACAGAGGTCAGCAGGCCATCGATGGCAGAATGACGTGGACGCCGAAGGAAATTCAGCCAATGGTGGTTGGAGGAGAGCCCGGTTACTACGCGGCCAGACTCCAGGGGAAGACCATCTTCCCACTCCATCCCCTTTCTGGCTCCCCACCCATCTCCTGAGAGCTACTTCCACCACTCAATGAAACATTGCACTCATTCTCCAAGCTCACGTGTAATCCAATTTTTCCGGTATACTAGGGCAAGTACCCCAGGATACAGAAGGCCCTCTGTCCTTGCAATAAGGCAGAGGGTCTAATTGAGCTAATTAACACAAGCTGCCTGCAGACAGCTCAGCAGAAAGAGCACAGTTTAACACATGCCCACTGGGACTTCGGGATCTGTAAACAATCCTAGACACTGCCGTGGTGTTGGAGCCCCATGACTTGCCCATCTGCATGCTTCCCCTAGAGGACTGAGCAGTGGGGCACTGAAGAAATGAGCCACCCCTATCACATGCCCTGTGAGGGGGATAAGGGAAAACTCCTCCCATTACAGAGCCTTTATACTTTTTTCCAAAATGGCTATACTAATTTACAATAACATTTATTAAAATAACACTTTGAAAAAGTGTCAGTTTTGTTATTGTTCTATTTCTAGTAGCTAAGCCCCCTTTAACAGTCTTTATAGAATGAATATAGTGAAAAACTATTTTCAAATTTACTAGAAAATAGTTTGTCATTTGAATAAAGTAGGTCTGAGGACATTTGTGCCTTCTCAGAGCTCAGTTCATGGCAGTGACTGAGGAGGAGGTTATTAGGTTCATAATTTTGAGGGTGTGGGAGAACCAGGATTGCCTGAAGTCTTACTACTAGGGTTTTCTTCATCTAGTTAGTTGACAGGAGCCAATGTATCTGTTGGGCATTCTGCCCCACAACTCCTCGATCATTGCCATTGGCTCACTCATGACTTTGGGACCAATATTCTTCATAGGGATAGGGAAATATGAAAGTTGCCCCATCAGCAGCTCAGTGACTCAGCTGTCAGGACTTTGCACACTGTACATATACCGCAGTGGTAATAACTGAGCACTTACTGTGTTCTTTACTAATGTCCTGTATGACTAAGGTCTTGCCCTCCACTCTTACCTAGAACTCGGTTCATTCTCCTCAATTCCAGAGCTGAAGTCTTCCTAAGATTGGGTCTTTTCTGTTGCCCTGAGTGACTTTTGATTCTGATTGCTTCCTTTCCTGGATCTCTACTGATTCTATACTATCAGGCTCCACCCTGAAAGAATTCATCTGCCTGCTGGGATCTGTGTCTATTGCCACTTCAGACCTCTCTGATATTGAGTACTTACCTGCCTATGCATCACATCATTGTCTAGGGTTATAGCTTTGCAAATTACCTGGTTTCCCCTCATGAGACTTTGTGTTGATTGGATCCTAGCCTAACCAAGTCTGGTCTGTTCTGCTGCCAGCCAATCCCAGGTTCTGCTATCCTTGTCCTTCTCATGGCCTTTGCATCTTGAGTTATGGAACTCTTTAAAGCAATTCTGCCTTTGGACCCATAAAATTTTAAAGTTTGTATTAGCCACATTTTAAAACATACAATGAAGCAGCTGACATTAATTGTAATTTAATCCAATATTTTGTTCATTTTATATTATTTATCTAACTGAATATATACAAAAATACCATTTAAATATGTAACAAATGTAAAAATACTAATAAGATATTTTGTCATGCCAAGACTTTGAGATCTGGTGTGTATTTTATACTTTGTCACATCTCAATTCAGAGTAGAACTGCTGGAATGTAATTCACATTTAGAGTGCCTCATAGGTGGTGGCTACTGTACTGAACAGTGTTGTTCCAGAAATGGATGGGAGCATCTGTCCTTCACAGGCAGAGAAGAAAAGCTCATCTCTGATACACTGAATTTCAACTAAGAGGAAATCCACATCCTGACATATCTGTATATGTCTCTTGCATTATTTACAACTCTGACAACTACATTCTTGGCCACTAGCATTCTTGTTACAGTATGCATGTATGCATTTATGCATATAATAAAATAACCTCATTTATTCATTCATTGATTTATTTGCCAAATATTTATTGGGAATGTTCCAGTTGTTACTGGCACTGTTCTAGCTTCTTGGAATACATCAGTAACGAAAGAGAGAAATATTTTGCCCTTGTGGAGTTTACATCATACCAGGAAGAAGCAGGTAATAAATCAGTAATAATAAATAATTATATAACATGAATGTTAGAATGTGATAGTGGTATGTAAAAAAGGAAAATTAGGGAAGCCTAAGTGGGTTGGGAGTCTGGGGAGGGGAAGTGAGTTGTAGCTTTAAATAGAACATAAAATATACAAGATAATAATATAGAAGATAATAGAAGAAATATGAGAAGAAATATAGAAGATAATAGAACATAAATGGAAGATAAAGAAGTAGGTGATGAGATCACAGAGGTTACTGGGGTCAAGTCAGGATCCTAGGCTAGGTGCTGTCTGAGATTCAAAGGTGAGTCAGACAAAGCCCCATTCTTAAGGGAGTCTATCAAGAGCAACATAACAAATATATTGATAGTTATGATGCAATGGTAAATATAACAATTGTCATGAAAGAATTTGCAAAAGATACCACAGGAATTAAAAAGAAGATTCCTAAAGGAGGCAATGTGGTAGAAGAAAGAACATGGGCTTTGAAGTTAAATAGACCTGGATTTGCATCCCAGCTCTCATCTTACCAGCTGTCAATAGGATGAACAATGATCCTGGATTGCCCAGGTCAGTCTGGTTTTAACACTGAAAGTTCTACATCCTGAGAAACGACTCAGTCTCAGTTTTAGCACTGAAAGCCCAACATGAGAAGCATCTCAGTACATTTTTACCATTGAAAGTCCCCACTTCAGTTCCTGGCAAACTAGTTTGGTTGGTTTGTGTGACTCTGGGCCTGTATACCCACAATTAAGAATAAATCCAATCTTGTGTGGTTGACTTAAGGATTATATATAAAATACATAAAACACTTGTCACATTGGAGGCAGTAAATATATGGTATTTGTTATTTGATTGATGGGGTCAAGGGAAGACTTCATGGAAGTGGTAGGGTTTGACTTAGATTTTGAAAGAATAATGAAATCTTATTTGATATAGGGCAAGATAATGCTTAACTGGCAAAGATGGATAGAGATAGAAAATAGGGCAAAGGGAACAGGATGACCCAAAACACAGGAAAAGAAAAATTGTGGGGCATCTTCTAGGGATTGGCTAACTGTGGGGCATCTTCTAGGGATTGGGTTAAGTGTGGGATATGATAAGTACAAGAAAGGATTAAGGTTTAAAAAGGTGATTTAAGACTTCTTCCTATATATGTTAAATGCAAAGAAGAGGAGTTTTTAAATTCAAATCGCAAATATTGTTTGATTTCCCAAGTTTTGTCTTGGTAAATATGTTTAATTAATGCTTACTTGTGTTGCTATTAAGCCAGATAAGCCAAGCTCAGAGACATAATTTCTGGTTTTTAATAGAGTGTTGCAGAGTCATATTGTTCATAAATTACATGTAAATTATGGTGAGCTGTACTTATTTGTAGTTTGTAAAGAGTGTTATAGCATGAAAGTTATTTCATAGCCATTTTTATTTTTATTGGTATTATCTAACATTTGGCATTAGACCTAGGTGATTGATTATTTTAAAATACAGATTATTCACTGAAAATTACAGCAATAATCCCATGAACACATGTTAAACTTTCACAGTAGGATAAATTATATTTCAATTCTGTGGAAGCAATCAAATGATAAATAAGTTTTTGGTTTCAGGAAAATTGGGGTTTGTCTTAGTCCTTTTGTGCCACTATAAGAGAATATCTGAAACTGGATAATTTATAATTAACAGAAATGTATTGGCTCACAGTTCTGGAAGTTGGAAAATCACTGGCATTGGTCTGATGAGGGCCTTCTTGCTGTGTCCTTCTATGGCACAAGGTACAAGGACAAGAGAGCAAGGAGGGGGCCAAACTCACACTTTATAATGGCACAAATCCTGCCCCGAGGGTGGAGCCCTCACACCCCATCACCTCGCAAAGGTCTCATCTCCAAACACTGCCACAACTGCAACCAAATTTCAACATTAGTTTAGAGGGAAGAGACATTTGAACTATAGCAGGGTTCAACTTCAGAACACCACATTTTATTAAGTTAGTATATTAACTCTGCTGTGCTTTAATTAATTTTTCTTGTATTTCTAGGTGTTAAAAAGGCCTAGCACCTTGTAAGGAGAGAGTGTGTGGTATAGTGGTTAAGAGGGAAAACTCTTTAATCAGACTGCCTAGTTTTGAATAATGGCTCTCCCTGGTGGTGACCCCTTGCTGCAGTGCCTATATCTCCATTCAAGGAAGGATTTGTTAGCCCCTCTGGATTGACAAAGCTGTAGAGAGCCCCCTTGCCCAAGTTCATACTGCCCCTCTACCCTGCCCACCACTACCCAGAGGTAGCCCACATGCATTTACTGATTGAGCCAGTGGTATAAAGACCTGGCCATTTTTGCCTAATGAAAGACAACACCATTGGGCCATTTTTGCTCTAGCCCTGTGGGGTTTGTTGTTGAAATTATATCACAGATGAACATCTCCGCCTGTGCACTCTGTATATCTTCTCCTCTCTCACACACAGTTATTGATCCCAAGGGTAATCCTTAATGAACAGTTCTGCATAGCGAACCTCATATCAGAGTCTGATTATCAGATGACTCAGTCTGCCATAATTGATGCCTAGAATGGTCTGAGAAAGCAGGTAATAAGATGGGGTTTGGTGGTGAGATTGCTTGCTGCCTGACTGGCAATGTTCTGAGGTTTGTGGAGCACAGACAACCCTGGACATGTGGTGGTCCTATAGTTAAAACTTTTACTGGTGGTAAATTTGGCTGGTAAATGGGTAGAAGGGGATGCAGTAGCTGATTCTATATATCAAGCATCCACAAGTATGAGGAGAAAGTAATGTTAGGGGAAGTGAAATTGGATGGCTATTGCTAAGCTCATTTGACACTCTAGAAAAAGAGAACAAAAGACAGACTGCTTAATAGTCAATCGAAAGCCTGTGTGCAAGCCAATGGGCTTCCTTCCTATCATACAAACAGCCCATTGTGTCCTGCAGAGGGAGGTCAGAGAAAGCTGGATCAGGCATAGTACTTAATCATCAGAGTGGCTGAGCCTCAAAGAAGATTAAACTCCCAGTCAAGGTAAGTCTGCCATGAAAGAATAGGACACTGGCACATGCAATAGCAACATCTGGGTTGTTACTCCAGAACTTTTAAACCCCTAGACTTCTCTGAAAGTCCTGATCCTTCAGAACTGGCCAGCTCTCTCTCTCTCTTAATAGCTTCCACCAAATCCCTTGTATTTGCAGACAGTAGAGAGGTCTCTTCTTAGCAAGTCAACATGTGACCCCTCAGAATGTCTCCTCATATCCCTGCCACCACAATGAATAAAACTAATGAGGATTAAATAACAGCATAATCAATCTGGGAAGCACTGAGCTTGGAAATGGAGGAAAGGAACTATACCCCAAAGGAGCTGCACGACCCAGCTAGACTGTGTGGACAGGAGCCAGGGGAGACATGAGGGACTGGATTCTGAAGGGTGCTTGATCAGAGGGGCAGGAACATAAGAATGAAGAAGGAAGAAGGAGAGTTTGATAATTCTGGGAGTACACTCCCAAAATATAGAATTTATACCGTGACAGAGACCCCAGAAAATGGTGAGGAATTGTTATTACAGTGGGCTAGAAGCATGGGAAAAGCAATGGCCCATGCTCAGTGAGGTTGAAATGCTGGGTTTGCTGTGGAAGATGGTGAAAGAAGGGATTTAAAAATTCAGGGAACTGGGCATGTAGAGTAAATATTCTGTGTAAGGCTGGAAAACCCACCAGATGATTAGGTTTTAGGGAAAGGGACAGAGAATACACCATTTACAAAGGCTATAAAAATTGCACCAGCATCATGTAGACTCTCCTCTGTAGGCCAGAGCTGGTGATAGGAGAGACCAATCTAGAACTGGTCTCATTGATAGCAATGGGGATGATAGGAGCAAAAACAATTGAAACCAGGTGGTAGCACTGAACTTTTAAAATCCAGGTGAATGCAGTTATCATAAAGACCATTAAGGTCAGAGAAGCAGTGAAGGGGGTGTGATCCTCAGATCATTATGAAGGTGCTAAATAAAGAACATGTTGCTAGGGCAAGATAAGAGGCAATCCAGAAAGATAGTGCTCAGCTAGCACCATCAGAAGAAATCAAGTATGGATGGTTAAGGAGACTGAGTGTAGTTTTGCCAACAAAAAGCCATAATCACTAGCCAAATGTTTGAACTAGAGCCAGCATTTGGACCTAGAACCCAATGATGGAAGAAGATCCTGGGTCCTAAGGGAGCTGGCAATATCTCAGTAAGCAGTGGCAGTAATGATTCCCCATCCTTCCCCAATGAAAGCAACAACCATGTTCCAGGGCAACTGAAGATAGGGAAAGAGGAATATACAAACGTTTGGAAGATTGCTAGACACAAGGCCTGAGTTGACATTGATACCTTGAAACCTGAAGCATCACATGTCCTCCTACACTCCCTCTTTTCCTCTTCTAATCAGTGTACATGGGATCCACTCAATAAATGGAGTTCTAGCCAAAGTATACCTCAAAGAGGGACTTTTGGGATCCTTAAGCTCACCTGTTGGTCAGTTCTTTGGTCACTGAAGGCACAATTTGAATGGGCATATTTGATATTCAGTACAACTATCACATTGGACCTTTAACCTGTGGGATAAGAGCTATCGTAGTGAGGGAAGACCAGGTGGAGAACTTTCACATGCTCTCCCCTGCCTCATCCAAATTAATGAATCAAAACAATATTAAATCCTGGGGACTGGGAGTGGTGGAAATTAATACTGTCCTAAAGATTCTAAATGACACAGGGGTGATGTTTCACATCATATCTCCATTTAATCCCCAGTTTGGACCCTGAAGAAACTAGATGGATCTTGGAAGATGACAGCATGCTATCATAAACTGAAATCAAGTAGTAGTGCTAATTGTAGCCACCACACCACATGTGACATCTGTGCTCAAGCAGATGACATGCCCTCAGGCACGTGGTATGCAGACATTGATCTGGCAAATTTATTCTCTTTTTCCTGTCAGAAAAGAAAAACAGAAACAGTTTTAGTTGTGAAAAGGACAAGAGTATACATTTAACAGTTTTGCCTCAGTGGTATAACTGCCATTCTGTCATGATATGGTTTGAAGAGATATGAACTGTTATATCAATAATATCAACCATTTAATATGTACATCAAATATTCACTGGGTAGTGAGCATTCTAAGATGTTGTCATAGACTGCTGAAGTCCCAGCTGAAGCAGCGGTTTGGAGATCTATATTATGAGGATGGGATGCTGTCCTCCAGGATTTAGTGTATATCTTGAGTCATATCTTTATACAGCACTGTGTTCTCAATAGGAAGAATACTTGAGTCCAGGAACTAAGGGGTGGAAAGAGGAGTGGCTCTGCTTGTAATCTCTCCCACAAATCCCCTTGGGAAACTTGTGCTTCTTGTCCCTACAACTTTTGTATGTGCAGTATGATCTTCACATCAACTTTGGGATTTGCAGTTCTCATGGCCCAAAGAGGGGACACTTTCACCAGGGGTACATAAAAATGATCATTGAACTATATGCTGTGGTTAATATCTGGGTAATTCAAGCTTATTATTCATAGGGAACATTAGACAAGAAGTGAAGTCAGATCTTGGGTAATTAACTCTGATGATCAAGAATAGGAAATGCAGTTACAAAATGGGGAAAGGCAGAAATATGTTTGGTACCCAGTTGAGGTACTGCTCAACTGGGTGCCTCTTGGTGCTTTCTCAACCAGTTGTGACAGTAAATGTACAATGCAGCCACCACCCCACTGTGAGGCTCAGGGGTTCAGACCCTTCAGGAACGATTGTTCAGGCCAATAGTTAAGTAACTGAAACTGGCAGAAGTGCCAGCCAAGGGTGAGAGGAATCTGGAATAGATAATAGAGGAGGGAGAGTATCAGTATTAGTTGAGACCAGCTGTAGACCAATCTTTTTGTAAATTTCCCCCAGGAAGATAGGTTACTAGATTTTGGACATGCTGCCCTCTTCATATAAATGAAAGAGAGGATTCAAGCAACATGAGGAGTAGAATGGGTTGGACACTGTGATGTGTCACCAAGATCTCTCTTTAATGAAGGGCCTGTTGCCCGCTCTCTGCAAATGCTGTTGACAAACAGCTTTTAGGTCTCAAGAATTGCTTCAGGTCTAATGAGCCACTTTGCTTATGGTCCCACCCTTCTGAGTGGGCCCCTGATTGAGACGAGGTTACCAAGTTCTGGCCCTTTTTGTCCCAATGTAGAACCATTCTTGTGAGCTGTTTTCTCTCTTTTTTCAAATGATTGATAAAGCTATGATCAGGTCTGCATCAGAGCTCAGCTTCAGCATTTGCATTCAGTAAACACTAGCTATTGTTGATTAACAAACAGGATTATTTTCAGGATAGAGTAAGAAAAAAGAGGTGAGACTATTGTGAAAATATTTTAATGATCAGTGTTCATATAAATAACAAGTTTCCTATATTAACATATTTTTTGCCTGACACAAAAGGTAGAAGTAATTTTATGCCATTAGAAATATTTTATTTTCCTCTCTTGCCTCTACTGTTGTGTTTCCCATGGTTACAGTTACCTGGAGAAACTGATTTCTTTCACACATTAAACCCTGCGAAATGAATGGGATGATGTAACCAATCTTCTAATCACAACTGTGTGGGTGTGTGGAGGGGTGTGTGTGTGTGTATATTCAAACCATAGACACTTAACAGAGGTTCTGTGACAGAGTTTTCACTCTTGAAGTGTCAGCGCTGCAAACAGTATAAATATTAAACAACAATACAGTGTTAGCTTTTTTTTAACTCTAAAAGAAAAATAACTTTGTTCCACCAATTCAGCTAATAATTTTAACACCCATTACGTTCCTTTTGACACCCATTACGTTCCTGGTCCCAATCTAGAAATGAGGGATATGAATAAGTGATCCCCAAAATCTTACTCTTTAGAAATTTTTAGATACCTATTTTTATGTTTTCTAATTTCCTGGTAATTCCTACTAATGTGGTCATTGAGGAGTCAACTAAAAAAGGAGTCTTTTAATTTAATAATAATATAATAACTGCCATCTGTGAAGCACTTACTGTGTGGCAGACATCATGCTAATAGTTTTATTAATATTTAAGCAAACTTAATAAATATTTATGAAACAGCCTCTGTGTACCAGGCACATAGTGAACACTAGCACGATGGTCTATGCATCAGGCACATTGCCTGTCCTTGCAGCACTGATTGCCTTGTTGGGAAGACAAACCTACAATATAAAAAATGCTACATTATGGAAAGAAAAGGATAGTATTGAACAAAGAATAACATAGAAGAAGTCTGAAACTACTTTTGCATGGTCAGGAAAAGTTTTTCAGAAAAAGTGATATCTAAGCTGAGACCTGGAACATAAGCAGGCATTGGCTAAGAGATTGAAGGCTTCAGAGGAGAAATAGCATGCACAAAGAGCAGAGGAACCAGACAATTTTATCAAGCTGGAAAGCAATGTAGTTAGTGGGAAACAGTGGTAAAGGCATCTAGAGAAGGGAGCAGAGGACCAGCCAATCATAACAGACCTTGCATACCCATAAAGCAGTACCCATGAATGTACCCTCTACTTTTTCCTAGGGCAATGGGAAGCCATTACCAGGATTTTGGTAAGGAGACAGATGACTTTTTGTATTTGCAGTTGAAAAGTTTCATTCTGGCTGCATCATAGGTTACAGAGGTAAGCAAGACCAGAGGCAGCAAGGTGGCTATTCAGATCGTCTCTGTGTTAGAGGTTAGTAGTTTGGATAAGGAGAACTTTGGGATTAGCAAGACATTTAGACGTTCAAAGCATGTTTAGAAAACAGTAGTAATAGTTATTAGGGAATGTTTTGGGATGTGGTACTGAGGCCAAGGAAGAACAGGAATGCTGCACTTAGTCCTGCAGATGTTGCCTTGAACAAAGGATGGCTGCTCAGGAAATGAGTAGGTGCTGATTTTTCTGTGAGCCCAGCTTACCTGATTGTGTGCTCTGGCATGGCCTATGTCCATCAGGAGAAAAGAAGATCTTTTCTAAGTTGCACAAAGATGCCATATGGGCTACTAGTGACCGTGCAGGATGTTAACTGTAATCCCAAGGTTTCTAGTTTGGACAATTGGATTACTGCTAGCACCATTTGCTGAGACTGGGGACAGAAGTGGTCGTGGGGAGGAAAGTCATGAACGCAGTTTGCACTACAGGCTGGGAAGGGTGTGTGGTGTGTGTGTGTGTGTGTGTGTGTGTGTGTGTGTGAAGTTGGTTAATCGATACAAATACATAGTTAGATAGAAGAAATAAATTCTAATGTTCAATAAATAGGGTAAGGTGACTATAGTTAATAACAGTATATTGTATCTTTCAAAGTAGCTAGAAGAGAGGATTTGAAATGTTCCCAACACAGAAATGATACATACTTGAGGTGATGGATACCCTAAATACCATGACTTGCACATTCTGTGCATGTAGCAAAGTGTCATATGTACACTATAAAAATGTACAAATATTGTGTATCAGTAAAAACTTTTGAAGTAATAGTAAGCCCATTTTATAAGAGAAATTGAGTCGTAGAGAGATTGGTGTTTTTCTTGAGGACATATAGTTAGTAAATGGTAAAACTAGGATTCAGATCTTGATGCTATATTTTTTCATTCCTATAATTCCTACGAAATAAGAAAGACAAAAGTCAATTACCATATTGTGGTGTCAATTACCATATTATGGGAACTACATTATGAAAATAGATGTGATTTTATTTGGGAAATGTACCTGAAAAATTGTTAAGTCATTTGTGTATTGTATATTTCACTTCTGAATATCCAGAAACTTAATTTCAAGAAATGTTTTTGCCTGTAAGCTTTCTTTTCACTTTTCCTGTCTTCCCTCCTGCTGTTGTATTGATTTTTTTTTTTTTTTTTTTTTTTTTTTTTTTGAGATGGAGTCTCACTCTGTCACCCAGGCTGGAGTGCAGTGGCACAATCTCAGCTCACTGCAACCTCTGCCTATGGGGTTCAAGCAATTCTCTGCCCCAGCCTCCTGAGTAGCTGGGATTACAGGCATCTGCCACCATGCCTGGCTAATTTTTATATTTTTAGTAGAGATGGGGTTTCACCACGTTGGCCAGGCTGGTCTTGAACTCCTGACTTTGTGATCCACTTGCCTCGGCCTCCCAAAGTGCTGGGATTACAGACATGGATTTTCTCTCTCTCTTTTTTTAAAGCCCTTTCTCTTCTCTGTTATTCAAGCTCCAACTGTAGCCTTACTTCCTCCAAGAAAAGATTCCAAACATCCTACATGATGTAAATATTCCTCTCATGAGCTTCCTGGGCATCTTGTGTATACTTTCACTTGAATTATGACATTACCCTAATGTTGGTTTACTTTTAGTTTTATATTCCTAGTACCTGGCACATAGTTACTGTTCAGTAAAGAGTGTTTGATAGAATACTGTGTGAGTGAACCACTTCTCAAGGCACACCTCTTCTAATAAGCCTTCATTGATTTACCCATTCTATCACCTAGTCCTGTGACTCCCAGACATAAGTGGACATAAAAATGAACTAGGAATTTTTTTAAAAACATAGATTTACAGGCTTCACTCCAGACCTACTGAATCTGAGCCAGGGCCAAGTTATCTGGACTTAGAAAATGTTTCCCACATGACTATACAGTCCGACCACCCATTTAGGAACCACTGCTTTAGCCCCCAGCACAGTCTGATAAAACTCTTCTACCAATGTGTGCTTACAGTTGTTATATTTTATATGGTGGTTTAGGTAATCAATTTGTTATATCATCATTAAGGAATTTTGAGATAATTATATATGTCTAAACTTTTTAATATAACACCAGAAACTCAGTAGGGTGATAATGGTGATAATACATGCTTGTCCACAGCTTGTCCACAGAGTATTCTCCTATGTCTCACATCTTAATTTACTTAGTTACTTACAGTCCTTTCATTTTAAGAGAGTTGCATGTCACACTTTGTATATTAAGTAAAATTTATATAAACATACACATGAAACAGGTATTTTTTCTACTTCTTGGTAAAACACATTTTGTATGATCATATTATTGTTTTAGAAAATATACAAAACATTTTTTATCTTGCTGTCTGTTATGCACTTTATAAATTTTGCCAACACAGAATCCATCTGGGCTAAGGCCAGCAGAACTGTTTCACTTTTGCCTTGTTTGCGTATTAACAACACAGCTAATGTCAACATGGCTTTATTTGCTCTTGCTCCAAAAAAGCTGACCAGAATCCATGTAGATACCTTATAAATCATTTAGATTTTCTTCTGCACCATTAAGAAAGTGTTGACATTTTTTAAAGGAAGGCTTTTTTTTTTCAGACTACAGTAATTCTATCATTGAGCACCAAAATCATTTTCAGGATGGCATTATTCATTTTTCTAAAATGCCATGTCCAGATTCCCATTTTTTTCAAGAAGCTTGGCTGAATTAAATGAGTGACTTGGCTTGACTTAACCTCATAAACTTCAATGTCTTAACATTTTGCCGTGGAAGTACATTATCATTGACAGGGCATGTTTTATGTTTTTTGTTCCCATTTCCTCTGTTAGTAATCAAGAAAACCTGGAATTTCTTGATGCAGTAAATATCTCTGCGTCAATAATGTAGTCATACTTTCTGGATTATTTCTCAACACTTCAGTTAATGTGACATCATTCTAGATTATCTTACTAAGTCTTTTATACTCTCACCATACTTTCGGATCTAAGATTTATCACTTGTCCTTCCTTCTGCAAGTATGCTGCTTCCTAGGGCTGAGATCTCTGAAGGAGTTGATGATAATTTCAACATCCCAAGATTTTGCTATACCTTCTTTGGGGAAGAGCATCTCTCAAGAGTGGCATTTTCCAAATAATCTCATAGGAGCCCTGTCAAATGTAAGCACACTTCTGGAACAAGTTAATTCATTTTTACCCATTTTTTGAGATGATATTTACTGGATGGGTTGAGTTACTGAACCTGTTCCTGCTGCAATCTCCAGTCATATCACAAATCTGTCATCCAATTGCCTGTGTCACAACATTAGTGTCCCTACCTCCATTCTTCCTAATTCTACCTCATCCTCTATATAAGGGCCATCATAAGGTCTTCAAACATCATATTTAGGTCATTCTTTTGCAAAGTCTGCAGAAATGCCTTCTTTCATATTAAATCAACTTTGAATTTCTCAGTCTACACTGAGTCCTCTTGTCACTAAGCTGCCTCCAGGCCGTCCCACGTCATCATTTGTTGTTGTCCAACATGATGAGCTCTTGGTTCCTAGCCATTCTATTTTTCTTTAAGTTTCTGAACTTGTTCTCACATTTCATTCCTTCTGTCATGTTTAATGCATTCCATTTTAATCACCTCCTTGTTCTGTACTCCTTCAACAATTATATTTAGCCATAGCTAAGGGAGAGCTGAATTTCTGAAAATATTTGTGGGGCTCTAAAATTAGCAAGGCAAGTTGCATTTTCAATTCACTAGAGGGAGTGAATTTAAATACTTAAAATAACCTTCCTAGAAATTACTCTAAGAAATTAAACGAGTCCTTTTAAAGAGTAAAAAATTCCTCTTTAAAAGAGCAATTTAGAATCACAGAATAATAGAAGCTTAGTCTAAGGAGATCACTTAATCCTAAACACTATTTTTTTTTTTTTTGAGTCGGAGTTTCACCCTTCTTGCCCAGGCTGGGGTGCAATGGCATGATATTAGCTCACTGCAACCTCTGCCTCCCAAGTTCAAGCCATTCCCCTGCCTCAGCCTCCTGAGTAACTGGGATTACAGGCATGCACCACCATGCCCAGCTAATTTTGTAATTTTAGTAGAGACAGGATTTCACCATGTTGGCCAGGCTGGTTTTGAACTCCTGACCTCAGGTGACCCACCTGCTTCAGCCTCCCAAAGTGCCGGATTACAGGCATGAGCCACTGTACCTGGCCCTAAACCCTAATTTTAAAGCAACTAAATTATATCATTGTAGTTTGTGTTATATTACATGTTGCTTATATGTTGCCTTGTGCTGTGGTCTCAATGTTTGCATGCCCCCAAAATACATATATTGAAACCTAATCACTAATGCGATGACATTAGGAGGTAGTCCCTTTGGGAAGTGATTAGATCATGAGGACAGAGCCTTATGAATGAGATTAGTTCTCTTAGAAAAGAAGCCCCAGAGAGTGGCCTTGCCTCTTCCACCATGTGAGGACACAGTAAAAAGGTGTTGTGAGAAAGTAGGCCCTCACCAGACACCAAATCCCTGCTGGTGCCTTGATCTTGGACTTCTCAGCCTCCAGAACTGTGAGAAATAAGTTCCTGTTGTTTATAAACTACTTTGTTTACAATATTTTGTTATACCAGGCCAAATGAACTAAGACACTTTAAAGCTGATTTCTTAATGTGTCATATCTTGTTTTCCTACTTGCTCCTCATGTATTTTCTTTCCTAGTTATTGGCACTTTCATCAATTCAGTGGCTTGAGCTAGGAAACTAGAAGTCATCAAGACCTCGCTCCTTTGCTCCACTCTACACCATAATCTCTTCAACTAGACTGTGATCTCTTGAGAACAGGATAGTGTGTATTTGACATCCTATCTTGCCTACCTAGCACAGTAATTAGAATACAGGAGGTAGTCAATAAATTCTTGAATTAGTAAATGAAACTTATCCTTGTCTCTACCCTATATCTAAACCATTATCAAGTTCTTTTGATTTTATCCCCTAAATAGTTATTTAATCTGATCTCTCTTCCCACCTCTGTTTATTCCTTCTGATTTTACCCCCTAAATGGTTATTTAATCTGATTTCTCTCTCACCTCTATTCTCATTATCTCTTATCTAGACTGTCAAAATAATCTGTTTATTCAATCTTGCCCCCCTACCCTCTATTACCGTTTCTCAAAATGATTCATTTTGAATTAAAATATGATATTGCCACTACTAGCAGAATCTTTTCAATGGCTTTATATCATCCACAGGATGTTTTTTAAGTCCCGTAGCATTAGACAAGGCCCTATGTGAGTCCTTCAACTTTTCCAGTCTCAGGTTGTGTTACTGTCTCACTCTTCTTTTCAAATAGTACCAAACTGATTTGGTATTCTTGTATACGCCATGAGGTATATAGCAGATGGACTCTTTTTTTTTTTCTTTTTTTCTTTTTTTTTAATTATTATTATTCTTTAAGTTTTAGGGTACATGTGCACAATGTGCAGGTTAGTTACATATGTATACATGTGCCATGCTGGTGTGCTGCACCCATTAACTCGTCATTTAGCATTAAGTATATCTCCTAATGCTATCCCTCCCCCTTCCCCCCACCACAACAGTCCCCAGAGTGTGATGTTGGACTCTTAGCCTGGGTTGGTGAAAAGGTCAGAGAAGGATTCCTAAAGAGGAAGACACATTAGAGAGACCTGAAAAATTAGTAAGAGTTAGGGGGAAAGAAGGCAGAGACTTTGAAAAAAAAATAACCTTACCTCTTTTTGCCCCTATTTGGTTCTAAGTTATAATTGTTTAAACCTTGAAAATTTATTGCCTGAAGTATAAGCAAGATGCTGCATCAAGCCTTTTTTCAGTTAAGTCATGTGGTTGGCTGCAGGATCTTTCATTCATTTTCTCATTCAACAATTATTCATTGAGTTCTGTTTATGCGCCAAGCATTGTGTTACACACTGATGGTACAGAGGTGGGCAAATGAGGCAAGCACCCTGACCTCATGGAATACAGACACAGTCATTACTCAGTTACCCTTCAAAGCCTAAGACCTAAAGACTTGATTGGACCACAAGAGGAAACCAGAAATGCCAAAGATGTATCTTTAGCCCTTTATCTATGTAAATGTTGTGCTAATCCAATAAGGAATGAATAACAATTCTCCTTAGTATATGGTGGTGAGAATAACTGATACTTTTAACTCTTTGACAATGATACTATTGTACAGATGAATCACAAGAGATCAGTTTATTTAGGTATTATTCTAATAATGGTTAGTGGACAGTTTTGCCTTCAAGCATGGAATCAGTCTAAGAAAATCTTAAAAGCTTTTTGAATTCACATCAATGTCATCACAGGAGTAGTTTTTTTTAGGTGGAATTGATGTTTACTATGCCCTTAAAGCAATAATATTGCACTGTAAGAGGCTTAACACATTTTTAACAACCTCTCTTACCATCCTAGAAGCACTGCTGGATACATGTTTTCAAGTTGATGTGGTTTCAGTGCAGAAAGGTTCTTTAAGGTAGCATGAAACACAAATCTAGCACTGCAAATAAATCCCTGGTGTTATTTATCAGGGTTTTGGATAACTTAGGTGTCATCCGTGTAAGTAACACAGAGGTCTCCTCTTTGGCTAATTACTCAACATAGTTTTTAATCTTACTAGCTGATGTATGAATGCCAAGAACATATCCAAATTGTATATTTGCTACTCTTCTGTAAGTATGTTTTTAGTATCTAATATGACCAATTTAACTTATTGTTTCAATTCTCTATTTGCAACATTCAAAAAGAATTCTTTACTAAAATCTTTTAGTGTTTTATTTTCAATTCAGTATTTCCTAAATTGTGCTTTTATTTAACTAGTTTTATGCTTTTAACTCATTCATCTGGAAAATATTTTGAATTTTTAAAAATTACGCATATCTGGTCATATCACTCCATAACAAGTTAAATGAATGAAGAAACCAGCAGTAAGAATGAAATGTGCAGATGGGAGGGAAAGGCAAAAGAGAACCCATACATATTCTCAGGTAGGCATCAGAGGCCAAACATAGGCAAAGAGTCAGGGTAATTGTTTACCGAATGTCAGAGAAAGAAAAGAGATCCAGAAACTGTAGAATCAAATCTAGAGCCAGGTGTGTAACTATGGTTACCACGGTTACTGTCTGTTACTTTAACCAAGAAAATGGAAGGCATCAAGAATCCAGTCACAACTAGGATTGCATGGCATAAAAATCAATTAAAAAGTATTTCACCTATTTGGAGAGTAATAGAACTATAGGTCAGAAAATAAGAGTCCTGATATCACAGGAAAATCAATATTATACCATTAGCACCACTACCACTCCTATGACCATTACTTTAACCTTTATGACGATGTATGTTTACTGCAATATACCCAATGAAATGCCTAGATTTTGATAAAGGTGCTTAGTGTGCCTGTTTACATGTCAAAAATACTCATCAGGCCTAGGTACCTGCCACTATAAACTAGTAAAGCTATCTGAGTATTTTCTTTGCATTCAGAATCCTTTAAAGTGGTATTTTTCTTATTCTTTTATAATAGTTAGGATGAGGTAGAATTCACATGACAAAGAAAAGTTTCAACATACACTGAGATGGAAGGGAGAATGGCAGAAACAGAGAGAATATCTATAGTTAGGACACAGGGAAGGGAGAAAGCACAGTGAGGGAGATAAAGAAGGACTGGTCAAAGAGTAGGAGAGAACGTAAAGAATACAGTCTTACCAAAGCCAAGATAATAGCTATTGAAAAGAGGAGACATGTGTGAAGGTGAGAAATGCTTAATTTCATCAAGTGCTATAGAGGAAACAAGAATGGTGAATTTGGTAATTAAAAAGGCATTGAAAGCTTGGGGAAAGTGGAAATAATAATAATTAATGTCCATTGAGTACCCACTGCATAGTAGCTATTATTTTAAGAACTTTTTATATAACATCTTGTTTAATCTTCATAACAACACTAAGAAGTTTAGGAGGTAGGTACTAGTACTAATCTCATTTTGTACATGAAATAACTAAAACACAAAGATGTTGGGTTACTTACTCAAGTATATGACACTAATGGAGAAGCCATGATTTAATCCTCACAGTCTAGTTCTAGAACCAGGACTTTTAATGGAGGCTGATTTGAATTAGGCTGAATTTGAATTAGGTGCTAATGTTCTTGAGAAAATGTGGGAATGAGCCAGAGATGTCAGTAGAAGGTGACATGGTGATGAGAAAGGATTCTTACAACAGAAGGGAGTGGACTGAAAAGAAGAGAGTAGTTGGACCAGCTATCTATGGAATGAGTCTAGAAGTACTAGTGGAGAAGAAGGGCATGTAGACTTTTCACTTCTTTAGGAGTGAATGGCCCTGACATGATTCGGTTGGGAAGGAAGTAGGAATCTTAAGGAAAACAAATGATTCAATTAAGATGAAGAGAATAAAATGGTCAAATATTAAAAAAGAATTTGTTTTGGGGGCCATAGTGATTAGGCTTGCAGAAAATGCCAACAGGTTGGCAGAAGGTTAGAGCTGTGCTGAAAGGGATGAGATCACGAGACAACAGCCATGAAGAAAGGGTAGTAAGTGATTATGTACCTCAGGACTGAAGGGACAAGAGGTCAGGAGGCACTCTGTAGGGGCCTAGATGTCTACAGGGATATGTTTAAAGGGGGTGTTGTATAGATAGAAAAGTACTTTGTTTCCAGGTTCCAAATATAATGTTATTATGTTGGTAGAAGCATCTCCAAAACTCTGGCCCTAGAAATTAGGTCCTAAGTAAGCTTTAAAAGTGGTACTCCCAGTCTTGGGAGATTCACGTTAAAATTAAACTATAAAAAAACTAAGAGAATTCAGAAAATTATTTGAATGAAGAAGTGCTTTATAAGTATGACAAAAAGTTAGAATTCTTAAAAGATTTTTAAATTAAATTGAAAACAATTTCAAAATAGAAAAAAAAAACCCACTATGAGCAAAGTCAAAAGATAAACTCAGTAAATATTGGCATTTTTTAAAATCATAAATACATTTTCTGATATGTTAAGAATTTCCATAACTCAGTTAAAGGTAATTAGATTAATAGAACAATGGCCAAAAGACGTATTTATGTTCACAGAAAACAAAATAGAAATGGTTTTTATACATAAGGAAGATGTTCAATCTCAACCACAAGAAACGTTTTGAGTAAACCATAACCAGCTATCATTTTTTCTTATCAGCTTAACCAAGATAAAATAGTTGATAAGTTACTATGTTGGCAAAGGTATAAGAAAGCACATACTTTCATACATTATTGGTGAAAGTATAAATTATATATTTGGCATATGTTTAAAATTAGTAATGCACCATACTCTTTGACCCAGCAACTTGACTTCTTGTAATTTATCCCATAGGTATAGTTGCACATATGCAAAATGACATATGACAAGTTATTCAATGAAGCATTATTTGTAGTTATAAAATATTGTAAACAGTCTAAATGGAACCAGTGCAAATTTGGAATTAGAGAAACAAATTGTGGTAAAATGGCATGCCTTCTAATTATTACAGAAAAGAAGTAAAGTATAAGGAAGCTGTGTAAGTACCCATAAGGAACAATCTCCAAGGCAAGGGGTATATAGTGCATTATCCTTTGTGTAAATATAGGAGATGCAACAGAAATATATGTGTTTATTATTTTTACATAGTATAAATCTGGAAGAATGTCCATACATAGAAAATAAATCCAACAGACTTCCCTGGTTTCCTCAAGGGATCTAGGTGGCATAGGAGATGTTTACCCGTTGTCTATTCTTCTATGTCTTTTGTATTTTTAAATGAGTTGCCCTGTCACTGGGATTCCTTGTTTCAGGATAAAGATAAGGCCAAGAGAATTGTAATTTTCAAAAACAAAACTTGATCAGCAACAGGTCCCCAGCACAGAGCTTAAATAAATTGGAATGGTGGCTTAAGGGTAGGTTTATGAGAGTCATAAATTCCAAATCAAGTCTTGTGCGTTCTATTTTGCAGGCAATGAGGAAGCAATAAAGGACTCTGAGCAAGAGAACGATGTATATAGGCCATTGTTTTGGAAGATTCATCACAAATTCATGTGCAAGTAGATTGGAGGAAGGAAGTATCAACAGAAAGAAAGGCCAATTATGAGACCATTGCAATACTATATGGTACATATGTTGCATATGTTTAATATTATGTATAACATATATAAACACTTCAAAAAGTCAGTTATCGCTAACTTCCTTCCTCCTTTCTTTCATTCCTACTATACAGTCCAGAAAGAATTGAAATTGATAATATCTTGTCACCTAACTTCCATATTCCACTTTTCTCCCCAGTGTTTGGCATCTTTGACATTTTAATAAAAAACAAAACAGTTAGAAAGATCAATTAATATTGTCTTTGGAAAAATTGTTAATTTGTGTTTATTTGCTTGACTCTTTTTTCCAATTGAGCTAAATGTGATTTTGAAGGACCATTCATCATATACTTCAGTTTAAAAGTTTGAGATTAAGATTTTTAGACCAAGTGAGAATTTGAACAGGAATAGGATCTAATTTTTAAAAGTAAGATTTGGAATTTCCCATGGAACTTAACATTTATGCTTACTTGGGAGTTAGTGAAGACCTTGCTTATGAATGTGGCAATGGAAATGGAGAGGAAATGATACATTTGAGAGGAAGCTTTGACTACGCTTATGGACTAAGTGGATTTTAGAAAATACAGAAAAGCAGTGGTTACTTTTGAACCTGGTATTAGGAGAATTACTTTGACTCTAAAATGAAAAAGAAAGTGGGAGGAAATGGAGGAAAGGCAAGCATTTCATAGAATTACTATTTTATGTTTCTAATAAATCAAATTTGGTTTGGCAGTAGACATCAAAGTGGCAATAGCCAAGCAACAGACCTTGAGCTCAGGGAGATTAACATGACTATGCAGATTAGGGAATCATTTGTACAGAGGCAGGTGAGTTTTCTGAGAGTATAGAGAGTTTAAAAAGGGATAGCTTGAAGGAAATGCTCCTTACCACTTCAATAATGTGTAGCAAAATTATTCAGCTGGTGTTTGAATTGGCATACAAAGTCATTCTGATAATGATAGAATTTGTGTAATAGTTTTCATGTGAAAGCTGAGACTAAGATAAGCGCTTGCATGCACCATGCATCATAGCAGTTCTCCTAACACATATCTGTCCAGAAAAACCAGGATTTAGAAACAATAACAAATTTGTTCAATGGATGTTGTATGTTTTCATGGCTCTTTTTTACAAATGAGGTCAGTGTATGTGTAATTAGATTAACTCACTTCAGTATGCTTATCTCATGGTAACACAAAATATAGATTCAGGAAAATCAACTACTCTTATTCATTAAAACATTAAGTTCAGTTGTGTAATATTTACAGTTATGCCTCAAAATTATGGGAAAACAAGGGGAAACGTTGTTCCTTAATGTACCAAATAGCAGACAACATAAACCCCTCAGTTCACTGTGACACAGTTTCCTAATTACCCTACTTGATATATTTTTGCACTCCATTTTAACTTACAAATAGTATGATACATATTCTTCTCAAGATATAAATCAATTGAAATATGTGATAACTCTATACAGTTTAATTTTTTTTAAAGCAAATGGTAGCAGTATTAAACTGTATTTATTTAAATAATTTAAGAATTGAGAGCTTTAATGTGAGAGTGTATTCTTAAACAGAATTATGCCTTCCTACCTATAAGAGGAAAATTTGAAAGTTTTCTCAGGAAAATTATTTTTTACATATTTGATTTTAATGTACTATAGAAGAAAATTTTTCTGTTTTAATAAGTGAATCATTACATAGTCACAGCTAAGTATTACTGAAACAATTATCACATTATCAATATAAATAGTTTAGAAAATTAGACTCAATAATAGGGGTAAAGACTGTGTTAACATTTAGGAAAAGTAGATAATGTATCATTAAGAATGAACACTAATGCAAATTTTAACAATACTGTGCAACTTGTTGGTTCTCTATCTTGTATTGGAGAAGACTTCTTGTCTAACCTTGGTTTAATTTTACCCTGTACATAAGCATTAACCTCATTTGGGTCATAAATGTGAATCAATAGAGTTAAAAAATACCACATTTGACCTTGCCATAATGCCAAAACTTTAGATATTTAATATTGTATTCCTTATTTAATGTGTTAATTTCATTTGGAGATAATATAACCATCTTCATCTTTAAAAACATAATTGAATAATGAAGTAAACCAAAACAAGCATTTGAATCATCATTTAGATTTTAATGGCCTTAAGACTGAAATAAATAGAGACAATGTGAGTAAGTTACGCTGACATAAAGAATAAGTTTATGGTGCAGGTTTAACTACATTCTGTTACAAATTGTGCCTGGAGAGTTTTATAGTTTTGTTTTCAAGGAGGTAGAATTAATAGGAATTGCATCAGGAATACCAAGCACTATGAGAATGAGGAATCTCAAATTACTCTTATGACTCTCTGCTCCTAGCAATGGTCAGATATTTAAGTAAAGACCCCATTAAGACAGACCAACAAATTGTAGTTAATGAAACTTTACATGAACCAAAAGTATGAAGGGGTCTCACAAAATGCTAGTGCCCCTTTTGGTTTTATGTTTATTTTTTAAAGAATAAGTTTGAAGAAAGAGAGAGAACTAATAATTTTCTTGAACTGGGATATCCAACCTGCATCTCTATTGTGATTGGTTCTGGGAGTTCAGAGCAGGACTGATTAGCAAGTCTACTAGAAGGCAACTAGGCAAGTCATGCATAAAAAGTGACTTCAGACATCACCCAAGGAAGGAGAAAAATGATGAAACCATAGAAACACCACTAGGTCTCAGATGCTCTTAATTCACCAGTATCCCTGCCTTGAAAACAAATGCAGCCTTTTGAAGTTTGGTCATTGGAAAGGTCCAAGCAAAGCTGAATGAATTTATTTTAAGAAAGTTGTATATCAGATGTTGCATTAAGTAGAGGTTTGAGCTGGATGACACATAAATCACATGCAATCCAAAGAGTCTATAATTATTTGTATACGTACATATATGTCCAGAGACAGTATGCTTACTGATTAAATTTTGTTTCAAAATGCAAATTCAACTAAAGCTTTATTTTATCACATGTAAATAGCTGTAATTCTCTAAATCACACATTGCTTCTTAGAAACTTCTGAGTAATTTCTGATTCTTTGAACAGTCCCTTAACAGTCTTATATATTATTCCATTTTACAGATGAGAGCATCAGAGACAATAACCAAGGTCTTATAGATACCAAGTGAGGAATCTGGGATTAGAAGTCAGTCTATTTCATTGGAAAGGCTGTTTTCAGTCTTTTTCACTGGAAAAGTTGTCATCCTGTGTCTTTCTTATAGTACATATATTACAGTAATAAAACTTTATTTTCCTTTTCAAAATGTTTGTCTTTATAGAGTTGTAATCCTGCTTAAGTGCAACATTTCTAAATTCTAGTACATAGAAGAATTAACAATTACAAATTCAAAGAGCCGTAGAGTCTTGCTATAACATCAAATTATAACATATTGATTGGCCTTATACTATCATATGCATTGAATGAGAATTCAAGAAATTTCTGGATTGAAGAGCTTTGGTTGTGATTAGGTAGCACCATAGATAACCATGCCGCAATAATCCTGCCACTTCTAAAGATAAATTTTCCTGGTCAGACTCCAAACTTCATATTGATATCTATACTCCATTGTTGTATCAGAAAGATGCATTATGAATTTGGTTTTATAATTACAGGACATATATATGTCTAATGAGCCAATAACCTACAGAGCTATCTTTTAACACAGCTTTCTCATCTCTAAAACACCATTGTCAGTTTTAAAAACTAGGCTTTGGCTTCTGCAAAACAACACTTAATCTTTAATATAAGGGGCATTCAGTAAGCATTGCTAGCTCTTACTTAACGTCAAAATCACCTTACAATTTACCAACCTTCAAAAAAATAGGAGTAAAAAGGGGAAACCACTGCTTTGCATTTGTCTCAGCCATATTATGACAGTAGGGGACACAAGAAGAAACACTGTAAAGTAATAGTCCTAAAATAGGGTTCCAGTTGTCTCTAACCAGGGACCCACCCAGAATGCAAATTCACAGTCCATAACATCTTCCGGGTTCTTGGACTGCATGTGTCTTGGGACACTCAGAGAGAAATCTTTTCCTGCTGTGTGAAGTAAAACAAATTGCATGCCAAAGTTGTATATCACCATGAGTTCAGATATTAGTTGCACATTTTTTAGCTCATTTTGAAAATGTAAAATATAAAATGAAATTAATTTTAATAACTGAGTTTAAAGTAAAGCTGCCGGAGCCCAAAAGTGCTTGCCCTGGCTCCTGCACTGGCTCACCTGTGTGCTCCCTCCGGCAAGGGGTGGAGTGCAGTGGGTCCCAGTGAGTGGAGTTCACCTCTACCGGCACT
The DNA here is from genome assembly GCF_000001405.40 of Homo sapiens. NCBI lineage: Eukaryota > Metazoa > Chordata > Mammalia > Primates > Hominidae > Homo > Homo sapiens. The sequence goes on from NC_000011.10 coordinate 101,199,942, forward strand.
GAAGCAGCTGGCTAGTTCCAGCACCTATACACTCCAGTTCCCTCCTGGGAAAGGATCAGGGAAATATCGTGCTTCAGTAAGTTTATTCCCCTAAGTGGGTACTCTTGGCTCCAACATTGACCCTCTTAAGTGCCAGGATAATTTCTGTGTACATGTATGTGCATGTGTATGTGTGTGTGTGCAAGCACTATTAGAGTAGTCTATTAGATACAGTTTAAAATTTACCATCACCTTCATATGTTGCTTGGATCCTTAGTCAGTGTAATGAAGTACATCCTTGGAGCCAGAGCTGGGTTCAAATCCTGGCCCTGACACTTATAAACTGTACCATCTTGGAAGTCAGGTAATCTCTACAAGACTGATTGTATGTCCTTGAGAAAGTAGAGATAATAGTAATGCCTACTTGTAAGGTTATCATATGGGCTAGAAATGTTTATGTAAATGGCCTCCTATAGTCCCTGAATCTTCTTGTAAATTCATACCAAGTAATAACAAGTAATTTTAAAGTGTCATTTTCCTGGGAATTTGTTAGAAATGCAAATTCTGAAGCCCCACCCCTCACCTACTGAATAGAAAACTCTGCTGGTGGGGCCCAGCAATCTCTGTTTTAACAAACCTTCCAGGTGACTCTGACGTACACTCAAGTTTGAAAACACTGGTCTAGAACAAAGAAATTATTGCTTAGCTTTGAGTCTCAAAGCTGACTTTCCTATGTCTCTAGAAAGACAATAGTATTAAAAATTAGGCTTTTTTCATTGAGAAAATTTCTAAGTAGAACAACTTCTCTTTGCTTATGTAGTGAAAAGCTTACTGGTCTGAAGGTAGAATTTTATTAAGAGCCAAGGTATGGAGAATGTATAGAATTCCCTCAGAGACAGGAGGGAGAAATGCTAAGTGCATAGCCCTTCCAGTCCTGAGAGAAGAGGAGAAAGAGAGAGACACACAAATGACCTTGCATTTCCCCTTCATGGTGGGAGTACCTGGAAAATGGGGAGAAGAAATCAAGGAAAGGATAATTTTCTTTCCTAGGAACACTTCATTATAGCAGGTCTTCCTTTCTGATGCTGAGAACACAGTCCTGAAAACTGCTAGCCCTGAAAAGAAGTTCCACATTTTCCCTGGTACCATATTCAAGAAGGTGCCAAAGCAGTGGAGCAGCAATGGCTACAGCATGGCTCTACATGGTATGAAGAAAGGAGCTGGAGTTCCCAGGCTCCTCAGATGGCTTGGAGGAAAGAACTAGTGAATCGGAATAGGGCTGTGGCTTCCATCAAGGAGGCTACAGAGTGAAAAGTCCTCTCAGGTCTTCAGAAGTAAGGAGAGCCAGCACAAACTTAAACAGTGGGTGCTGGCATTATAACTTGATAACCAGCTGTGCTTTTGGACAAAGGATTTTGAATTAACTGAATATTTTTCACAAAAAGACTATTTCAGACCACTAGAAGCTGGTGGGAATGGTCTCTTGAAAGCAAGATAAGCTACAGCAAATAAACAAAATGTTAGTTTTTGCACACTCAATAATAAAATGTCATTCACCTTATACATCAACAGACCTTCTTACTGAATTTATTATTCACTCTTTTGAGAGTACTAGATATATAATAAACATGTAACAAAGATGTTTAAAACTTACTTCGAAATGTGCCTCAAAAAATCTATTCAACTTGTAATCTTTTGCATACCAGTTTATGGTCTCTTACCTTTAGGTTTAAAATCCATAGCTTATGTGATTTTAGTTTAATTTATAGCAAGGTACTGAGCAAGTGTTATTAGCCAATAGCTGTGCTGAAATCCTAGCATATTATCAATGTGCTGGAATATTGTTATTAATACAATATTTAATATTTAAAACTTATTAATATTAAATATATTTAATAAATTTGATAAATTAAAAATCTTGCTTATTAACAAAAACTTCTCGTCTTGGCCTTTTTCTGCTGCCAAATAATTCCTTTTATACTCCTTTAGATGAAATATTTTGCTAATGAAATTTACCCCTTTTTCCCTTCTTTTCTCTGAGGACTCACGATTTTTATGGACAATGAAAATTATACTTTGTTTATAACTCTGTTTCTTTATTCTCTCCCCATTTGTTGTTGAGTCCCTATTCTATCTCTTCCTTGTACACATTCATGCTTAATTTTCTATCTTGTTCTCTTTTGTTTCCATATTAAGATTGACCTTTTAAAGACCTTTCATACTTAATCTGTTTTCTCTTTTGGGCACTGAATTACTTTCCTTAAAGATTTTCCTTGGAATTAAAAAAATGTGTAATATAAATTTATTGTCATTATTTAGTTCTTCCAGACCGAAATAACCCAAGACCAGGTGTTTCCATTTTCAAAATTTGTTTGTACCTCCACGTTTTTACAGTTACCCTCAGAGCTTTAATTTCACACCACTCCCTGGCTCCTTCTGCCTCCACTCCCATTCCAGCTAGACTCCAGCCCAATTTGATGTTCTTAATCATCTTGCTAATTAATCCTTAATATGCCCCACATCGTTTTTCTTTAAGACATATTAATAGTTCAAAGACCATGTTCTTCAAGAAGTTTGGCTAAGTCTGCCTTTCTTTAAAGCTGACAGTATGAAATTTCATCTACATTTTGTATTCTGTATACTTTTATAACTCAGCAATTATATATTTCTGAGAACCATCATATTGTCCTGCTCCCTCTTCTCATCCCAGCATATCAGTTTATCTCTGTATGAATCTAGATTTCCATCTCCATCTAAGGCTACTGGATGTACTTCTGGATCTTGAGATGGTTTTAAGACATATTGGCAAAATTTTGGACATTCCTCCACAAGAGTTGGCTGAATTGGATTCCCTCCCCTTGAATCTTGGGCCAGCCTTAGTGACTCACTTCTAGTCTGTTGGATGAGAAGCAGCATGGCTATAAAGGTTAGGTTAGGAAAGGCAATTCAGCTTCTGCCTGTTACCCTTTCTTGAGACACATGTCTTGGGAGCCCTCAGTTGACACATGAGAAATCTGTCTATCCTAAAGCTTTGCACTGGAGAGACCACATATAGAGGCCACACAGAGATGCAAAGACCCAAGGAACTCCAGCTGTCCCAGCCCCCAACAGTTTGAGTCTTCCCAGTGTCAACCGCCAGACACAAGGGAACAGAAACTTCAGATGATTTCAGCCCAGTTTTCAAGCTGCCCCAGATGACTGAACGGGACAGAAATTAGGTGTCCCTTCTGAGTCCTGCCCAGATTGCATATCTGTGAGCAAAGTAATATATGTTGTATATTTCCACTGTAGTTATTATGAGCTACAGTCACTGACTTCTCAGCTCAGAGAGATTACTCTGCTCTGCTGGGCTTGACCATGAAATGTGCCTGCATGGAGAACGTCCAGGTAAACATGATACTCATGTGTGCCAATCACAACCCTGCACTTTTGTATTGTTGCTTATGGCAAAAAGGTGAGTTCACTACCAGTTACAACATGGTAACCAGAAGTGGAGACTTCATTAAAGTAAATTTATAAAGTGTTCATTTACTTTTGTTTTGTTTTGTTTTTTGAGAGTCTTGCTCTGTCACCCAGGCTGGAGTGCGGTGGCACAATCTCGGGTTGCTGCAACCTCTGCCTCCTGGGTTCAAGTGGTTCTCCTGCTTCAGCCCCCCAAGTACCTGGGACTGCAGATGTGTACTACCATGACCAGCTAATTTTTGTGTTTTTAGTAGAGATGGGGTTTCACCATTTTGGCCAGACTTGTCTCAAACTCCTGACCTCAAGTGATCCACCTGCCTTGACCTCCCAAAGTGCTGGGATTACAGGGATGAGCCACCATGCCCAGCTGAATGTTCATTTATTTTGATGGAGATAAAATTCAAAAAAGAAATCTGCTGGGCAGGAAAAAGATATACCATGGGGTGTTTTTTTTTAATTAACTTTTATTTTAGGTTCTGGGTTACATGTGCGGGTTTGATGTATAGGTAAGCTTGTATCATAAGGTTTGTTGTACAGATTATTTCATCATCCAGGTATTAAGTCTAGTATCCAGTAGTTTCTTTTTTCTTCTGCTCCTCTCCCTCTTCCCACCCTCCACCTTCAAGTATACCCCAGTGTCTGTTGTTTCCTCTTTGTGATCATGAGTTCTTATCATTTAGCTCCCAGTTGTAAGTGAGAAGGTGCAGTAATTGGTTTCATGTTCCTGTGTTAGTTTGCTAAGGATAATAGCCTCCAGCTTCATCTGTGTTCCTGTAAAGACATGATCTCATTCTTTTTTCTGACTGTATGATATCCCATGGTATATATGAACCACATTTTCTTTATCCAATTTGTCATTGATGGGCATTTAGGTTGATTCCATGTCTTTGTTATTGTGAATAATGCTGCAAAGAACATTCATGTCCATGTGTCTTTGGTAGAACGATTTCTAATCCTCTGTGTATATACCCACTAATGGGATTGTGGGGTAGAATGGTAGTTCTGTTTTTAGCTCTTTGAGGAATTGCCATACTGCTTTCAAAAGTGGTTGAACTAATTTACACTCCCACCAACAATGTATAAGCATTTCCTTTTCTCTGCAACCTCACCAGCATCTGTTATTTTTTGACCTTTCAATAATCGCCATTCTAACTGGTGTGAGATGGTATCTCATTGGGGTTTTGATTTGCATTTTTCATTGTGGTTTTGATTTGCATTTCACTAATGAACAGTGATATTGAGGTTTTTTTCACATGCTTCTTGGCCGCCTGTATGTCTTCTTTTGAAAACCGCCTGTTCATGTCCTTTGCCCATTTTTTCATGGGATTATTTTTCTCTTGTAAATTTAAGTTCCTTATGGATGCTGGATAGTAGAGCTTTGTCAGAAACATAGTTTGCAAATATTTTTTCCCATTCTGTAGGTTGTCTGTTTAGTCTGTTGATAATTTCTTTTGCTCTGCACAAGCTCTTAAGTTTAATTAAATCCCATGTGTCCTTTTTTTTTTTTTTTAGATGGAGTCTTGCTCTGTCACCCAGGCTGGAATGCAGTGGCGTGATCTCAGCTCACTGCAAGCTCCGCCTCCCAGGTTCATGCCATTCCACTGCCTCAGCCTCCCGAGTACCTGGGGACTACAGGCGCCCACCACCACACCCAGCTAATTATTTTTTTGTACTTTTAGTAGAGATGGGGTTTCACCATGTTAGCCAGGATGGTCTCGATCTCCTGACCTCATGATCCGCCTGCCTCAGCCTCCCAACCATATGTCATTTTTTTGCTTTGGTTGTGATTGCTTTTGGTGTCTCTGTCATGAAATCTTTATGTGTTGCTATGTCTAGGATGGTATTGCCTAGGTTGTCTTCCAGGGTTTTTATAGTTTTGGGTTTTACATTTAAGCCTTCAATTATTATAGGAGATTGCAGAAAGAGTTCTTAGTAATTTTAATCACATAAAATTGTTTACTTTTTGTTTTCACCCTGAAAAGTGGTAATAAATAAGATGTGGAAATTTATTTTCCTCCTAAAGAGATATGAAATACGTTAGAGTTTACTAAAATATGAAGGTCATTTTGGCATTTTTATATACTCTTTAACATTTTATAATCATTTATGTAAAACTTTAATGTACAATGTTCTTAATTCCGTTTTTTAATTGACAAAATTGTACATATTCATGGGGTACATAGTAATGTTTTGATACATATATTATATTGGGATCAGATCACAGTAATTAGCATATCCAATATCTCAAACATTTTTCATTTGTTTGTTTTGGTAATGTTCAGTATACACCTTCTAGCAATTTGAAACTATATATTATTGTAACTATATTCATCCTACAGTGCTATAGAACACTAGACTTTATTCTTCCTATCTAGCTGTAATTTTGTATCCTTTAACAAATGTCTGCATATTCCTCCCTTCGCCTTGTCCTTCCTAGCCTCATCTTCTGTCCTACTTTTTATTTCTATGAGATAAACTTTTATTTATTTATTTATTTATTTATTTATTTTTGGCTTTCACGTATGAGTGAGAACATGCAGTATTTAACTTTCTGTTCCTGGTTTATTTCATCAATATAATTTCCTCCAATTCCATCCATGTTCCTGAGAATGACAAAATTCATTCTTTCTTATGATTGAATAGTATTCCATTTTGTATATATGTTTCATTTTCTTTATTTATCTGTCATTGGAAACCTAGTTTCATTTACTATCTTAAATTCCCACCCATTTCATATCTTACATTCCCACCAACAGTGTATGCGTTCCCTTTTCTCTGCATTCTCACCAGCATTTATTATTTTTTGTATTTTTAATAATAGCCATCACAACTGGGGTGAGATGATACCTCACTGTGGTTTTGATTTGCATTTCCCTGACAATAAGTGATGCTGTTTTCATATGTTTATTGGGCACTTATATGTCTTTTTTTCAAAAATGTATTTTCAGATTATTTTCATATTTGTTAATTGGATTTTTTTTCCTTTTGACATGTTTGTATTCTTGGTATATTCTGGATATTAACCCCTGGTTGATGAGTACTTTGCAAATATCTTCTCCCATTGTGTAGGTTGTCTTCTCACTTTGTTGATTGTTTCCTTTGTTATGTAGAAGCTTTTAAAATATATATATATATATAATCCTGTTTATTTTTGCTTTGGTTGCCTGTACTTTTGAAGTCTTATAAAATCTTTGCCCGGACAAATGTCCTGAAGCATGTCCTCTGCTTTCTTCCAGTAGTTTTATCATTTCAGGTCTTCCGTTTAGGTTTTTGATCCATTTTGAGTTGACTTTTGTGTAGGATGAGAGGCTTGAGTCTAGTTTCATTCTTCTGCATATGGAAATGCAGTTTTCCCAACACCATTTATTGACTGTCACTTCCCTGCAGTGAGTGTTCTTGGTGCCTTTGTTAAAAATCAATAGGCTGAAGATATATGGATTAATTTCTGGGTTCTCTATTCTATTCTATTGGTCTATGTGTCTGTTTTTATACCATGCTGTTTTAGTTACTGTAACTTTGTAGTATACTTTCAGTTTTGGTAGTGTGAAACCTTCAACTTTGTTCTTGCTCCAGATTGCTTTGGCTATTCAGCGTCTTTTGTGGTTTCATGCAAATTTTAGGACATTTTTCTATTTCTGTGAAGAAAGTTATTGATATTTTGATAGGGATTACATTGAATATGTAGATTGCTTTGGGTTTATCTGCCATTTTAACAATATTAATTCTTCTCATTCATGGGTATTTGGTATTTTTCCATTTGTTTGTGTCCTCTTTAATTTCCTTCTCAGTGCTCTGTAGTTTTCCTTATAGAGGTCTTTCATTTCCTTGGTTAAATTGATTTCTAAGTATTATTTTTGTAGCTATTATAAATGGAATTGCCTTCTTAATTTATTTCTTAGCTAGTTTGTTGTTCATGTATAGAAATGCTACTGATTTTGTATATTAATTTTGTATCCTGCAAATTCAGTGAGTTTGTATACCAGTTCTAAGAGTTTTTTGGATGAGTCTTTAGGTTTTTCTGTATATAAGATCATGTCATCTGCAAACAAGGACAATTTGACTTCCTGCTTTTCATTTTGGATGCTTTTATTTATTTCTCTTGCCTGATTTCTCTGGCTAGGACCTCTATGTTGAATAACAGTGATGAGAGTGGGTATCTTTGTTTTTGTTCTAGGTTTTAGAAGAAAAGCTTGAAGCTCTTGGTAGCTGTGGGTTTGTAATACATGGCCTTTATAATGTTGATATACTTTCCTTCTATACCAAATTTATTAAGACTTCTTATCAAAAAAGATGTTGAATATTTTTATAAGCTTCTTTTTTGTGTCTGTTGAGATGATCATATGGTTTCTCTTCTTCATTCTGTTAGTGTGATATATGACATTTATTTATTTGTGTATGTTGAACCACCTTCCAATCCTGGGATAAATCCCACTCAACGACAGTGTATTATCTTTTTGCTATGTAGCCAGATTCAGTTTGTTAGTATTTTGTTGAGGATTCTTGCATCTATTTTCATCAGAGATATTGGACTGTAGTTTTTTGTTTTGTCTTTATCTAGTTTTGATATCAGGGTTATGCTGTCCTCATAGAATGAGTTAGGAATAATCTCCTCTGTTTCAATTTTTTAATATAATTTGAGAGTTGATATTAATTTTTCTTTAAAGGTTAAGTACAGTTTAGCAGTGAAGCCATCCAGTTCTGGAGTTTACTTTGTTGGAAGACTTTTTATTATTGATTCAATTGCATTACTTGCTATTGGTCTATTCAGGTTTTCTATTTCTTTTTGGTTCAATCTTGATCAGTTGTCTGTGTCCAGGAATTTATCCATTTTCCCTAGGTTTTCAAATTCATTGTCAAATAATTGTTTATAGTAGTCTATAATGGTTCTTTGTATTTCTGTGGTATCTGTTGTGACACCTCTCTTCTCTGATTTTATTTATTTGGGTCATCTCTCTTTTTGCTTAATCTAGCTAATGGTTTGTCAATGTTGTTTCTTTTTTTAAATCAGCTTTTATGTTGATCTTTTGTATTGTTTATTCTATTCTCAATTTCATTAATTTCTGATGTGATCTTTCTCATTTATTTCCTTCTACTAATTTTGGGTTTGGCTTGTTCTTGCTTTTCTACTCCCTTGAGGTGCATCGTTAGATCACTTACTTGAAGTCTTTCCAGTTTTTTGATGTAGACATTTATTGCTATAAACTTTGCCTCCTAAAATACTGTTTTTGCTGTGTACCATAGGTTTTGTTATGTTGTGCTTCTATTTTCATTTATTTCAAGAATTTTAAAATTTTATTTTTAATTTCTTCCTTCACCCAATGGTCATTTAGGAGCATGTTGTTTAATTTCAATATATTTGTATAGTTTGAAATGTTCCTCTTGCTATTGATATCTGGATTTATTCCACTGTGGTCATATAAAGTACCTGATATGATTCGATTTTTAAGCATTTTTTGAAGCTTGCATTATTTCTTAAGAGGTGGTCAATCCTGAAGAATATTCCATGTGCTGACAAAAATAATATGTATTCTCAATTTAAGTCATCTCCCAAAAGAGGATTTTTCAGGGAAGAAACAGATCATTTAATTAAAAACCTTCTGGGCAAGAGAATTAGCAAACTTATTAATTCTCCTGATCTCCAAGATAACTTTCAAGAGTTCTATGACAGCTGGCCTAGCAAGCCTGCTGACTACCATGGTTTGTTGTTACCGCCTATCGAGGGGCAGGAAATCAAAGTCTGGGCCCAGCGCTCTCTGCGTTGGATTCCAGAAGCCCAAATCCTAGGTGGTGGCCGAGTGGCCAGTATGAGCAAACTCTTGTAAATGATGGAGGAAGTCCAGAGTTTACAAGAGAAGGTCAATGAGAGACACCACAGCCAGCAGGCCCCCAAGGCTGAGGCCCCCTGCCTGCTGAGGAACTCTTCCCACCTGTCCTCTTTGTTTCCTTTTGCTCTGCTCCAGCGACATTCCTCTAAGCCGGTCTTACCCACCAGTGGCTGAAAAGCTTTGGAAGATGAAGATGATCTGGCCAAAAGAGAAGATGAGTTCATGGACCTAGGGGATATGTGACCTGTTTATTGAGTGATTGTGAAAGAGGAATGTGGGAGATTGGGACAGCTGATCCCCGGATTCATGTCACGCTGCAGCTAATGCTGGCTGGATCCTTAGCCTGGCACTCTGTTGGAATAAACCTGGGTCTTTGGGAAAAGAGGTGGCTCTCATTATTTTTCATGGTTCTAAAAGACTATGCATTCAAAACCACATCTGTAGTATTATTAATTGGAAGGAATTATTACTTGACCCGTAATAGGGTTATGACTGTTTTCTGATGCCTAAGTATTATACAGAGCCCACAATGGCCAGTTTACTACCAGAAAGGGCTTCAGTAAGATATTCTTGGTCTTGATACTTTCTTCAGATCCACTTTGTGACAAGATAATTTATCCAGTCATTGGGAATAGTAAACGTCTGTGTAACCTATCTCAATTATAAAGGCAAGTTCAGCTTTACACATTTGTATGGTAAGTTGAAGATTCAGGTAGAGGTATTAAGATGTGTGGCATTTACTTAAACAGTCACATTTTTCCTTTCTACGCCCCCTTGCCTGTAAAACAGCTACAAAATTTCACTGGTGTCATCCATCCTTAAGTTTCAGACCGCCCTCCCTCCTTCATGGACTGTGTCACTTTGCCTGTGGGTGGGGGCTAGCCAGCCACCACCCTCTTTTCTGTGTTGCCAGCCCCAGGTCTTCCTCCACCTGCTCCACACCACTTCCCACTGTCCATCTGCACTCCCTGACTCCATGTGGGTAGTCCCAGTGTCTCACTGCTAAACCTGTTGGTTATGCTGGGGGGATCTCTTTCTTTGCCTGAGGAGCTTCCCTTCCTCTGAAGTCTGTTGGTGTTTGGATCAAATTGCTTCGCCTTTTTCTACTCACCTGCTGAGGCTTTGGAGCACTTGTGATTGTGGTTTTCTGCAGCAACTCCTGAGCCGAGTTCCTCGCATTCTTTTACCTTTACGGACTGATGGGATTGGGTCACTTTTGAATGTGGCTTTCATAGGAAAGCAGTTTAAACATAAATATCAGAAGTGATGATTATCATATGATACTTCAGTGATTTTAAAAGCCATAGAAGAAACTTGAGTATGCCTGGTCACCTTCTTGGATCTGCTGTCTAAATTATATATATATTTTACTGCAGGAAAGTATACTTCGTAAGGAGTAGTTTTTATTTATTTGTTTATTTGGTTCTCAGTGGAACCCTGTCAAATCCCATAAAAGCGGAAAAAAACAAAACTCATTAGAGTGTTTTAAATTGAATGTTTGCCTTTTACATATATTTGCTCTTCAGCATGGTTCCTAATTTGAATGTTACATGTTTAGAAAAATTTTCAGCCAGGTGCAGTGGCTCACGGCTGTAATCCCAGCACTTTTGGGAGCCCAAGGCGGGTGGATCATGAGGTCAGGAGATTGAGACCATCCTGGCTAACACAGTGAAACTCCTTCTCTACTAAAAATACAAAACATTAGCCGGGCGTGGTGGCGGGCACCTGTAGTCCCAGCTACTCGGGAGGCTGAGTTGGGAGGATCTCTTGAACCCGGGAGGCAGAGGTTGCAGTGAGCCAAGATTGTGCCATTGCACTCCAACCTGGGTGATGGAGCAAGACCTCATCTCAAAAAACAAGAAAATTTGAAACTGTTGACTAAGAGGAGTTTCTAGGTTTGCACTGAATTGGCTTTTGTGCATACAATGGATTGTTTTGCTGTTCTCCCCACTCCATATTAATGCAGGAGCCAGGTTGGTCTGTTAATAGGAACAAAGTATTGGGGGAACCTGTCCCCAATATTTCAATGTAGGTTCTTTCTATTTTCCATAAGTGTCAGCCGGCTGAGAAATAAAGAGAGACAGTACAAAGAGAGGAATTTTACAGCTGGGCTGCCAAGGGTGACATCACATATCAGTAGGACAGTGATGCCTACCTGAGTCTCAGACCAGCAAGTTTTTATTAAGTGTTTCAAAAGGGGGGGGGGTGTAAGAACAGAGAGTAGGTACAAAGATTACATGCTTCAAAGAACAAAAAGCAGAACCACTGATAAGGGTCTAACAAAGATCACATGCTTCTGAGGGAACAGAGCAAAGGGCAAAAGCAGAACCACTGATAAGGGTCGAACAAAGATCACAGGGCAAAGGGCAAAAGCAGAACAACTGTTAAAGGTACAACAAAGATCACAGGGCAAAGGGCAAAAGCAGAACCACTGATAAGGGTCTATGTTCAATAATGCATGTGTTGTCTTGATAAACATCTTAAACAATAGGAAATAGGGTTCAAAAGCAGAGAACAGGTCTGACCACAGATATACCAGGGTTGAGTTTTCCCATCCCTAGTAAGCCTGAGGGTTTTGCAGGAGACTAGGGCTTATCTCAGTCCTTATCTCAACTGCACAATACAGACATTCCCAGAGCGGCCATTTATAGACCTCCCCCCAGGAACGCATTCTTTTTCCAGGGTATTAATATTCACATTCCTTGCTAGGAAAAGAATTTAGCAATATGTTTCCTACTTGCATGTCCATTTATAGGCTCTCTGCAAGAAGAAAAATATGGCTCTTTTTGCCCGACCCTGCAGGCAGTCAGACCTTATGGTTGTCTTCTCTTATTCCATAAAAATCACTATTATTCTGTTCTTTTTCAAGATGCACTGATTTCATATTGTTCAAACACACATGTTTTACAATCAATTTCTACAGGTGACACAATTATCACAGTGGTCCTGAGGTGACGTGCATCCTCAGCTTATGAAGATAACAGGATTAAGAGGTTAAACCAGGCATAAGAAATTATAAAAGTATTATTTGAGAACTGATAAATGTCCATATTAAGATGAAATCTTCACAATTTATGTTCCTCTGCCATGGCTCCAACCAGTCCCTCCACTCGGGGTCCCTGACTTCCCATAACATGTCTCCCTTTCTTTTTATATAAATGTGCCATGGCGATGAAGGCTTGTTCATTCTCTCAGTTTTGATGCAGGATTCTTTGACTGGTCTGGCACACTAAAAACAAACCGATTAAACAGAGAAACATGATTCCAAAATGTACTACAGTGGAGCCCCCAAAAGACTTAATCCAAGTCGTGGGGTTTAGTCCAGAAAGACTTTCTGCCGCCTGATCTAACACCTCAGCTCCAGGCACAATGGATAAATGAGCTTGAGAGGCTTCAAAAATGTGTTTCTTTGATTTAGTTATGTCCAAAGATAAATTATCTTCCCTACCCAGAAGGTGTCCTTTGACCATTTCCCATGAATGATCAGTCTCATTGTAGGAATATGGTGTGATACAGAAATCAGAAGTATTCCAATTGCACTGCATTTGCATGTGATGTTCAAGACTCATTAACCAATCTCCAAGCCAAATACCAGACTGTCTTAAATCATTAATTTGATTAGCTAATTTTTGATCAATGTCCTGTTGAGAATTCCATATTTGGGTGGAATTGGCTTGCCAATCATTAACAAAATGAGCCATTTGAATAGATTGGTGTAATGCCATTCCAGCAGTGGTGGCCAGTGCAGTGACTGTAATTAGGCCCATGATCACAGCGATTAAAGTGAAAACAAATCTCTTAGATCTTTTGAGAATTTGTTGTAACACTTCATTAATTAAATGTACTGATGGGGAAGATTCCCAAGGTCTGGGTAAAGTTACTGGTATCCAGATTCCCTCTTGAGTTTGAACCAACATTACACTTTTCCTGAAGTCAAAACGGGAGTTAACACAAGTGTATAAATGACAATTAATGCATTGGACAGTTTGATTGCTCATCCAAATTTTGATGTTTCCCACTAACAGCATGTAAGGAGGCGTAACACAACTCTGTATAGGAATAGTCAGGCTGGAGGTAAACAAAGCAGAATATTTGAATCTATGTTGATACTGAGGGGAAGGAGCGGTGGTGGCAATGCCCAATGTTCTCCACCGTAAAGAAGCAATCCAAAGTGCCCAGGGATGCCGAAGAGGTAGAGGGGCATACCTGGGTCGAGAAGAATTATCATAATACCAATCAGAGCCCCATAAAGGAGGACTGGCATCAAAAAGAGGAAGAGGGTTCAAAGGGGATTTTTATCATGGGGTTCAGAATCACATATGTGAGGGGCAGTAGTGGGGACAACAGACAGAAAAGTTTCCCCTTCTCATACTTGCAGTCCAGACATGGCAATAGCCAATTTTCAAAGTTCTGGGTGTTCTGGGCTCAGAATGGGGAATATCATATGAGGCCTCGGGGGAGTAATGCCCCTATCTTCCTATTTTAATGGAAAGAATGAGATGAACCTCCTATGCAAAGTAGGATGATGATCCTCATCCTCCCAATAAGAAATAAAATAAGTAGCCTCCAGGCATTCCCTTCTGCCAGAGGAGCAATTGTTTTTTAAATAGCCCTTTCGTGCCCAGTCTATTACTAAACCATATGAGTCATTTTTTAATACTACTGCATGTGAGTTAACACAGTCTTCCCAAATTAAAGTTTTAGATGGGCCCTCAAAATTTTTAGGACATGGTTTTCCTACAGGTTTGTATTGAAAGTATGGGGTATCTCCTATCACTCCCCCTTTCATTTGTCTTAAAGGAGAAAGGGAGAGGCCAGAGAACAAATGTCCCTGTTCCCCTGTGGCTGATCTCTCCAGAAGGTAAGCAGCCTAGACTTGAGTTTCTAGATGGATACAACCAGGTGCATGTCCAAGGCACAGAGGAGGGTATTTATAACCCATAGTAACATTAAATGTAGTGCCGCCTTCTGGTTGAGTGGGGCAATGGTCATCTGTAGCTCCAGGCATCCACACACTATCATTCGTATAGATTTCCACAGGAGCATCCATCCAGATGAGAGGTCAAATAAGTAGAGGAAAAGGCACATAAGCCCAATAAGAATAATTTTGTGTAGTAGGTGAATCAGTTTGAGGGGAAACTGGTGAGACAGAAAGTATAAAGAGGAGAATTATTAAATAAAACCTATTGTAACCGAGATCCACTGCTGAAGGAGGAAGAGAAGAAGAGGGGGATGTTATTTTCAGGTTAATAGAAATGGTGAGATTTTTAGGTTCATAAGAAGAAAAAGGGAATTAGGAGAAGTGGAATTAGTTAGAGGGGTCTCCGTTGCCATTAGGGAGGATTGAACCAGACCCATTTTGATTTGGCATGTCATTTTCTGAAGAGTTGGCACAGATCTCACCAGGTATGAGGGTGGTCTCTGATGTGGATGTCTCTTCCCTGTGCTTTTCATTGTCAGAATGCGCATGAAGTTTAAGTCTCCTACTGGGCACCCAGACAGGGGATTGATGATCTCCTGGTGAAACACAAGCATACCCTCTTCCCCACGTTATAATTGTTCCAGGTTCCCAGGTATTGGTCTGGGAGTTTTCCCATAACACTGGCCTGCCTTCATTTAGGGACAATTTTTTGCCTGTATAATGGCGTTCAGCTGCAGTCAGAGTATTGTCTTTAGGAACACTTAGAAAGTTTAAAGTAAATAATGCTAAATGTAATTGGGAGTGGGGAGTGGTTAAATTATGCTTTTGTTGCTCAGACTGTTTGGACAATTGAGTTTTTAAAGTGCGATTGGCCTGTTCCACCACAGCCTGTCCCTGAGGATTGTAAGGGATTCCAGTAATATGAGAAATTCCTCATTGTTGCATAAATAAATCAAAGCCTTACTAACATATCCAGGGGCATTGTCTATCTTTATCTCATATGAAAGCCCCGAAACTGCAAAGCAAGAATACAGATGTCTTTTAACATGGGCCATGCCTTCCCCTGTTTGGCAAGTAGCCCAAATAATACCTGAAAAGGTGTCTACAGAAACATGTACATATGAAAGTCTGCCAAAGGAGCTAACATGAGTCACATCCACTTGCCATAAATCATTAGGAGTTAGGCCTCTGGAATTAATGCCAGGTTCCTGATTTGGAAGTACAAAAATTTGTCACTGAGGGCAGCAGTGGACAATAAGCTTAGCCTCCTTCCAGGTGAGAGCAAATTTATCTTTTAATCCAGCCACATTGACATGAGTGAGATTATGGAACTCCTGAGCCTCTTAGATTGCAAAAGAGACCAAACAGTTGACCTTACGGTTTCCAGCAGACATGGGTCCTGGTACAGTGTTATGAAATCTAATATTTGTAATATAGAAAGGGTGTCTACATTGGTGAACCACCTGTTGTAACCTTGAAAATGAAGAATCCAATTCAGAATTATCAATATGTTTGATACTAGCAGTTTCTATATTTTTAGTGGCATGTACAATATAAGCAGAATCAGAGACAATATTTAAAGGTTTGGAGAAATCCTGTAAGGCAGTAATTACAGCAATTAACTCTGCCTTTTGAGCAGAGGTATAAGGAGTAGAAATAAGCTTGTCTGTAGGACCCACATAACAAGCATTTCCATTACTGGAGACATCAGTGAACACTGTAATGGCCTCAGGAATGGGCTGATATTTGGTCAATCGAGGGACCACCCAAGAAGTCATTTTTATAAAATCAAACAATTTGTTTTTTGAATGATTGTCCATAACACTGATAAAATCAGTCAAGTGAATTTGCCACAGTATGGAATGTTGAAAAGCGGCCTGGACTTTGAGCTGATTTAAAGGAACCACAATTAAATTAGGATCAAATCTGGAAATTTTAAGTATTCTACACTGAGCTTGTCCAATTAGGGTGGCCATTTGGTCCAGATAAACAGACAAAGTTTTTGACACAGAATGAGGAAGAAAACACCACTCCACTAAATCATTATGTTGAACTATTAGTCCAGTAGGGGAGTTCAATGAAGTGAAAACCAGAAGCTGTAAAGGCTGAGACGGCTGTACCCTAGACAACTGGGCAGTTTGGATTCTTTCCTCCATGAATTCCAGTTCCAGTGAAGCCTCAGGGGTCAAAGTCCTGGGACTGCAGAGATTGGAATCTCTGCACAGCATAGAAAACAAGTTAGACAGTGCCTATGTTGGAATGCCTAAAGTAGGTCTTAAATAATTAATGTTACCTAAAAGTTTTTGGAAATCATTTAAGGTTTTTAAAGAATCACTCCTAATCTGAAACTTTTGAGGCTGAATACATTCTTTATCGGCCACCAGTCCTAAATATTGAACAGGAGTGGTCTGTTGAATTTTATCCTGAGTGATGTGTAATCCAGCCTCTGCAACATGGTGGCTCAGAAATTGATAACAGTCAATTAATTCTTTATCAGTGGGGGCAGCAGTTAATATATCATCAATATAATGAAGAATATAGGCCTGGGGAAATTGAGCTCAAACTGGTGAAAGCACCTGTCCAACACAAAGCTGGCAGATGGTAGGGCTATTCAGCATTCCCTGAGGGAGTACTTTCCATTGTTAACAAGTTTCAGGCTCCTGATTATTGATAGATGGTACAGTAGAAGCAAATTTTTTCACAATCCAATTTATGTAAAGCAATATGAAAGAAACAGTCTTTAAGATCAATAACTATGAGAGGCCAATTCTTAGGTATTAAAGCAGGGGCAGGCATGCCGGGTTGGATGGCTCCCATAGGTTTAATTACAGCATTAATGTCCCTTAAATCAGTTACCATCCTCCACTTGCCTGATTTCTTTTTTACTAGAAACACAGGAGAATTCCAGGGGAAAAGAAGGTTCCACATTTCCAAGTTGTAACTGTTCAGAAACTAATTGAGTTAAAACCTCCAGTTTTTCTTTAGAGAGCAGCCACTGCTCAATCCAAACAGGAGTTTCAGATTTCCATTGTAGAGGAACAGGATCAGGAGGTGTAGCAGTGGCCATCATTAAAAAGGATAACCTAAACCAGCCCTGTCTTCTTTTACAGTGATTTGAAGAGGTTTAGTAATTCCTTCATGTTTTGGACTAAGACCAAGTCCAGGAACAAACCCCATGTTTTCCATTATATGTTGACTGGAAGCGCTATAAGAGTTATGTGGAATTTTAATTTCAGCCCCCCATTGTGCCAGCAAGTCTCTACCCCAAAGATTAATGGGGATTGGCACGATATAAGGCTGAATTGTACCCTTTTGACCATCAGGGCCAGTGCAAGGCAAGATAAATGTGCTCTGGTGAACTTCATCAGCTTTTCCAACCCCTACTAGTCCCATGTTAGTGGGATGTTTAAGCCAGGAGGAAGGCCATAAATTAGAGGAAATAATAGAAACATCAGCCCCAGTATCTACTAGGCCCTCAAACTTTTTTCCTTGAATGGGTATGGTGCAGGTGGGCCATTGTTTAGAAATTACATTAATCCAATAAGTGGCTTTTTCACTGCCAGAGCCCATCCCAGGTCCCTGTGTCTTATCTCCATTGTTTAAAACAATATTAGGTAGTAAAAGTAATTGAGTAATTGACTCACCAGCCGGAATGGAGACAGGAACCTTGGTAGACACCATAAGTTTAATCTTGTCAGAGGAATCAGAATTAATGAGACCAGTATGAACTGTGATACCTTTAGTAGTAGTGGATGCCCTACCTAACACCAGGTCCACTGAACCTTGAGGTAAAGGGCCGGTGACCCCCGTGGGGACAATTAAAGGCAAAGAATTAGGTAGTAAATTTAGAGGAATGGAACTACAGAGATCGACCGCCCTGCCCCCTACTGTGGAGGTGGACAAGCATTGTACTGGGACAGAAGAAGAGGCTGGAACCCATCTGGATTGACTGTAGGTAAATTTGTTTGTGCTGGGGGCTGTGTTGGGACTGCTTGAAGCAGAAATGCAACATTGGTCTGAGTCTGAGGTGTCCCATTTGATACTGGGGCCTGGGACTGGGCCTGCTTCCTGTTTCCCTGGTTCTGTGGCAAGGGATTTCCATCTATATCAGTCTTAGAGTGGCAAGTACTTGCCCAATGTTTACTTTTATGACAACGAGGGCAAACAGTAGCAGGAGCATTTGGCCATGTTTGTTGAGCTGGCTTGGCCACTGTTTTTAACAGTGCAATTTTTTCAAGTATGACCAAGTTGACCACAATTATAGCAGGCTCCAAGAAAAGAATCAGTCGAGCCAGTTTGATTGCTGTGCTTCATGGCCTGTGCCCACAGAATAGCTTTGTGGGTCTCTGATCCAATGCCTTCACAAGCTTTAATATATGCAAGCAACACCTTGTGATCAGGTAAATTTTGTCATTGGATGGAATGCATGGCCATTTTACACTCATGGTTCCCATTCTCAAAAGCTAACATACGAAGGAGAATGTCTTCAGCACGCTCATCAGAGACAGATTTTTCAACAGCATCTTGTAATTTAGCCAAAAAATCAGGATGTAATTCATTGTGACCCTGTTTAACAGTAGTAAAAGAAACAGGAGCTTGGCCCAGGGTGCATAATTTATCCCAAGCTCTCATACACACCTTTGTTACTTGTTCCATGGTGAGAGCATCAAAACCTAATTGGGTGGTAGTGTCAGAGTAATTATCAGAGCCTGTGAACTGAGCCTGAGTAATTGGAATGCCATCAGCCCCATTTAGCTGAGCCTGCAGATGGGCCTCCTCTGACCACCATGTATGGAACTATAAATGCTGAGATGGAGTTAGAATAGCTTTTGCCAAAGGGCCCCAATCTAAAGGAAGCAAAATGACCTCTCTACAAAGAGTCTGTAATACCATTTTAACATATGGAGAAGTAGGACCATACTGAGTACAAGCATCCTTGAATTCTTTTAAAAAGGTAAGATTGAGTGGCGTATATCAATGCACTTGTACCCCTTGAGCATTGGGAGGTTCCAGCGCAACCGCATAAGCCCACACCTCTAATCCACTTGTTTCTTTGTTCTGGCATAATAAGCATTGCATAGAAGTTTCAAGAACAGGCACATGAGATGAAGTCAGCATAGAAGTGACAGGAAAAGTATGTGTAGATAAAGGAAACTGAGGTTGAGTAGGTGAGACCGGTATGAGAGTGTGAGAAAGGGGCACTGGAGGAGCAGAAGAGGCAGAAGTATACTGGTGATTATTGTCCCAATCCTGTGCAACCACAGTGGCAGGGGTGTCCATATGTGAAGAAGGCTACAGAGAAGCAAGTTGAGTGGATGGCAAAATGACCGGTTGAGGGACCAAAATGACAGGAGAGTGAGGGGCTGTGGTGGAGAGGGGAGGGCCTGCAGAATTACAGGTAAATTGTAGTTTGGTCCCGGAGCCATTACATGGCTCCAGAGGCAAAGGCTGCAAAGGTTTGAAGAGGGAAGAGTTAGCATAGATATGGTCCTGGGCTGTCCGAGTTGGGGCCGTGGGAGCTACAAGTACTGGCTCCTCATGAAAAGAAATAAGATCATCAGGGGTGACGTTAAGACAAAATCACCAGAGTTAGATATTGGATCCTCAATATCCTCAGGTGGGGGAGGAGAAGATGAAGGGAGAGGCTGAGCAGATAACGAAGGCCAAGCGGGAGATGAAAGCTGAGGAAGAGGTAGAGAGTTGCCAGATTCAGAAAACTGTGGTAAGTGCAGGGGGCCACAGTATTGGCATGTCATTAGGATGGCACATACCAAGGCCCAATCACCCTGAACAGTGACAGGAACATAATTTCCTTTCAGGACCAGTTCCCAGAATTTTGCACCAACGTGATCCCGTAGTTTCACATCTAATGTTCCCTTTTCAGGGAACCAAGAACAGTGTTCTTCCACCACCCTGAATAGGGTGACCATATTTTCCATGGGTACCCAAACTCCCCCTGCTTTAACAGGATTTTAATATAGCAGAGATAAGCATAACGTTTAGACTCTGCATGACCTATAGTTACCCCGGACAATACATAGACAACTCACCAATCGTCAGGGAGCTGGACAAGCATTTCTGTGAACCGGACTGATGAACGTTTCTACAAACCTACCAGAGGGAATTGGGTTCCCACATGCACTTAGGAAAAAGAAAACCACATTGGCATGCCAGATATTGGGAGAAGCAAATCCCAATATTTCAACGTAGGTTCTTTCTATTTTCTGTAAGTGTCTGCTGGCTGAGAAATAGAGACAGTACAAAGAGAGAAATTTTACAGCTGGGCCACCAGGAGGTGACATCACATATCGGTAGGACTGTGATGCCTGCCTGAGTCTCAGACCAGCAAGTTTTTATTAAGGGTTTCAAAAGGGGAGGGGGTATAAGAACAGAGAGTAGGTACAAAGATTACATGCTTCAAAGAGCAAAAAGCAGAACCACTGATAAAGGCCTAACAAAGATCACATGCTTCTGAGGGAACAGGGCAAAGGGCAAAAGCAGAACCGCTGACAAGGGTCCAACAAAGATCACAGGGCAAAAGGCAAAAGCAGAACCACTGATAAGGGTCTATGTTCAGCAGTGCATGTATTGTCTTGATAAACATCTTAAACAATAGAAAATAGGGTTCAAGAGCAGAGAACTGATCTGACCACAAGTTTACCAGGGTTGAGTTTTCTCAACCCTAGTAAGCCTGAGGGTTCTGCAGGAGACCAGGGCTTATCTCAACTGCACAAGACAGACTTTCCCAGAGCAGCTGTTTATAGACCTCCCCCCAGGAATGCATTCTTTTCCCAGGGTATTAATATTCATATTCTTTGCTAGGATAAGAATTTAGCAATATGTTTCCTACTTGCACATCCATTTATAAGCTCTCTGCAAGAAGAAAAATATGGCTCTTTTTGCCCGACCCCACAGGCAGTCAGACCTTATGGTTGTCTTCCCTTATTCCATAAAAATCGCTATTATTCTGTTCTTTTTCAAGGTGCACTGATTTCATATTGTTCAAACACACATGTTTTACAATCAATTTCTACAGTTAACACAATTATCACAGTGGTCCTGAGGCGATGTATATCCTCAGCTTACAAAGATAACAGGATTAAGAGATTAAAGTAAAGACAGGCATAAGAAGTTATGAAAGAATTATTTGAGAACTGATAAATGTCCATATTAAGATGAAATCTTCACAATTTAAGTTCCTCTGCTGTGGCTCCAGCCGGTCCCTCTGTTCAGGATCCCTGACTTCCCATAACAACAAACGTTGAGGGGAGGGCAGGATTCACGCGTCTGGGGGCTAAACACATGTTCTGCATTGGTTGCCTTAAGAGTTACTAGCAAGGCCAGTGTTAGGCTTGCAATAGGGATTTTAAAATACACTAACTAGTTCCTTAGCTACCTGCACATACATTCTATAGGCCTTCTTAAATTAGCACTAACCTCCACTTCCTTCTCTGCCCCATTGCCTCCCAAATATGCTATGGAGCTATTTTTGTTACCACATTGTAACATGAATATGTATATGGTAGCCTCTTCAGGCTTCATGATTTTCATTCCAAAAATGCCTGGTGTGATGCTTTACACTCCACAAAGTATGGTTTAAAGGCACAAGGTCATGGCCTTTGTCATAGCAGTTGAATGTTCATTGAAATACTTTTCTATGATTTTTTTTAAATTACAATAGAAAAATAAGCTGTTTTAACGTGTAAGGTCATGACAATTATTGTACTTATATTTGAAATCAGATTTCCATAACTTGTATTTGTGTACAGAATTATCAATGGGTTTATACATTGTGAGATTTTTATCTGAGATTGAGATGTGGATTATGCTTAACAGTGAAAGCTGAAATGAGACCATTTACTTTGTTTAATATGCTGTACTGTGCAAGTTTGGAAATGCACATTAATTTACTGTACATAATATCTAGAGTTTGTTTGTATCTCCAAGTTTTTACACTGAGGATAAACTAGCTTTAATTAAATTCAAAACTTTTTTTTCTTTATAAGGGAATAGGCTGTTGAGCTAAACCTGTATACATGTGCTTTTTATTTTCTGGATGCACAATGAAAGTTTATACTTGTATCTCACTGCATCATATCTGATTGCAGAAACTAAAGCACAATTTAAAGCAAAAAAAAAAAGAATTGTGTATTCTGTAGTTGAGTGAAGTGTTCTGTAAATGTCTGTGAGGTCCATTTGGTCTATGGTGCAGTTTAAATATGTTTCTTTGTTGATTTTCTATCTAGATTATCTGTTTAATGCTGACAGTAGGGTGTTGAAGTCCTTAACTGTTATTCTATTGGGTCTATCTCTTCATTTTAATCTAATAATATTTCCTGCATATGTCTGGGTACTTTGGTGTTCAGTGCATATATATTTGCAATTGTTATATTTTTCTTGCTGAATTGATCCCTTTATTATTATATAGTGTCCTTCTTTTTCTCTTTTTACAGATTTTAATTTCAAGTCTGTTTTGTCTAAGTATAGAACTCTTGCCCACTTTTGTTTCCATTTGCATGGATATCTTTTGCCATCCCTTCACTTTTAGCCTATGCATGTCTTTACAGGTGATTTGAGTTTCTTGTAGGCAGCATATAATTGGTTCTTTTTTTTTCTTATTCAGTCAATCTATACCTTTTAAATAGGGAATTTAATTAATTTATATTCAAGGTTATTATTAATAGGCGAGGACTTACTCCTGCCATTTTATTGACTATTTGCTGTTTTTTTTTAACATATCCTTTGTTCCTTACTTCCTCTCTTATTGTTTATTTTTGTGATTGAGTGGTTGTCTGTAGTGATAACCTTTGGTTCCTTCTTCTACCTGTGAGCTTTATAGTTTTGCATGTTTTTATGATGGTGATTATTATTTTTTCACTTCCAGATGTAAAGTTTCCTTGGGCACTTCTTGTAAGGCTGGCCTGGTAGTGATAAATTTTCTTAGTTTTTGCTTGTTTGTAAAAGATTTTGTTTATCCCTCGTTTCTGAATGATAGCTTGGCTGAGTATAATATTCTTGGCAGCCAGGGTTTTTTTTTCTGGTACTTTGAATATATCATCTTATTTCCTCACCTATGAGGTTTTGAATGAGAAATCTGCTGTTTTACTAATGGGGATTCACTTATATTGACTTACTATTTTCCTCTTACTGCTTTTATAATTATTCTTTTGTGTTTGCCTTTTGACAATTTGATTATAATGTACCTTGGAGATAACCTGTTTGAGTTGAATGTATTTAGGGTTATTTGAGCTTCCCAGAGCTGGATGTCGATCTCTTTCCCAATATTTGGGAAATTTTCTGCTATTATTTTATTAAATATATTTTCCTCACTTTTTGTTTTCTCTTCTCCTTCTGGAATGCCCATAATACAAAAATGTGTTTGCTTAATTTTGTCTCATAAATCCTGTAGGCTTTTTCTCTTTCTTTTCTTGTTTGCCTTTGCTATTTTAAAAGACTGTCTTCAAGTTCAGAAGTTCTTCTGCTTGGTCTAGTCTTTGTTGAAGCTCTTAATTTTTTTTTTTATTTCATTCATTGAGTTCTTCAGCTCTAGGATTTCTATTTGGTTCTTTCTTATATCTAACTCTGTTGAATTTATCATTGAAATCATGAATAGCTTTTCTGATTTTGTTGAATTATCTATTACATTCTCTTGTATCTCACTGAGTTTCCTTAAGAATATTCTTTTGATTTCTTTTTCTGGCGTTTCATATATTTATGATTGGGATCTGTTTCTGGAGAATTGTTTCCTTTTGAAGGTGACATGTTTTCTTGCTTATTCATGGTTGATGTGTCCCTGTGTTGACTTCTATGCATGTACTGGAAAAGATGACTTTTCTCTTTAATTGAATAGGCTTCATATCAAAAGAGCTATTTGCATAAATGAGCATTGCTGTGTTGGTTTGATGGAGTATATTGGCCTTGGTTCTAGATGCAGTAGTGTAACTCTCCATGTAGTTTCTTTAGCTGTAATCCACACTGGTAACATTTGTAAGTTTATCATCAGCTTAGACTGACAGAATTTGTGGTGTGGCTCTCCAGGAATGGGCTTGCCAGGCTATTTCTCAGGTCAGGGTCATTTTTACGCACATGGTGGTTTGGCTGACTTCATATCTGGCTCACTGGGGTTGGGGCCATAGGGCTGTTACTCTGGCCAGGAGCATGGGCATGTGGTTGCTTGGTTGGTTTGGGAATGTGTTTGTCAGAGGCAGCCCACAAGATTGTTTCTCAGGCCTGGGATGGGGCACAAGGCTACTTGGCTGGCTTGGGGATGTGCTTACCAGAGGCATCCTGACAGGCTGTTTTTTAGTTCTGCTATGTGGGCACATAGCTACTGGGCTGGCCCAGTATGGCACATATCTGCTTGGGGTGACCCATGGGGCTGTTTCTCAGGCTCAGGACACAGCGGCATGACTGCCCAGTTGACCTGGGGATATGTTTGCTTGGGGTGGCCCACACGGGTGTTTCTCAGGCTCAGGATGTGGTCATATGGCTTTTTGGCTGGTCTAGGGACATTTCTGCTCGGTATGGCCCACAGGGTTATTTCTTAAGTCTAGGATGTGGGTGCACAGCTGCTAGGTTGGGGAACAGACATCAACTCAGCCAAATCATAGCTGATCCTGGACCCAGGCTCCTCACAGCTGGTTGTGGCATTTAGCCATCAGTATGGGCTTGGCATAATGAAAATGGAGTTACAGTACTGAGGAAGTATAGTGGCTACCAGGTCCCAGAGGAGGGTGCACTCTAGAGGTGGCTCTGGTCTCAAGATGGCACTATGCTGCAGCAGCTTGTCTCACAGGGGTTGGTGAGGGGCAGATGGTGCACACCTTGTGTGCCTAGTCTGAGGCAATGCGTCTGCATGAATTCCCAGCAGCCTTCCAATCTGGGCTCAAGGCTTGTTGAGTACTATGGAGCTTCCCCTGTAGTAAGAATGGTAGGTGTTTTCAGTGGCACTGGAGAGTGGCGGGATCATCTGCTTACCTTTTTCCTGCAACTGGAAGTCTCTCCTAACTCTGGGCCAATCTATTCCAAGTGGTGGAGACAACACAACGGAGGTGATGACCTCCTGGAATTCCAGTCACTGCAAGTGTATCTCCACTCCCCTACTGCACTCCAGTCCTCTCCCTTTGACACTCCAGTCAAATCTTAGCTGTTTATTTGTTGTTGCCTTGGTCCTTTCTTGTCACAGACATGCATGCTCAGCATCTCTAGTCAATCATCTTGCTCCAATTTTTTTATCTTTATAGCTAAAGAGCAACATAACAAGAAAATCAAAGATGCTGTGTCACTTTTCTACAAGATGTTTTAAAACATTATGTTTTGAAGCTTTTTCATTTTACATATGACTCAATTACAGTTATTACTTAGCTTTCTTTGAATGGATTTTTGAATTTGATTGCCACTAAACTAATTTTGCTTTTCAAAGTGTTTTGTTGCTATAATTATAACTTATTAGTTATATGATAAGCGACCAAGGTGCAATACAGCTACTCAAAATTCTGTACAATAATTATACCAGTTGGAAATTGTAGCTCAGGAAAGATGTACTGTTAAATGAAAATTTAGTAGTTACAAAATGCTGAGTCAAAACTAATCTTCTTCAAGGTATAAATCAACTCTCCAGATTGACATAACCAGACAAAGAGTTTAACTTTTCTTTTTAGTTTATTATAATGAGAACACAAACAGTTTGGGGAGGTATCTCTTTAAAAATTATTACCAGTATAACAAGACTTTTTGAAAACTAGTACTAAATGCCCTAAAACGAAACAAAAAGCAAAATAAAATAAAATGAACAAACAAAAGAGATAATCAAAATCAGGTGTTTTTTTTTGTTTTTTGTTTTTTTTTGAGACGGAGTTTTGCTCTCTTGCCCAGGCTGGAGTGCAGTGGTGCGATCTCAGCTCACTGCAAGCTCCACCTCCCGGGTTCATGCCATTCTCCTGCCTCAGCCTCCCGAGTAGCTGGGTCTACAGGTGCCCGCCCTCACACCTGGCTAATTGTTTGTATTTTTAATAGAGACGGGGTTTCACCATATTAGCCAGGATGGTCTCGATCTCCTGACCTCATGATCCGCCCTCCTTGGCCTCCCAAAATGCGGGGATTACAGGCATGAGCCACCACGCCCGGCCTCAAAATCACTTTAAAAATGAAACATTTTTAAATAAAAATATAATTCAAGACAATGCAAGAAATATAATCTAGAAAAGTTATATAATGATGAGTCTTCTATTTCCACTTAAATGTATGAGAGGGCTGTCCCTGTGATGTATAGACTGAGGAGGCAATTGCTTCTGGAGCATAAGTTAAGAGGCACATCTTACTCCTACTCCTGAATATCTCTGGTTCAATGAGCTGAAATTCTGATCTTTAAATTTCTGCTTCTAGAAGTAAGGTTAATTCTGAAGGCATTCCTCCTACAAATTAACTAGATCCTAAATAAAACATGCATTTTTCTAATGCATTGCTAGACTCAAGGGAGTTAAGAAAATCTCCAAGAATCACCTCCTAAATAAACACATATTATGCAAATTGATACGTGAGTTTAGGCTAGAGTAGGACCACTGAGCGGTAACTGCAGAACAAGCTGGAAAAGTGAAGTTGCCTAAAAAAAAAAGAAGTGCTGATATTAGTGTAGAAAGAAGAGACAGTGTCGTCGGTTGGTTGCAATGTGGAATCGTTAAACTGAACTCAAGTGATTCCAGATTGAGAGCAACTCCTGGCTTTTAGTAGAAGTGGTGCAAATCCTCTCTGGAAGATAACAACTTCTATTTAGACTGCAAGATTTTCATAGATTAAGCTCAAGCAAATTTAGCTCAAAATAAAGATCAACAAAACCACAAAAGAGATGACTGTATGACTGAAATTTAGCAAAAACAAGAGAGATTTCCCCAAGGGTTTTGGATATTGAAACTAAGAAACAGAGAACACAATATAACTAAAAATGAAGTGTCTAAAAATATAAAAAAAAACAGAATCTAAAATGCAAAAGCAGAGACCTCAGGAAATTACTAGGATCATTTTGAAAAAAATAGAAATTTTAGGTATAAAAAATAAAATTGTTTTAAAAAATCAATATTAAATAGCAGATCAGACATAGCTGAAGAAAGATGTGAACTGGAAGATAAGCCAAAATAAATCACTTAGAATATAGTACATAGAGAAGACAAAAATATAGAAGAAAGTTTTAGAAATATGAAGGAAAGAATAAGATTCAATATAAGGCAAAGGAACTGCTACAAAGTCAGAATAGAGGAAATTTAAGAGAGTGAATATTTGCAGAAATAATAGCTAAAAATAGATGAAAAATATGAATCTACACAGAGGGAACCAAACCAACGCAAATACCGTGCAGGATAAATTAGGAAAAAAGTACACCTTCACACTTTGTGATGAAACAGCATAAAACCAAGGAGAAGCTCATAAAAGCAGGCATAAAGGCCAGGCAGATCATCTATGAAGAGGTGACAACAGTGAAATGTGTAAGATAAAAGAATTGCTGAAATAAATAAAGAAAATGACTACAGACAGCAGGTAGGAGACAGAAAAAAGAAATGGTGCTCAAATATGTTGGTAAACATATAGGTAAACATTGTCTTTATAAGATACTAAAAATAGTGCTATCTTATTTATAGGTTAAAAAGGAAACAGAACTAAAGAAAAACATGTTAATTGGGAGGAGAGAGTGATAGTAAAGTGTTCTAGAACACTGCTTAATACTTTATCAACTTGTTGATGGTTTTAAACAAGATTATTCTCATTTAATGAGTTGTCTAGCCACTTTGAAAATGTAGGATGGACCCCCATACAAAATTTGGTTCAAATGTCAAGATTGATGAACACACACACACACACACACACACCCAACAGGGTATGAAGAAGTTTATTACTCATACAATAAGATTTGCTGGGGAGGCCGGGCGCAGTGGCTCACGCCTGTAATCCCAGCACTTTGGGAGGCCGAGATGGGCGGATCACGAGGTCAGGAGATCGAGACCATCCTGGCTAACACGGTGAAACCCCATCTCTACTAAAAATACAAAAAATTAGCCGGGCGAGGTGGCGGGCGCCTGTAGTCCCAGCTACTTGGGAGGCTGAGGCAGGAGAATGGTGAGAACCCTGGGGGGTGGAGCCTGCAGTGAGCCGAGATTGCGCCACTGCACTCCAGCGTGGGCAACAGCGAGACTCCGTCTCAAAAAAAAAAAAAAAAACAAAAAAAAAAAAACAAGATTTGCTGGGGAAAGCAGGGAGGCACTCCCAAGTGTTCCAAAAATGGCTTGCGAGGGCCAGAAAAGGAAACTGGCTTGAGGTTTTCATGGTGATTAGTGGTGGGGCTGGGTCAGGGTTCCTATGTGAGGTTTTAAACTTTCCATAGGTGCCAAGGGAAGAAAAACTTGAGCTTTCTTATTCAGCTTGCTCAGATATGTGGCAGAAGGGGAAAAGGGAGGGTGAGGCTTAAAAGTTGTCAGCAGCAAAATGTTAAAAATAAATGGAGTCACATTCTTTATTACAATTAAATCCTGATATATGACTGATGACTGAAATGCACCATGTTTAATTTAACGGATTTCATACTTAAATAAGCCATTATGGTACCCTGTAAAGCCTGTAGCCTGAAGCCAGTAAGGGAGGTGAAAGTTCCATTGGAAGCATTATTTGAAAGTCCAACACTGTGTAGGCTGAGAAGTGAAATGAGTGCCTTGGTCACTCATTACTATGGTTTGAGTGTTTCTGTCTTCTCCAAAATTCATGTTGAAGTGTAATCCCGACTGCAACAGTATTAAGAGATGTAGCCTTTGGGAGGTGATTAAGTCATGAGGGCTTTGCTCTCATGAATGGTATTAGCACACTTATAAAAGGGTTTGAGGTTGAAAGGAGTGCTCTCTTGCTTTTCTGCTCCTCCTCCACATGAGGACACAGTGTTCCTCCCCTCTGGAGGATACAGCAACAGGGTGCCATCTTGGAAACAGAGAGAAGCCCTCATCAGACACCAATGCTTGTACCTTGATCTTAGACTTCCCAGCCTCTAGAACTGTAAGAAATAAATTTCTGTTCTTTATCAATTACCCAGTCTAAGGTATTTTGTTAGGGCAGCATGAACAGACTAAGACAGTCATTATGCAATATCCATCTCTATCTGCACATTTTTATAGATTCTTGTGCCATTCAGTGGCCTGGCTGCCTGGACTGATCACTGTTGGCAGAAACAATTCCTTGTACAAGGTTGGAACTTTTTGGGTAAAGAATTCTGGGAACATTTTGTCTCATAGAGACGATGTATATAAATATTATTCTTGAGTGTCTTTGAGGCTAGAAGTGCAAGATCAAGGTGTCAGCAGGTTCGGTTTCTTCTGAGGCCTCTCTCTTTAGCTCTCATCCTCCACCTGTGTGTTGTCTGCGTCCTAAACTCTTCTTATGAGAACACCAATCATATTGGATCTCAGCCCACCCATGTGACATCATTTTACCTTAATTACCTCTTTAAAAGCCCTATTTCTAAATACAGACACATGCCACTTACTGAGGGTTGAGATTTCAGCATATGAGTTTTGGAGAGGCAAAATTGAGCCTATAACAGGTATACTGTGTCCCTTTGAAGGTAAAGGCAAATTGTGGTGGAAGGCTATTCAAATAGGCCCTGAACAGTAACCAAATCTATAATACAAAAATCTGGGCTAGGTGCAGTGCCTCATGCCTGTAATCCTAGCACTTTGAGAGGCCAAGGCGGGCAGGTCATCTGAAGTCAGGAGTTCGAGACCATCCTGGCCAACATGGTGAAACCCTGTCTCTACTAAAAATACAAAAAATTAGCCAGGCATGGTGGCATGTGCCTGTAATCTCAGGTACCCGGGAGGCTGAGGCAGGAGAATCGCTGGAACCTGGGAGGTGGAGGCTGCAGTGAGCTGAGATGGCGCCACTGCACTCCAGCCTGGGCGACAGAGTGAGACTCTATCTCAAAAAAAAAAAAAAAAAAAGTACTGTGTCCGGAATTGGTGGGTTCTTGGTCTCACTCACTTCAAGAGTGAAGCTGTGGACCCTTGTAGTGAGTGTTACCATTCTTAAAGGTGGTGTGTCTGGAGTTTTTTCCTTCTGATGTTCAGACGTGTTCAGAGTTTCTTCCTTCTGGTGGATTCATGTTCTCGCTGGCTTCAGGAGTGAAGCTGTAGATCTTTGCAGTGAGTGTTACGGCTTTTAAGGTGCCATGTCTGGGGTTATTCGCTCCTCCCATCTGGGGTTGTTCATTCCTCCCGGTGGGTTCGTGGTCTCGCTGGCCTCAGGAGTGAAGCCACAGACCTTCGTGGTGAGTGTTACAGCTCATAAAGGCAGTGCAGACTCAAAGAGTAAGCAGCAGCAAGATTTATTGCAAAGAGTGAAACAACAAAGCTTCCACAGTGTGGAAGAGGACCCGAGTGGATTGCCACTGCTGGCTCTGGCAGCCTGTTTTTATTGCCTTATCTGGCCTCACCCACATCCTGCTGATTCGTCCATTTTACAGAGAGTCGATTGGTCTGTTTTACAGAGAGCCAATTGGTCCATTTTGACAGGGTGCTGATTGGTGCATTTACAATCCCTGAGCTAGACACAAAAGTTCTCCAAATCCCCACTAGATTAGCTAGACACAGAGCACTGATTGGTGCATTTACAAACCTTGAGCTAGACACAGGGTGCTGATTGGTGTGTTTACAAACCTTGAGCTAGACACAGAGTGCTGACTGATGTATTTACAATCCTTTAGCTAGACATAAAGGTTCTTCAAGTCCCCACTAGATTAGCTAGATACAGAGTGCTGATTGGTGCATTTACAAACCTTGAGCTAGACACAGAGTGCTCATTGGTGTATTTACAATCCCTTAGCTAGACATAAAGGTTCTCTAAGTCCCCACTAGATTAGCTAGACACAGAGTACTGATTGGTGCATTTACAAACCTTGAGCTAGACACAGGGTGCTGATTGGTGTGTTTACAATCCCTTAGCTAGACATAAAGGTTCTCCAAGTCCCCACTAGATTAGCTAGATACAGAGTGCTGATTGGTGTGTTTACAAACCTTGAGCTAGACACAGAGTGCTGATTGGTGTATTTATAATCCCTTAGCTAGACATAAAGGTTCTCCAAGTCCCCACTAAACTCAGGAGCCCAGCTGGCTTCACCTAGTGGATCCCACACCAGGGCCACAGGCAGAGCTGCCTGCAAGTCCCACACCGTGCACCTGCACCCCTTAGCCCTTGGTTGGTCAATGGGACCGGGCGCCACAGAGCAGGGGGCGGTGCTCGTCGGGGAGGCTTGGGCCACACAAGAGCCCACAGTGGGGAGGGGAGGCTCAGGCATGGTGGGCAGCAGGTCCCGAGCCCTGCCCTGTGGGGAGGCAGCTGAGGCCCAGCAAGAATTTGAGCACAGTGCCATCAGGCTGGCACTCCTGGGGGACCTGGCGCACCCTCTGCAGCTGCTGGCCCAGGTGCTAGGCCCCTCACTGCCCAGGGCTGGCAGCACTGGCCAGCCGCTCTGAGTGCGAGGCCTGCTGAGCCCACACCCACCTGGAACTTGCACTGGCCCACGAACGCTGCCCTCAGCCCCGGTTCCCACCTGCGCCTCTCCCTCCACACCTCCCTGCAAGCAGAGGGAGCTGGCTCTGGCCTCGGCCAGCCCAGAGAGGGGCTCCTGCAGTGCAGCAGCAGGCTGAAGGGCTCCTCAAGCATGGCCAGAGTGGGCGCCAAGGCTGAGGAGGCACCAAGAGTGAGCGAGGGCTGCCAGCACACTGTCACCTCTCAATCCCCCCTCTAAACAGGACACCCCAACTGCTGTTGGGAATTTGGCCGATGACCGCTCTAGCTACTTCCTGCTGCATAGGGGCAATGAAGGGGCCCTGCAGTTGTAGTGTCCTCCAGAGGGGAGCTCTCTAGGCCAGTGAAAGTGCCAGCGGGTCAGTCCAGGGGTCCTCGGTAGAAGTTGTTAGTTGAACTCATTTGGGGTTCCATTTGTAAGACCATCTGTAGCTTGATGTCTTCGATTCTAGAGGAAACAAATTTGACAAGAAGGTTAAAAATACAGGGCCCAAAGGCGAGTAACAGCAAGATGGCTGTCATGGGACCTAGAAAGGGGAGAAGCCGTGTTGCCCAACTCCAGAGGTTGGTATAAGAGTTTGAAAGGCATTGTCTGATTTCAGAAGCCTTTTCCTGTAAATGCCAGGCAGCATCTCATACTACCCCTGACTGGTTAGTTTAAAAACGACACTTTTCCCCTAAGAAAATGCAGAGTCCTCCCTTCTCAGCAGTGAGGAGGTCTAGGCCTTGGCAGTTTTGGAGAGTCACTGCTGCCAAAGAGTCTATTTGGGATTGTAAAGTAAGGATAGATTTCGTTATTTCTTGCACACTGTCTGAGAAATCCTTTGAGAGTGTGTGGTAGTAGCATAATGAAGTAGATAAACCAGCTATTCCAGTTCCTGTAGCAGTAGCCATTCCTAACCCTATAAGTAGGGGTATTAGTTGTATGGCTCTGCACTGATGGACTTGAGCTTTGAGGGGTACTGATAAGGTCTGATTTCCTGGGGCAATGTTAACGTTGGGACTTAGAAAGACTAAGGTGCAGGTACCTGTCCAGTTAGTGGGGAGGGAAATATAGGTCAGTGTTCCACATAAGAATATACCTTGGCTGGGTAGACAGAACTGGTTATGTATGTTAAAAAGGTGTGTGAGTTTGTTGTTTTCGTTTTCCCATACTCCTAGAGTACTTGCCAAGGTAGCTCCAGTGAGTGGCTGGGAAGGGGTGTTGGGAGCAAACTGAATGGCTCCCTGTGTTCTATTTTTGCATTGGAGAAAAAAAGTTTTGTATCCACTAGGACCATTTTGAGAGAGTGATTGAAAGATGGGATGAGAAGGCATTCACTAGTGGTGGGGGCGCTGCTGCAGGGGGTCCAGGGGTGAATGGTCATGCAGGGAGTATGTTTGCCATTACAAAACCTGGACTGTTTGTTAAGCAGGGAGGAAGTGATGATTTTGGGGGGCCGTGAGAAGTGGACAAGCCATCTGAATGGAGCTGTTTGGGTGACTCAGAAGTTACTATGATCAGTTGGGGCTTGAAGTCGTAGGGTGTAATTACACTGACGTGGTAGTAGGTGCCCCAAGGGCAGGCCTGATAACAGATTGCATTGGATGCATAAAGGGGCTTGGAAAATTAAGATAGTATTCATGGTTACAGGGCCTTGTATGGGCTTTTCATTGCTTGTGTAATAGGTGAGGTTGGAAATGTAAAAATGTGAAAGTTGCATTGCACATCCTGTTAGGGTATTCTTGGTCCTATCAGATATGGGGAAGTCAGCTAATGATTGGATATTTAGAAGTCAGAAAGGGTCTTTTCCTTCATAACGAGAGTTGTAGGTCTAGTTGGTAAAGACCCAGTTTTCTGCGGGAATGGGAGTGGCAACATAGGCAGAGGTTTATAGACAGATACAAAACCAACAGTCATTTGCCAGGAAGGATTGGACTGGTTTAACAGAGAGTGAGTTAAGTTGAGAGTCTTGTAGTGGTAATTAGGAGCTAGTGGAAGGGGAGGGGTGATTGTATGAGGTATCCAAGGAAGCAGGAGGGATACATAGGCAAAGAGCAAATAGGAAGGTAAAGAGGGTGCTCTGGAAAATGAGATCATTTTATCTAGTCTGAGTTAGAGGTAGGAGTAAATTGCTGTCAAAAGGAAGGAAGATAGAAAGAAGGTGGATGTGATTAGGATTTTCATCCTGGCAGGAGCTAGAGTATTTAGTCCTATCACAAAGAGTATGGTTAGTATGCTGTTTTCACTTATCTTTTTTAAGGAGGAAGGGGTCTTTCCTCAGGATCAGTGGTAGAAGCCTTTTTAGTCTGGGATGTTTCCTTCCAAAATAGGAGGTGCAAGTCCTCCAACAGTTCACTGGTGTATCGAGGCTGGTCTGGCTGATCTTGGGACTCCTGATCTGGTGCTCCCTCAGGTTCCTCAGGGGATGTCCAAAGTTTAACTCGGGTGTGGTTAATCCAAGATTCTACTCCTGCCAGCTTAACTGCAGTGGGAGTAGAGAGGATTACCGAGTATGGTCCTTCCCACACAGGGTCCATAGATGGGGAGGTAGAGGGGAGAGATTTGACCAACACTAGATCTCCTGGTTGAAACAACTCTGTTCCCTTTTCTCTGTGACATCCTTCAGGTAGGTTTTTAAGGTTTTGTTGATATTTTGCCAAAGAAGTTATATCTTTAACCAAGTTGGTCATTTCCTGATCAAGTAGGAGGTCATTTGTGGGGAAAGGTCGTCCATACAGCATTTCATATGGACTGAGCCCTATTTTGTGAGGAGAATTTCAGATTCTCAACAGGGCCATGGGCAAAAGAGTAGGCCATGGGAGATGAGTTTCTTGTGTTAGTTTCTTTAAGTGCCTCTTGAGTGTTTCATTTGCCTTCTTGACCTTCCTTGAAGATTGTGGCCTCCAGGAGCAGTGAAGGTGATATTGTATCCCTAGCACCCTGGAAATTCCCTGAGTTAATGTGGCTTTAAAGGCCAGACCATTGTCACTCTATAAGCTTTGGGGAAGCCCAAATCTAGGAATTATTTCATGAATTAGGACTTTAATCACTTCCTGAGCCTTCTCTGTCTTGCAGGGGAAAGCTTCTATCCAATTTGTAAAGCTATCAACACAGACCAACAAGTATTGAAATCTCTTTGACTTAGGCATGTGGGTGAAGTCTAACTGCCAGTCCTCTCCGGGATAGTGACCTATTCTTTGTTCCCCAAAAGGGGCCTTACGATAAACCAAAGGATTATTCTTTTGGCACACCTCACAGGTTTTGACTACCTGTTGGATGGTCCAGAGGAGATTTGGCCCTGTAAATAGGGATTTGGCCATTTGATTAGTGTTTTCAATACCCATATGAAAAGTTTGGTGGAGGGTTTTAAATTTTCCACTGGCTGGCTTCAGGTATAAGTACCTTTCCTTCTTCTGTCACCAACCACCCCGAGGGGAGAAAACTATGCCCCCGTGAAAGTCCCCACTCTGCTTCAGTCAGGGAATACTGGGGCTTAATCTCTTGGAGGGGGTTGTTCCATACCAAGGGCCCTTCCATAGGTATTTCTAATGGGGGGTTCTGCCTGGCAGCAATTTTGGCCTCAGCATCTGCCTGATGGTTTCCTTCTGCCTTATGTCCTTCACCTTTCTGATGGCTTTGGCAGTGTAAGACTGCCACCTCCTTGGGTTTTTGCACTGCATGCAATAACTCTATAATTTCCTTGTGGTATTTAATGGGGGTTCCCCCAGAGGTTAGGAACTCCCTTTCTTTCCATATTGCAGCATGGGCATGTAGGATTAGATAAGCATACTTGATATCTGTATACACATTTATTCTTTTTCCCTTTCCCAGTTCTAAGGCTTGGGTAAGTGCCATTAGTTCTGCTAACTGGGCACTGGTCCCTTGGGGGGAAGAGGCTTACTTTCAAGTATGGTTACATCACTAACTATGGCATAACCTGCCCTTCATATCGCATTCTCCACAAATGAACTTCCATCGGTATATAGGTTAAGGTCAGGATTAGCTAAGGGGACTTCTAAGAGGTCATTTCAGGTGACATAAGTCTGGACTACAATTTGTTGGCAGTCATGCTCGATTGGTTCCCCATCCTCTGGGAGAAAAGTGGCAGGATTGAGGGCCACACACGTGCGTATTTGAAGCACCGGTCCCTCAAGGAGTAGCACCTGGTATCTAAGTAGGTGGTTGTCTGATAGCTATAAACTTCCTTTGGCATCTAGTATGCCATTTACATCATGAGTAGTCCAGATAGTGAGATCCTTTCCTTGTATTATCTTGATAGCCTCTGACACTAAGACAGCCACCACCGCAACTACCCTTAAACAGTGAGGCCAGCCTTTTGCTACTACATCAATTTCCTTACTTAGGTATGCCACTGGTTGTGGGGTTGTCCCACGAGTCTGAGTAAGGACTCCAAGAGCTATCCCTGCTCTGTCTGTGATGTATGAAGAGAAGTTTTGTCCTGTCAGAAGGTTTAAAGCTGGAGCTTGTACTAGGACCTGCTTTAAGGTTTTGAAGGCTGTTTCTGCCTCTTATTCCCATTCTACTGGATGAGTATTTACCCTCTGAGTTTCCTTGATTAGAGTATAGAGGGGCCTGGCTATCTTGCTGTATCTGGAGAGCCATAGTCAGCAAAAGCCAATAATTCCAAGGAACCCCTGCAACTATTTTAATGTCTCAGGGTGAGGATAAGCCAGTATAGGCTATATTTGTTCCTTGCTGATGGCCCTAGTCCCTCTGGCTAAGATTAGGGCTAGATATTCGACTTGCTCTAGGCAAAGCGGGGCCCTCAACCTAGACATCATGTACTCTTGATTAGCTAGAAAGTTCAAGAGATCTAGAGTAGCCTGCTGGCATGAGGCTTCCAAACTGGTAGCCAAATGTAAATCATCCACATACTGAAGGACCAGAGTGTCTGGACTTGAGAAGTGGCCTAGATCTTGGGCCAGTGCCTGACCAAACAGATGAGGGCTATCCCTAAACCCTTGGGGCAAGACCGTCCACGTAAGTTGGGATGTGTGGTCTGTGGGATCCTCAAAGTCAAAGAGAAACTGGGAGTCAGAGTGCAGGGAAATACAGAAGAAGGCATCCTTGAGGTCCAGAACCATGAACCATTCTGCTTTCTCTGGTATTTGAGAGAGCAGGGTATAGGGGTTGGGTACAACTGGATATAGAGGAATTACTGCCTCATTGATGAGTCTAAGATCTTGCACTAGTCTCCACTGACCATTCAGTTTCTGTACTCCTAGAATTGGGGTGTTGCAGGGACTGCCGCATTTCCTTACTAAGCCTTGAGCTTTTAAATGTTTAACAATGTCCTGTAATCCTTTATGAGCTTCAGGCCTTAAGAGATATTGCCTTTAATAAGGAAAAGTGGTGGGATCTTCTAACCTGATTTGGACTGGGCAGGCATTTTTTGCCCTTCCAAATTGTCCCTCCAATGCCCAGACTTCAGGGTTGATTCCCTCCTCAAGCAGGGGACAACAAATGAGTAACTTGTTCCCCATATTCATGTAGATAATAGCTCCAGCCTTGGCTAATATATCCCTCCCTAATAAGGGTGTGGGACTTTCAGGCATAACAAGAAAGGCATGTGAAAAGAGCAAAGTCTCCCAATTACAACTGAGGAGGTGGGAGAAATACCTGGTTACAGGCTGTCCCAGGATTCCTCAGATGGTAATGGACCTTGAGGACAGTCGTCCAGGACAGGAGATTAACACTGAGAAGTCTGCGCGAGTGTCAAGGAGGAAGTCAATTTCCTGGCCCTCAATGGTTAAACATACCCAGGGCTCAGTGAGGGTGATGACAGCTGGCTCTTGCCCCAGGCACCCTCAGTCCTGTTGTTGGATCATCTGGTTGGGGGCTTCTGACCCAGAGAACCTTCATCCTCTGGGGCATTGCATCTTCCAGTGATTGCCTCAGCATAGTGGACATGGACGAGGGGGCAGCTTGTTTCTCATTGGACAATCCTTTTTAAAGTGTCCAAGTAAACTACAGTGATAACAAGCCCTACCGGGTGATTGGCCTGCTCCATTTTCTGTCCTCTCTGAACTACCAAGATTTGTTTGTCTGATGGCCATGACTAAGGCTGCGACCTTTCTCTGATCTTGCTTTTCCTTTTGGACCTGTTCCTCTTGGTTCCTATTATAGAACACTGAGGTTGCCAAGTTTAATAATGCCTCTAGATTTTGTTCAGGGCCCAGGGCTTGCTTTTGGAGCTTTCTTCTGATATCTGCAGCTGATTGGGTAATAAACTTATCTTTTAGAATCAATTGACCCTCGAGTAAGTCAGGTGACAGGGGAATATATTTTCTTAAGGCCTCCCATAGCCACTCAAGGAAGGCAGAAGGATTTTCTTCCTTTCCCTTAGTTATGGTGGACATCATTGAACAATTCATGGGCTTTTTTCTAATTCTCCTTAGTCCTTCTAGAACACAGGTCAACAGATGTCTACAACTCCAGTTCTCATGATCTGAGTCAAGGTCCCAGTGGGGATCCATACTGAGGATGGCTTGCTGATCAGTAGGGAATTTGTCCCTTTCTTTGGTGTCATTCTATCATTTACTTGACTAAGATACCAGGTATCTCCAAACTCTCGGGCTGCAGCTAAAGCTGCATTCTTTTCATTAAAGGCCAGGGTTTGATCTAACAGTAGCATGACATCTCTCCAAGCGAGGTTGAAGGTTTGCCCTAGACCCTGTAGGACATCTATATACCTATCAGGATCATCTAAAAACTTCCCCAGGTCTGCCTTAATCTGCTTTAAATCAGAGAGGGAGAAGGGGACATGTACCCGGGTTGGGCCAAATTTCCCTCCCCCTACAGCTTGAATGGGACATAACTGATAGCCCGTGGAGGGGGTGTTTGTGATCCTTTGGAGAGTTCTTTGCTTATTTCCTTCTGGGCAGGGGAGATTAGAGGAGGATTATCATTAATAGGAAGGGGAGCTATAGGGAGGCTAGGATATGGGGGTAAGCTGAGAGGTCCACCTGTGGGACGTAAATTGTAAGCTTTGCATAGTTATGTATTCCCCCTCAATGAAAAGAAATCTTGGACATAAGGTATTTCACTTCATTTGCCTTCCCTCTCACAGAAAAGGTCAGCTGCAGGATAGTATTGTAATTTATACTTCCTTCAGGTGGCCATTTTTCCCCATCAGAGAGAGAATATTGGGGCCAAGCCATAGTGCAGAAAAAAATGAGCTGCCTCTTTTTCAGGGTTTATGGGTCAAACTGGTCCCAATGGCTTAGGATGCATTTCAAGGGTGAGCCTGTTGATGCCTGAGTGTTTCCCATCTGAAAGACAAAACCGCCCACACTTTTGGTTTGTTTTGTTTCTCCTCCTGCCCAAGAGCCCACAACAGTCCCTGGACCCTGCTGATCGGAATAGTTGCACTCACTGATGCAGCAGCAGAAACACTAGTTTCCCTCCCAGACCACATGGTGGACTGAGGAAGTTCGGATTTAGTGGCCCTTACCAATGCATTCTCAAAAACCTGCACCCTTGCCTGTCCTCCTAGACCACAAGGAGCACCAAGAAAAATCGGATTTAGTGGCCCTTACTGACGCATTCTCGAAAACCTGTTAGAGTCCTAAGCATTCTCCTGTTAGTATTGGGACTTTACCTTTGTCCTATAAAGATGTTATGCCCCAAAAATGAAGTGGAGGGCCATACCCTGAGGGAGGGAATGGATCTCCAGAGTTGGAAGAGTGATGCCTTTTGTCCTCACTTATATGAATAGGAAGGATACAATTTCTGAGGCTCCCCATATCCTAGCTTCAGGAATAGCTTTTGTTAGGCCTGTTAGTCTGAGGAGGGATCCTAAAATTCCAGGTAGTCCCCACTATGACGGGGCTTTGGGCAAAAATTATGTCTTTCTGATTGGTGAGCCCAGGTGGCTAAAGAACGTAACAGAGCCCTGGAGTTTATACTAGAAATCATTCTTATAGGAGAAACTAGAAAAGCACCAGAGACAGGTAGTGATTTTTAGAAGTGGGACTAACCTTGGAGAAGAGAGGTGAGAGGAAGTTTGCTTGGCAGGCATTAGGACCTAGGGGGCAAAGGTCAGGATAGATAGGATAGATGGGTGAGTCTCGCTTGGGTGACATGCCTTTGAGAGTTCTGCTCATGACCACAGGGTCAACCATCTTGTTGTCGGGACCCCGGAGTTGCATGGCTTTCCTCTCCGTCGACCCTCGGCTCAGCCCAGAAGTACAGGAAAAGTGGAAGCTGGTTCTAGGCAAACCAACGCTCCCAACTCCAAAGAGTCGGGAGTTGTTAGAGAGCCCTTTCCCAGAAAGCCTGACACCAGTGTCTTTAGTCTGGCGGCTAGTCCCCTTTAATTGACTGACAGGTGCCAGGTATTTAGCCACTGAATTCTAAGGAAAAATAGGACAGAATAGCAAGCGAAAGGGGTCCGATGGTACTCACTGCTTGGCGATAGGTGACAGTCTCGCCACTCAGCGGTAGGCGATGGTCTCACCCCTTGGTGATAGTCTCATCACTTGGTGATAGGCGATAGTACCTTCGTTGTTGCCAAAATGTGTCCAGAATTGGTGGGTTCTTGGTCTCACTGACTTCAAGAATGAAGCCACGGACCCTCGCGGTGAGTGTTACAGTTCTTAAAGGTGGTGTGTCTGGAGTTTGTTCTTCTGATGTTCGAATATGGGATGTGTTCAGAGTTTCTTCCTTCTGGTGGGTTCATGGTCTCACCAGCTTCAGGAGTGAAGCTGCAGACCTCTGCGGTGAGTGTTACAGCTCTTGAGGCAGCATGTCTGGAGTTGTTCACTCCTCCTGTCTGGAGTTGTTCATTCCTCCTGGTGGGTTCGTGGTCTCGCTTGCCTCAGGAGTGGAGCTGCAGATCTTTGTGGTGAGTGTTACAGCTCATAAAGGCAGTGCGGACCCAAAGAGTGAACAGCAGCAAGATTTATTGCAAAGACTGAAAGAACAAAGCTTCCACAGTGTGGAAGGGGACCCGAGCAGGTTGCCACTGCTGGCTCGGGCAGCCTGCTTTTATTCCCTTATCTGGCCCTACCCACATCCTGCTGTTTGATCCATTTTACAGAGAGCTGATTGGTCTGTTTTACAGAGAGACAATTGGTCCATTTTGACAGGGTGCTGATTGGTGCATTTACAATCCCTGAGCTAGACACAAAAGTTCTCCAAATCCCCACTAGATTAGCTAGACACAGAGAACTGATTGGTGCATTTACAAACCTTGAGCTAGACACAGGGTGCTGATTGGTGTGTTTACAAATCTTAAGCTAGACACAGAGTGCTGACTGGTGTATTTACAATCCCTTAGCTAGACATAAAGATTCTCCAAGTCCTCACTAGATTAGCTAGACACAGAGCACTGATTGGTGCATTTATAAACCTTGAGCTAGACACAGAGTGCTGATTGGTGTGTTTACAAACCTTAAGCTAGACACAGAGTGCTGACTTGTGTATTTACAATCCCTTAGCTAGATATAAAGGTTCTCCAAGTCCCCACTAGACTCAGGAGCCCAGCTGGCTTCACCTAGTGGATCCCGCACCAGGGCCGCAGGTGGAGCTGCCCACCAGTCCCACGCCATGGCCCGCACCCTTCAGCCCTTGGGCGGTCAATGGGACCAGGCACTGCAGAGCAGGGGACAGCACTCGTCAGGGAGGCTCAGGACGCACAGGGGCCAATGGCGGGGGTTGAGGGGAGACTCAGGCATGGTGGGCTGCAGGTCTCAAGCCCTGCCCCACCGGGAGGCAGCTGAGGCCCAGCAAGAAGTCAAGCACAGCGCCGGTGGGCTGGCACTGCTGGGGGACCCGATGCACCCTCTGCAGCTGCTGGCCCAAGTGCTAAGCCCCTCACTGCCTGGGGCCAGTGGCACTGGCTGGCTGCTCTGAGTGCAGGGCCTGCCAAGCCCATGCCCAACCATAACTCGCACTGTCCTGTGAGTGCCTCACTCAGCCCCGGTTCCCGCCTGCCCCTCTCCCTCCACACTTCTGCGCAAGCAGAGGGAGCTGGCTCCGGCCTCAGCCAGCCCAGAGAGGGGCTCCCACAGTGCAGCGGTGGGCTGAAGGGCTCCTCAAGCATGGCCAGAGTGGGTGCTGAGGCTGAGGAGGCTCCGAGAGTGAGTGAGGGCTGCCAGCATGCTGTCACCTCTTAGTACAATTTGCTGAGTAGTTGGAGCCAGTAATTTCAATAATATTGCATATGAGTGCCTAAATGAGGGAGATCACAGTTTTAAGACTGTGGGTAAGCCCTGTGAGGCACCATTCATTTTTTCCAACTTTAAGAACAGGCCAAATAGGGCTGTTAAATAGAGACACAGTGGGGGGTAATCACTCTTCTTCAAATAGGTCTTATATAATGATTTTAATTTTTGAAGTTTCTGTTTTAATTTACATTAGGCAGTATTAACTATTTAAGTAGAGAGGGATCGTCCATAGGGTCCTATTTTGTAAATCCAGTTTATAAGGGATAAAAATTTAATTTTAGTTTATTAGCTATTGGCTTAAAGCATTCATGCCTACTATGGGATATTTTAAAGCAATGGATGCTATGATCAAGGAAATTTAGGCAAGGTGATAGTTCTGGTAATTAAGGTGACACATAACTCTTTGTTCTCTTTTATGTTCAGTAACTCACTTAAGATTATAGGGGGTACCTTGTTTAAATTTAGTGGGATCCTCAGGTACAACTAATTTAGGCCACAGTATGGATGAAGGCTGTAAGATTTGCCAATTGATATATTTCAGCAACTTTTAAAGTTAATTTAGAACTTGTATTTTAGATGTGCAAAAGCTGATCAGCATTCTTATTTTTTGTATGTAAATTCTTTAAGTAAATTTTGGATTTTCAATTGGGTCAAATTTTGGACCTCTGTTTCACTTTTGTTTGTTTGTTCCTTCCTCTTGTATCCAGGTTTCTTTCTTTTCTTTATTTCTTTTTCTGGTACTTCCTTTATTTCTTCCTTCCTTCTTGCCTGCCTGCTCGCTGGCCATGTTGCTCGTTATGGGATTACTTTGGAAGTGAGGAGGTACTCTCTACTCTGCTCATATTTTTAAATAAGAGATTCTTCAAGAGATTCTCAAACCAGCATCATCAGCATTAGGGGCCTCTCTCATGGCGGTGGTAGAATTAGCCTTTGGCTGTGCCACAGGTGTGCAATAGGTATTTTCCTTACAACCTTGAGGATCAGGATATTTTCTGGTGACAGAGGCATAGGCAGCAGCAGCAGCAGCAGCAAAAATAGGATGTATTTGCATTTAGGAGTGTGACTTAAGCATGCCACACAGTAACTACTTTTCCATGCAAGTGACCACCCGGTGGATATCAGTGTTTCCTTTGAGTGTGCTATAGAATGGAGATAACACCTGGTTGAGGCATATGACCATGGGGCCCAGGGTAAAAGTTGTCCTGAGCTTATGCTAGAATCAAGACATATGATTTTTTTCTGAGACTTACACAGGTCTGGGTTAAAGCACAAGAGCCAGGGTCACTTTAACAAGGGCTCCAATACCATCACCTGGCTCTAAATGTCAGTTATAATATCTGACTTAGATCCATTAAATCTATAACAAAGCCTTGGTAGGACTCACCAAATGCAGCATAAACTGGCACAGCTCAAAGAGAAAGCTCACCAACAGGCATGAAATTCCGTTAAAAAAGCCAAATCAAATGAAAAAAGACTTCCATTGGTGGTAATTGTGGTCTATACACCCTGCTCACAGCACCAAGTATAGTGCCCACTGCTCTCCACACAAAACACCAAGCCAGTTGCCTTTCCTTTATCT
Organism: Homo sapiens; assembly: GCF_000001405.40. Classification (NCBI taxonomy): domain Eukaryota; kingdom Metazoa; phylum Chordata; class Mammalia; order Primates; family Hominidae; genus Homo; species Homo sapiens. Next base: position 101,243,437 of record NC_000011.10, read on the forward strand.
TTGTAGCCATTTTTGGACTTAATTCAATACACCCTACTTTCTCCAGTAAGCTTCATTATGTGAGGAGTAAATATTTTTAGGCCCTCTTTTTGTGTGTGTGTGTGTGTGTGTGTGTGTGTGTGTGTGTGTGTGTGTGTGTAGGCGGGGAGGGGGCAATGTTCTTGTGACATCATCAGACTGAACCCAAACCAAATTTTGGATAGAGTCCATACTTTTTCAGCTGGATGGCTACAGCAGCTTGTCTAGTGGGGCTGAGAATGTACCTTTCAAATGAGCTCCCAGGTGAGACCACACTTTGGATAACAAGATTCTAGAGTTCTTTTATTGCTTAAGGTCTTAAGATGCTGAACAGTTAATACCTACTGTAAATGACGAGTTAATGGGTGCAGCAAACCAACATGGCACATGTATGCCTATGTAACCAACCTGCACGTTGTGCACATGTACCCTAGAACTTAAAGTATAATAAAAAAAGATGCTGAATAATTAACCACGAAAGAAAAAGTGTATACCAGCCAAAAGCATTCAATGAAAATGAAATTGAGGAGCAAAAAAAAAAAAAAAAAAAAAAAGATGTGACAAATATATCCAAATACCTGTATAACAAATCCAAATATATCAGTGATCATAGTAAACATAAATGAACTGAAACTGGCAGGTAAAAATATAAGTTGCTTGTATGTTATTTTTGAAGACCAAGAAATGTAAAGACAAAAAAACTTGAAAGTTAAGATTAGAAAAAGATACACCAGGCAAATACTAACTGAAAAGAAAAGGAAAAGCTAGGTTAGGATAACTACATCAAAATCAGAAAAAATACATCTCTGATAAAAAGAATTAAATGGCAAAGAGAGGATCAATGTATAATGATAATAAGGGAGGAGACCACCCCTCATATTGTCTTATGCCCAATTTCTGCCTCCAAAGAAAGAAGAAGTAAAAACTAGAAGGCACAAATGAAATCCACAGGCAGACATCCCAGCACTGCACCCTGGGCCTGGTAGTTAAAGATTGACCCCCGACCTAACTGGTTATGTTATCTATAGATTCCAGACATTGTATGGAAAATCATTGTAAAAATTCCTGTCCTGTTCTGTTCCATTCTGATTACCAGTGCATGCAGCCTCCAGTCACGTACCCCCTGCTTGCTCAATTGATCATGACCCTCTCACCTGGACCCTCTTAGAGTTGTGAGCCCTTAAAAGGGACAGGAATTGCTCACTTGGGGAGCTCAGCTCTTGAGACAGGAGTCTTGCTGATGCTCCCAACTGAATAAACCCCTTACTTCTTTAACTCGGTGTCTGAGGGTTTTTGTCTGTGGCTCTTCCTGCTACATTTCTTGGTTCCCTGACTGGGAAGCAAGGTGATTGGAGGATGGTGGAGGCAGCTCCTTAGGGGGCTTAAGCCTGCCCTGTGGAACATCCCTGCAGGGGACTCTGACCAGCCCGAGCAATGCGGATCCTGAGAGCACTCTCAGGTAGGCATTTGCCCTGGTGGGACGCCTTGCCAGAGTAGTGTGTGGCAGGCTCCTGTGGAGGATCAATGCAGTGGCTGAACACCAGGAAGGAACTGGCACTTGGAGTCTGGACATCTAAAACTTGGTAAGACTGGTTTTTAGAACTTGCCCACTCCATTTGAGTGGAAGCATGGCCTGATCACCCACGGCGTGCCTTTATCGGTGCTTTGGTTTTGGTTTTGATTTGGTTTGGATTGCTTGACAGGACTGGTCTTAGGAACTTGCCCACTCCATTTGAGTGGAAGCGTGGCCTGATCACCCACAGCGTGCCTTTATCGGCACTTTGGTTTTGGTTTTGGTTTTGACTTGGTTTGAATTACTTAACAGGACTGGTCTTGGGAACTTGCCTACTCCATTTGAGAGGAAGTGTGGCCTGATCACCCATGACGTGCCTGTACTGGCACTTTGGTTTTTGTTTTTGACTTGACTTGGATTGCTTGATACTTTGGTTTTGACTTGGCTTGGATTTCTTGATAACCTGATTTTGGTTTTGATTCTGGTTTGGCGTAAACTGTAAAAGTGTGTGTGTGCCCTTTTTACCCATTCTTTGTTTTGTGGTGTGTGTGTGGTGTGAGCGTGGTGTTTTGTCTTGAGGGAACCTGGGTGAGACACAAAGTAAGCCCACCCCACTAGGAACTGTGTTGAAAAATTTCAAAAAGGGATTTAAAGGAGACTATAGAGTTACTGTGACACCAGGAAAACTTAGAACTTTATGTAAAATAGACTGGCCAGCATTAGAGGTGGGTTGGCCATCAGAAGGAAGCCTGGACAGGTCCCTTATTTCAAAGGTAAGGCACAAGGTAACTTGTAAAGCCAGGGCACCCAGACCAGTTCCGGTACATAGACACCTGGTTACAGCTGGTTTTAGATCCCTCCACAGTGGTTGAGAGAACTGCAGCATAAGCAGCTGGCAGAGGCAGAGAGAGAGAGAAAGACAGAGAGGAGAGAGAGACAGGCAGAGAGGAGAGAGAGAGACAGGAGAGAGAGACAGAGAGGAGAGAGAGAGAGGCACAGAGGAGAGAGAGAGACAGAGGAGAGAGAGGCAGAGAGGAGAGAGAGAGACAGAGGAGAGAGAGGCAGAGAGGAGAGAGAGAGAGGCACAGAGGAGAGAGAGAGACAGAGGAGAGAGAGGCAGAGAGGAGAGAGAGAGAGGCACAGAGGAGAGAGAGAGACAGAGGAGAGAGAGGCAGAGAGGGGAGAGAGAGAGGCAGAGAGAAGAGAGAGAGGGGCACAGAAGAGAGAGAGACAGAGGAGAGAGAGGCAGAGAGAAGAGAGAGAGGGGCACAGAAGAGAGAGAGACAGAGGAGAGAGAGGCAGAGAGAAGAGAGAGAGGGGCACAGAAGAGAGAGAGACAGAGGAGAGAGAGGCAGAGAGAAGAGAGAGAGAGGCACAGAAGAGAGAGAGAGACAGAGGAGAGAGAGGCAGAGAGGAGAGAGAGAGAGACAGAGAGAAGAGAGAGAGAGGCAGGGAGAGAGAGATTGGGGCAGAGAGGAGCGCAGAGGCAGAGAGGGGCCAAATGAGGCCACTGACAACCTGTAGCCTTCTATCAAAAATCCTTAACTCAGTAATCCACGGATGGCCCAAATACATTTAACCTGTAGTGGCAACTGCTTTGCTAACAGAAGAAAGTAGAAAAATAACTTTTAGAGGAAACCTCATTGTGAGCACACCTCAATAGTTCAGTTCAGAACTATCCTAAAACAAAAAGACAAAAAAGTAGCTTACTAACTAAAAAATCTTAAAGTATGGGGCTCTTCTGTTAGAAAAAAAAGGGAGAATTTATATAAAGAGGAATGTTATATGGTAAATTATTGTCCTAAAATAGGGAAGAATTTATATGAAAAGGAATGTTATATGGTAAATTATTTTCTAAAGTAAATTAACTGTTTTTTTTAAAAAAAAAAGGTTATAAAAGGAAATTTGTGCAAGAAATGTTGTATAATTTAAAAGTAATTAGGCCTCCTAAATATAAAACTATTAAAGAAATACTTTATATGCAAGGTATATAAGGAAAGTAAAATATACTTTTGGTAGAAGAATTATAAGGAGGCATAAGAATATAAAGTTTTACCTATATTAAAAGGTTAAAAATATGTGTATTTTGTTTTAAAGGTTTGATCAAGTTTTAAAATGTTATTTGGAAAGAAAATTCTGTGTGTAAACATTGGCAAAAGTTAAAGAGGTATCATCCAGTTTTTCTGTAAACTGGACATTAAAATAAAAGCATAACACGTTTTTCTTAAAGCACCAACCTGCTCTTTAGCAAAAATTATAAAAGGCTAAAAAGAGTCTATAAAATCTTACCTTATGGTCAAACATTGAAAATTGGATAAATATGTCTACAAGGTTTTATTAAAATTAGGTTTAACATTAATAACACACTAATATAAAGGTAAAATTAAGCTTATCTGGTATAAAAATCATACAGGAAGCATTGTTAAATGTAAAATGGTATTTGGCTTTCTTTGGCTTAAAAAACTAAAGAAAAATAATATAACAAACTAAAAAAAACTAAAAAAGTTTAGTTTAAAAAACTTAAAAGTATATATATAAAATATAAAAATAGGTGCTAAAGGAAATTTCTCAGTAAAAAAGGCACTAAGGACTATAAACTCCACTGCCAAGGTCCCCACATTTAAAACAAAAGGTCAATTTCTTAAAAATTATATACTTGGTTTATCTTCCATTTTCCTTTCCCTCAAAAACTAAAAGTCTTTTAGCACATGTACCACCCCTAGAATTTCTGGTAAACCAGCACCAGCCTGAAGATCACATTCTCATCAAAGGGTGCAAAGAAGAAAAACTTGAGCCAGCCTGGTAAAGACCCTACCTTGTGCTGCTAACCACCGAGACTGCTGTTCGTACAGCAAAAATGGATGGACTCATCACACCTGAGTCAAGAAAGCGCCACCTCCTCCAGAGTTGCGGGCCATAGTCCCAGGGGAAAACCCTACCAAACTCAAGCTAAGAAAAATTTAACTCTTTCATCTATTCTATTACTCTTTCTTCTTTCCTCGTTCTATTGCTGACCATCTAGTTATTAACATAACCAAGTCAATTTCGCCTCAAACTATGGCATTTAATGCTTGCCTTGTTATACCCTGTAGGGAGTTGCCAAGTCAAAGACAACTTTCTACTTCAGAAAAGCACTTCTGTCCCTCCTGACTCTACTCAGACTGGGCATTAGTAGACTAGGACCACTTAATCTGGAGAGATTTCAATAAAGGCCCCAGTGCCAACGAGGAGTCTTGCCTCCCAATGTAGAGCTTTCATGCCATAGTTGGTCCAACGTTCTGTGGACCACTAAAGAGCAAGGATGGACTGTCCCAACCAGTTTTTGTAATTTCCTAAAACCATACATTCATTTTACTAGAGAATCATGGAAGTTAAAGACTTAAGCTTTAGCAATTAAGACAGGATACCAAGATGCAAATGCCTGGTTAAAATGGATCAAATATTCCATCTGCACGTTAAACAAAAGCAATTGTTATGCTTGTGCACATGGCAGGCCAGAGGCCCAGATTGTCCCTCTTCCACTAAGGTGGTCCTCCAGTCAACCAGGCATAGGCTGCATGGTAGCTCTTTTCCAAGATTCTACAGCCTGGAGTAATAAGTCATGGCAAGCTCTCTCTGCTATATCCCAAAGTCCGGCACCCTGCAGATCAGCCCCTGAGGGCCATCCAGCTTCCGTCTCCCAACACTAAGTTCATTTCGTGTCTCTCACAACAGGGAGGAAACTTAGCATTCCTTGGAGACCTGAAGGGATGTGATGAGCTTAAGAATATTCAAGAGCTTATCGATCAGTCAGCCCTTGTTCATCCTGGAGTGGATGTGTGGTGGTATTGTGGTGGACCTTTACTGGGCACTCTGCCAAATAACAGGAGCGTCACTTATGCTTTAGTCCATTTGGCTACCCTTTCACCCTGGCATTTCATCGACCAGAGGGAGAAAAAATAAGACATCGTAAAGCGAGAGAAGCCCCTTATGGGTCTTTCGACTCTCACATCTATTTAGATGCAACTGGAGCCCCGCAAGGAATACCAGATCGATTTAAAGCTTGAAGTCAAATAGCTACAGGATTTAAGGCAATATTTTAGTAGGTGACAGTTAATAAAAATGTAGATTAGATAAACTACATCTATTACAACCAACAGCAATGAGCTTTTCATGAGTTAAATGAAAAACTTAGGTCAGCCCCAGCCCTGGGTCTACCTGACCTGACAAAACTTTTTACACTGTATGTGTCAGAAAGACAAAAAATGGCAGTTGGAATTTTAACCCAGACTGTGGGGCCCTGGCCAAGGCCAGTGGCCTATCTCTCAAAACAACTAGATGGGGTTTCCAAAGGCTGGCCCCCATGTCTAAGGGCCCTGGCAGCAATGGCCCTGTTAGCACAAGAAGCAGATAAGCTAACTATTGGGCAAATCCTAAACATAAAGTGCCCCCATGCTGTGGTGACTTTAATAAATACCAAAGGATATCAATAGCTAATGAATGCTAGACTAACTAGATACCAAAGCTTGCTCTGTGAAAATCCCCACATAACCATTAAAGTTTGCAACACCCTAAACCCCGCCACCTTGCTCCCGGTATCAGAGAGCCCAGTTGAACATAACTGTGTAGAAGTGTTGGACTCAGTTTATTCTAGTGGGCCCAACCTCCGAGACCATCCTTAAACCTCAGTAGACTGGGAGCTGTACATGGATAGGAGCAGCTTCATCAACCCCTGCAAAGTGACTCTGAAGAAGATGACAAGCCCTGCTCCAGTCACACCCGGAAGCTGACTGGTCCACGCATGGCCGAAGCATGAGGAAACTCATCACGGAACTCATTTTCCTTAACATTTGGAATTTTACAGTAAGGACTTCAACTGTCCTTCCTCAGATTGAGGACTGTTCCCAGTGTATACATCAAGTCACTGAGGTAGGACAAAAGGTTGCTACAGTCCTATTATTTTATGGTTATTATAAGTGTACTAGAACTCTAAAAAGAGCTTGTTTGTATAATGTTATTCTATACAAGGTATATAGCCCAGGAAATGACCAACCTGATGTGTGTTATGACCCATCTGAGCCTCCCATGACCACAGTTTTAAAAATAAGATTAAGGTCTGAGGACTGGTAGGGGCTCATAAACGATACGAGTAAAGTGTTAGCCAAAACAAACAAACAAAAAAAAGGTGCCCAAACAAGTCACCTTGAAGTTTGAGGCCTGTGCTGTCATTAATAGTAATAAGTTAGGAATAGGATGTGGTTCTCTTAATCAGGAAAGAGGCCATATGGCAGAAAATAAGTACATTTGTCATGAATTAGAACTGTGTTAAAAATGAATGTGGATACTGGTCTTGTGTCATTTAGGCTACTTGGATAAAAAATAAAAAGGATCCTGTCCACCTTCAGAAAAGGAAAAGTGGCCCTTCCTGTACCAGTGGCCAGTGTAACCCCTTAGAACTAGTAATAACCAACCCCCTTGATCCTCGCTGGAAAAAAGGGGAGCATGTAACCCTAGGAATCGATAGGGCCAGACTGGATCCTGGAGTAAATATCGTGGTTTGAGGAGAAGTTTATAGACGCTCTCCTGAGCCAGTATTTCAAACCTTCTATGATAAACTGAATGTGCCAGTACCAGAAATTCCAGGAAAAACAAGAAATTTGTATTTGCAATTAGCCAAGCATGTAGCCCAGTCTCTCAATGTCACTTCATGTTATGTATATAGAGGAACTGTAATAGGAGATCAATGGCCATGGGAAACCCTAGAATTAGTACCTACAGACCCAGTTCTTGATGAATTCTCGGCTCAAAAGAATCACCCTGATAACTTCTAGGTCCTAAAAGCCTCAACCATTAGACAATACTGTATAGCAAGAGTGGGGAAGGACTTCACCCTTCCTGTGGGAAGACTCAGCTGCCTTAGGCAGAAACTGTATAATAGTACTACAAAAACAGCCACCTAGTGGAGTTCAAACCACACTAAGGAAAAATCCATTTAGTAAATTCCCAAAGTTGCAAACTGTGTGGACCCACCTGGAGTCCCACCAGGACTGGACAGCCTCCACTGGATTATGCTGGATATGTATGCATAGAGCTTACACCAAATTACCTGACTAGTGGGCAGGTAGTTGTGTTATTGGCACTATTAAACCATCTTTCTTCCTACTGTCCATAAAAACAGGCGAACTCCTCGGCTTCCCTGTCTATGCTTCCCGCGAAAAGTGAAACACAGCCATAGGTAATAGAAAAGATAATAAATAGCCCCCTGAGAGAATCATACAATATTATAGGCCTGCTACTTAGGCACAAGATGGCTTGTGAGGATACCCAACCCCCATTTACATGCTCAACCGAATCATATGGTTACAAGCTGTCTTAGAAATAATCACTAATAAGACCGGCAGAGCCTTGACTATTCTGGCCTGGCAAGAAACCCAAATGATAAATGCTGTCTATCAAAATAGACTGGCTCTCAACTACTTGCTAGCAGCTGAAGGAAAGGTCTGTAGAAAATTTAACCTTACCAATTGCTGCCTGCATATAGATGATCAGGGGCAGGTCAAAGATATAAAGACATGACGAAACTGGCACATGTGCCTGTAGGCTTGTGGCACAGATTTGACCCTGAGGCCATGTTTGAAAACGGTTCCTGGTGCTAGGAGGATTTAAAACTCTTATAATAGAAATTTTAGTAGTAGTAGGAACTGCTTACTGATCCCTTGTTTACTACCTGTACTCATTCAAATGGTAAAAGGTTCCATCGCTACTCTAGTTCACCAGAATGTACTACATTCAGCACAAGTGTACTACATGAATCACTATCGATCTGTCATGCAGGAAGACATAGGTAGTGAGGATGAAGGTGAGAACCCCCACTAATAAAATGAGTGAGAGGAAGGGAATAAGGGAGGAGACCACCCCTCATATTGTCTTATGCCCAATTTCTGCCTCCAAAGAAAGAAGAAGTAAAAACTAAAATGCAGAAATGAAATCCACAGGCAGACAGCCTAGCCTCGCACCCTGGGCCTGGTAGTTAAAGGTCAACCCCTGACCTAACCGGTTATGTTATCTATAGATTCCAGACATTGTATGGAAAAGCACTGTGAAAATCCCTGTCCTGTTCTGTTCTGTTCTGATTACTGGTGCATGCAGCCTCCAGTCACGTACCCCCTTCTTGCTCAATCGATCATGACCCTCTCACGCGGACCCCCTTAGAGTTGTGAGCCCTTAAAAGGGACAGGAATTGTTCACTTGGGGAGCTCGGCTCTTGAGACAGGAGTCTTGCTGATGCTCCTGGCCAAATAAACCCCTTCCTTCTTTAACTTGGTGTCTGAGGGGTTTTGTCTGCTGCCCTTCCTGCTACAATAACAGGCTTAATTCACTAAGATTTGATAACAATTCTAAACTTGTATCCACTAAATAACCTCAACAGTTATTGATGAGGAGGTCTAATAAGTATTCCTATAAATATATACACATACACACACATACATATATATATATACACATATACACACATGCATAGACACACATATATGTAATTCATGGGGATATAAATTGGTACAATCTGCTTTAGATTTATGTTTAAAGTTTAATAGTCTCAAGTAATAGAATTTATTATTTTTCTCCTAATTATATACCCTAAAGAATATCTTGCACATATGCAAGAATATTCATAGTGTTACTATTTGTAATAATAAAATGGTTAGAAACACCTTAAATGTCCACCAACAGGAAAATAGATAAATTGTTGTATATTCATGAAATAGAATGTTATATAGCAGCAAAAAAGAATGAATTCCAGCTGTACACACAATTTGGCTCCATCTTAGAAAATATTAGGGAAAAATTCAAGTCATTAAAGATTACATAGAGTACAACTCTACTTTTATATATCTCAGAAATAAGCAAAAGTAAACAAATATTGTTTATTGACAAATACATATTTGAAAAATTTAAAAATTTAAAAATCAAGGAAAAATATATCCTAAAATTATTATAGCAGTTATCTGTGGTAGCAGGAGGACTGGAGATGAGAGGAACCTAGGGAGACACTAATGTACTTATTATACTATTATTCTTAATCTGTTTGCTGGATCATTTTAATTAATTAACATACATGTTACATATAGTCTCTCATATGAGTCAGATATTTATTATGAACTTTTTTTTATAACTCTTTTTTTTATTATTATACTTTAAGTTTTAGGGTACATGTGCACATTGTGCAGGTTAGTATGAACATTTTTAATTTAAAAATATGAAAAAATATAAGGCATATCCCATGTCTAATGTATAGCAAACAACAAAAAAATCCTAGCTTTTCTTATTGTTATAAAGAAAGAAAAGAAATTGAGAGAATCAAATTGAACAATTGCCTACATTTGGAGGAAAATTAGCCTCCAGTCACTAAAGTGGTCCTGGGCAGCGTGAGGGCACCTGGGGCTTATTGGGCAATGGGAGCAATGATAACTAGGAGAGTGGGGAGGAGTTAGTTAAAGGGTACTGGAAGGGAAAAACTGGTGTGGTGGGGGCTGCTAAATGCAAATATTTAGCAGTTTCTCATTATATGTGGCTTATAACACCTCCATGGGATGTCCAAACACCTTTGGGAAAAGCCACATTTAGTGTTGCCACATTTAGTGTTGGCTCTGCACCCACTTCCCAATTCACAATTTAACATCTTAGGAACAATGCACGTTAACATTTGTGAGAAAACCCACTAGTTAGCAAACAAAAACCAAAAACTCATTCAGCTTTATTTAACTGAGTAGCGCCCAGTTTGACCATGAGGCTCTTTTCTCTCTGTGTAACAGTATCTTATGGAACCGACTTTTCTTTAGAGTTCAAATTGAGAAAGTCAGGTCTACTTTGTTTTATCTATAGCCAGTAGAATTGTAGGGCCATATTTGAACCAGAGATCCTAGCCGAGGTAAAATGACTTGGGTTCATATGGGAAAGACTGTGAAGAATTTAAAATTTGAAAGTTACTCAGGCTTTGACATAGTTGCCGTATGTTGGCTTACCAGTTAAAATTCCTCTTTATATTTATCTTTGTGGTAATATAGATTTTCTCTGTGTTTCAGAAGAAATTGTGTCTGTGCATGGTTGGTATATATGCATACACATGTGACTCTACTTGCAGCAGTATTTTTTCTTCTACATGAATTACCAGCAATCTGTAGCCAGCTATATCCTATCTCAGTCTGAATTTGGGAGTTTAATTATTAAGGAGTTTGATGACCTGGAACAAGCAGTTCAGCTGGTCAAAGATTTGGAGGAATGAAGCTAAACAGAAACCGAAAACAGACTCTTACTTCCTGTGATGTGTGGTAAATGGAACATTTTAAGGTACTAATTTAAACCCCTTGTGTTTTGGGTACATAATATTCCACCAAAAGTCTTCTAAACCTACTTTACAATCTTCAATTTTTCTGTGTTATTTATTTGTATGAAGTAAGGTTGGAGGAGCAATGGCTTCAAGCCAAATAGGCTTGTGATTTTTCTAAATCAGAAATTGCCTCAAATATTTCTATCTTTCAATGTCCTGGGTCATGGTGTTCTACTGAGTTCAGGCACAGTACAGGCAACTTCCAAATTATTTTATTTCCCCTTTTTTTCAGACTTAGATTCTAGCAGAAACGTTTTCAATCTTTAGTCAATCACACACAGTCTATATTTAAGCTTAGTGCTAAAACATTACTTATCTTACCTTAAGAAACCTGGGAATTCAGGTAGAATATATGATCTACAATAATAAAGGAGTAGAAGGATATGAATGAATGAGCCTGATTAATATTCTGTGGTAATTTTTTTTAATTTTTTCACAAATTGCTTTGAGAACCTTACAGATGGGCTGGTATGAAAATTTCTTTCCCTGACTATATTCTGTAACAGTATATTGATTAGCTGATATAATTATTGTGAATACCAGAAATGTTACTGCAATGGATAGGTAAGGAGCATTTAGTTCAGAGAGAATATAAAACAATAATTGGGGAAACTTTTGAATTTTGTGAAAATGGAAAAAAGGTATTGAGAAAGACTGTACCAACACTAGTGAGACCTTCCTGGACAATTAAAAGGCAAATTATGTATAATCAGACTGTCCTGATGTTAATTTCAAGTTCCCTTTCATCACCACAGGGCTAACTATGCTTAACTAAAGTGGTTGTAGTTGGTTAAACAAAGAAGATAGAGCTAGTCGGGCTTATATTTGTATTTTACTCTTGTTACTCAGGTTCTGCCAGTCCTTTTCTGTGCATCCTGGGCTGGTCTCTGCCACAGGCTCTGGGCGTCTTTCCCATTGTAGTCACAGAGCCCTACACTAAATGGGGAGTTCAGTAAATGCACATTGACTAATTGTTGAGTGCATGTGCTGGGATGGTCATATTTTGTTCTGTTTGTTGTTGTTGTTGTTGTTGTTGTCTTGTTTTGTTTTTCTCAAGACAGAGTCTCACTCTGCCACCAAGGCTGCAGTGCAGTGACACAATCTTGGCTCACTACAACCTCCGCCTCCGGGGTTCAAGGGATTCTTGTGCCTCAGCCTCCTGAGTAGCTGGGATTACAGGTGCCAGCTACCATGCCCGGCTAATTTTTGTGGTTTTAATAGAGATGGGGTTTTACCGTGTTGGCCTGGCTGGTCTTGAACTTGTTACCTCAGGTGATCCGCCCCCCTTGGCCTCCCAAAGTGCTGGGATTACAGGTGTAAGCCATCCTGCCCAGCCATGTTTTGTTTTAAAACATATTTAGAAAGCAACGCTAGGCTCTGTATTTCCTGAAAGTTCATTTTAGAAACACTATTCATTTTATTATTAGGAACAATTTGCTTTCTTCACTCCATGCTGCATAAGGATCTAGCATTAGTTACTCAGAAATGGCCTTGTGTTTTTTTCCTCATAGCACCTCTGACATTAGTGCTCTCTGTATTCCCCTTGATCAACACTCTTTATTCTGCATTCTACCTGGGAAATTACTGTATTTGGTGGGAGAAGTAACTTCATTATTGAAGTATGAGGTGAAAATAGATTGCCTCTAGTTCGGGAAAAGTCTGGATACCATGACACTTCCTGGATAACATCATTAACTATCTCCCATTGGCTATTTCTCAGCCATTTTTGCATCCAGGGCTACCCTTTCACATTCATTGTTTAATTTAGTCCTCATACCATATAAAATGAGGTCAAATTAGTACTGTTTTCACTTCAAGAGACCTAAAACAGAGAGATATTATATGAGTTGTTTAAGCTCCCACAACTGATAAATGTCAGGCCCTAGATTCTAATCCTACAGCTTGCTCAGCTCCAAAGCTCTAGCTTTTGCATTGAACTTGCAGTTATACTGACTATTGTACATTGACTACGTAATTGTATACATACAATGCCTATGTGTTCATTTCTATGGCACTGTATTTCCTTTTTAGCAAAATATATTTTATTAATTTAGAAGTCATTGATCTAGGGATTTAAGCTCTTAAATTTTAAAGCAGCTTTCTCTCTCTCTCTCTCTCTCTCTCTCTCACTGTCAGAGGTTGGCTTTATTTTGTTAAATTATAGCAATGAGGCAATGCCAAATATAGTTTTTAAATGACTATATATTTCAGCTGGGTTTGAAGGATGAGTGAAATGTTGCCAGGAGAAGGGAGAAGGGATGAACTGGCAAGATGGAGTAACAAGTATAAAGGCATTGGTGCATGGAGGCACTTGATGCAATCAGAGATATGAAAAGTATCTAAATACATGAAGATTTTCAAAGGTTTCTTAAATTTTCTGTTATAGATTCTGAGTGATAATTTGATAAACCATTTAAAATGAGTATACAGGAAAACTGTATTGTGAGAAATTGACTTGAAGCCTTGAAGAATAGTTGATCTTAATGTTTAAAAAGATTCCCATACTACCATCATTTTGAAACTCAAAATCCTTGTGATGATTCAAGTTCTGGGGTTCTGTCACAGCTGTTTTAGCTGAATTGTGTTAAACAAAAGATTACATACACTTATTTCTTGGAATTAATATTTAGTTGTATATTGTAAGCAAGGATGTATAAGGACATCTTGTTCAAATCCTATCTTCCAGCAGTTGTTTTAAAATATCCTAAAATGATGACCAACTACTTATTTGAAAAAGATCTCCACAAATCGCTTTTGTATACTGCTATAGGTTAACTGCTTATATGATCAATACATTCTTTATTTCTAATTAAATTCAGAATCCTCCTAAAAAGGCCCCACTAGTGTCCACAGTGATTTATTGTATATTAGAATCTATTCATCTTTCTCTTACAAGACACAAAATTGGCATGAAGAAAGGCGCCTGAACTCTATTTCAGCTCCTTTCCCTTTAGCTGGACATATTTGTGCAGGGAAAAACTGACACAAGTGATCTTACCTGTTGATCTTGTTAAAATACAGATTACTAGGCTGCATTTAAGATCTATTGATTCATACTCTCTGAGGATAAGATTTTTTAATTCACTTGTCCAGTGCTTCTTTTGGAATCACATGACCCTTGTCTAAAGACTGAGTTTTGGGAACCACTGCTTTTCATAGAAACAAAATAGAGAAGGTCAGTGCCTTCATTCATTCATTCATTTATTCATCCAAGAAATAGCCACGGAGAGCCCCTTGTGTGTCAGAAGTTATGGAAATAAACAAGACACAATCCTTGATCTTAAGGAACATCAGACTATATGTATTATATCATTATATTTAAAAATAAACTACTTAACCAGATGTGTTACCATGGAAGGATGGAGGAAATTCTGTAGAAAATCTAAATTTATGGGAATCTAAAAAAAATTTCACCACGTAAAAGATATCTGAGCTGGGACTTAGAGGATGAATAAAAGTTTGCCAGGCAAAGAAGAGGGTGAGCAATCTAGGGAACGAAGAAAGCAATGAGTGGATGAAATTTCTGATGGACTTAGAGAATGGCAAGACAGTTAGGGTGGCTAGAGTATAGGACATATGGATAGGGAAGTGGTAGCAGAGATTGAATTTGGAAAGATAATTAAAAATCAGAAGTTCCAAGATATGAATTTTATTTTTTATTCTTTATTCAGGAGTCAACCAAACTTCTTAATGGATATTTTAATGTGAACATTTTGCTTTTAAGAATAACTCTTCTAGCAGTATGGAAGGAGTTTCTTAAGTATGGGATTTCGTAAGAGTTAGAAACCGTTGAAAAGAAAGCTGGCTAGTCCTTCTTCTTCCTCTCTCACTCTCTCTCTTGCTTTTGTTTTCTTTTCTGTCCCTGTTCTTCCTTTCATCTACCTTTCATTCATTCTCTCCCTCCCTCCTTTCCTTCTCTGTCCTTTCTCTTTCCTTCCCCTGTCTTTCTCCCTCCCTTTTCCGCCCCCCCATCTTCTTCTTTCCAGCAAATACGTATTAAGTAGCCACCACGTGCTAGACTCATTACTAGGCTTTAAGGATACAAAAATAAATAAATGATGGCCCTGCACTAAGGAGCCCATTGTTCAGAAAGGGAGACAGACAAGTCAATCTGCCACTATGGTGTGGTGAAAGTTATGAAGAAGATGGGAAAAATGTCACCATGTAGGAGATGATGAAAGTCTGCAGTGAGATAATGGTAATGGGTGAGGAGAGTAAGGTCAGCGCTAGCGGGCAGTTCTGTAAGTTTTGATAATAATACACGTAATACAATTATATAGCACTTAGCACACAACTGTCTAAGATGTGTGTGTGTGTGTGTGCATGCATATGTATTTAATCCTCACAAGCACCCTGTGGAGTCGTATGTCCAATACCCATTTTACAGATAAGAAAATTGAAGTAGAGCAAGCTTAAATGATTTTGCTGGGCTCTCATGACTAGTAATCTAGCCATGAAATTAATCTTGTCTCTACCAAGTTTACAGTCATTCAGCATTGACTCTAGAATCAGTGCTCTAAAATGAATGGTGACAATGAGGGATAGGGAGGAGTACATGAACACTGTTCAACTTTTAACTTGAGAAATTGGTTAGATGATAATTCTATTCACTGAGAGAGAGACCACATGGGGGTGGTAGTGTGGTAGAAAGATAAACTTTATTTGGTAAATATTAATTTTGAGGTGTATACACTTATGGACATATTCAATACTCTTCTTTAAATATGGGTCTGGAGCTCAGGGAAAATATGTAAGCTGAGTAAGACGAGGAGAACAAGATTGGATGGAATTCTAATTCTGGGCAATGTCTTCATTTAACAAGAAGGCAGGAAAAATCCTATGCAGTAAACAATACCAGTTACTCTAAGTTACTCATATGAGTTCACTTTCTTGTCATTTGAGTATTTCTGAGTTATATCACTACTATTATTTATAATAATTTATTCTAGAGCTACAGTGATTTTTAGTGCTTTTACACAAATAAACATATAGTCTCATTTGATCTTCATGATAGTCTTTGAAGGGAGACAAAACAGATAGGAGGAATGGAGATTCAGATAAGTTCTGTGATTTGCCCAGAATCACACGTGTTCGAATCTGTAGTCAAACCTTCTTATTTGACTTCAGTTTTAGTACTCTTTCATCGACATATGAACCTTTTCCTATGTATACATTCTATTTATTGTTTACCACAGTATGTAATTCATCGTGGGTAGTAGGCATCTTCTCATTTTCCAAGGAATATGAATTTAGCTGAAACAATTTTTTTTACACTTTACAGTTTCTAAATTATCATATTTAAAGCCACCACTAAATTATATTTCAGCATTTAATGGGACTATGATTGTGCTGCCTTGTCCATCCTTCTTATTTAAAGTTTAGGAAATGAGGAAGAATAGAGGAACATTATCTTAGAGTTTGGAATCAGTATAAAAATATGTCTATCTAGCTATTGATTGGAAAATGAATTTTTTTCTTCTGAGGTTTTACACTTAAACACTAAAGTTCTTAAAATGATCCATAATGCCTCATTTCATCTGGTTCTCCATTATTGCTGACGTTCATTTCTTATTGAGCCAGAGTTTTTGCCATTCCTTCACCCCTCCATGTACATTTTTACCTTGGAGTCTTAGAACTCTGCTTTACTATGAACTCCATTCCCGAGATCTCCTCCAGGCCCTTACTTCCTTTTTCGTTCATGTCTCCCAACTCCCCAGCTTTTTATCACTCCCTATTTCTCTTTCTTGTTTTTTTTTTCTTTCTATAGCAATTACTATAATTAGAAAATTTACCATAATTTAAAAATTACTATAATTAAAATTGTTTTACTATAAAGCAATTACTATAAATTAAATTTTTAATTTAATTTGTACTTATACTTTAATCTTTATTAGATATTTATCTCCCCACACTAAAATAGGAGCTGGGTTTGTGTCTGTTTTGTTCACTGCTGACGCTACATTCTCAATATCAAGAACAGTACTAGGCAAACAGTAGGCACTCATTAAGTAGCTGCAGAATGAATGAATAATATCTAGAGTTTTCCATAGTTACATACCTTGTGGGTGAAAGAACATGAAGCAAATAGAGAAGAGTGTAATATACAAGTGAATATTTTTTAGTAGACAATTTTTAGAAGATAAATTCATATATATATACATATATATGTATATATATAATATATTATATACATATATATGTATATATATAATATATTATATACATATATATGTATATATATAATATATTATATACATATATATGTATATATATAATATATTATATACATATATATGTATATATATATATATATATATATAATCTGAGTCTTGAGAATTAGAATACTTTCCATTCAGTACTATGTTTCATTATGCTGAAAAGCTGTCACATTCTCATCAGGGCACCTTTAGCTAATAGGAGGTACCAAAGATGAGAGCATTAAGATAGACAGAGGATGGAAATCAGAGACAAGTTATCTGTGTTTCTTTTCCATCTGCTGCTCCATAGTACATTTGCAGTCTTGGTCAAATCACCTAATATCTTGATTCCCAATATCTAAATGCAGAAATTGAAGTGCCCTGCCTACAATCTCACACAGATATCGCTAGGAATAAATAAGGGAGGTAAGAGGAAGTATTTTATAAATTGGAAGGCATTATTAAAAAATGCATTCTAGCAGTAGTATTTTGCTAATACTACTTAGCAAAGACTTAGTGATTATATATCGGAAAAACTGTGTGATGATCAGCCCTATCTAGTAGGTACGATTATTGTCTCAAAAGAACAATGTAGGGGCCAAGATTAAATGTTATCATTTGATTTGAAGAATATTCTTATAAACACCCATTTGGATTTGGTTCAATTTACTAATATTTTAGTTAATATATTTTTTCTCTCCCTGCACCCCAAATCTAATTAATTTTACAGTAAAAACAAAGGTTGAAAGGTTCAAAAAATTAGTGCAGTTTCTTCTGGATTTGGGTTTATGATTAGACTTTTTCAAGATGCATTTTAAAAATATTCTTTCAGTTAAAAATCTACTCCCAATGTGATCTTTGAATTTTCATAATTTTAAAAATTAGAATCTCTGGAAACCTCATTACATTTTTTTAACACTCTAAAATAATTCTTGAGATATATCACATTTTTTACAAGTTTTGAAAAATTTCTCATCTCTAGATAGGTATTTTTAGTAAGACTCTTGACTTATTATTTATGCTGTAATCATCTCCTAATAAAATCTTTTTGGTCTTTAGAAGATCTAACTTTCTTGTCTTCAATAAACCACACTGAATTGGTTAAAGCAGATTATAAATTATAAGGAGGGAGGGGAGAGATCAGAAGTGGTTCAGAGGTATGGTAAGAATGTGGCCAAAACTCAAATAATAATAAATAAGAGTAATGACATTTTCATCTCACTAGCTAGTTAATTGACATTTTTGGTTCACCAGTTTCACAGTGAATAATAACTATTCCTAAATAAGACATAGTAAGCATAGCCACAATGTTGAGGTGAAAATATATTTAACTTCAGAATGTTCATCTTTTAATTCCAGCTACTTAATCTACTTCTAGATCTCAATGTAGAACTGTTAACTGATTCCCTATTTTCATAGTATACTACTCATATGCATTGTTTATTAGTTTTTGTATCTGTTGCTTCACTATTACTGAAGAGGAAGTACTTTCTAAATTGGAAGGCATTATAAAAATGTGTTCTAGTAGTAGTATTTTGTTAACCAATGAAGCTATAAATTCACTGGTTATTAGAGAAGATCCACTGAGAAACTTTGTAATATTGAACATCAAGATCTTAGGTCTAACTCTAAGAAAAGTTAATGTAATTTCAGGCTTTGAAGAGTCTGAGAACTAGTCTGGTAAAATCAGAAATATCAGATTTCCAGATCCTGGAAATCAAAAATAATTCAGGACATGAGAAATCTTCAACACATCCTGGATTTTTAAACAAGTCTTTAAAAAACATAAAAGTGATCACTTTTAAAACCTTAGCTACAACAGTGGGAAGATAAGAATCAATGAAAATGTACATTGTGGACAAAGTTTGTTTTTTTTTTCTGGAAGAGAAGTCATGGGTCATAGATTAAGAAGAATACTCTTTGTTTCTGGGGCATTGTGCTCCCCAAATCGCAGTAATTAAATTCACCAAGAATATAAATCTTTCACTTTCTTTCACTCTCACCTTCTTTCTTTAGATCCTAGTTATTCCTTCATGGTTCTATTTTCACTATCAAGGTATATGTTTAATGAACAATTAAAATTGCTCTAATAATGGATTATTCATCACCTATTATCAGAAAAATATACAATGATATCTGACAGTATTATAGACATCATATTTATTGACTCAGTATAATTGAAATTTTAATGAACTATAAAAATCTAAAATTTTTAATTTTAACAGGTGAAAAATATGTGGTATGAGCACCTTTCCTACATTCACAGTGGCCATTGATAATTGGATATAAAACTCTTTCCTGTGACCCAGCATATCACCTAAGAGTCTTTGTCAAAACCTACCTGCATTTAGTGTCCTTTCCTTAACAATCGAATCTAAAATATTATCTTTATCTTTAATCTTTCAACATAAAATGATCATTTTCTTTATCTTTTATTGAGTGGTTTAATAGTATAAAGTAGAAATCCAATCAACACTTTAAAACAACCCTCAGTTTCTGATTAGTTTGGTAGTAATGGTGGTTGTAGGTCTTGGTATATTTGGTTGCCCTGAGAGGTGAACCTGTGTCATAAGTCTATGATGGTATGATTGGCTGTAATAGATTGGATAATGCACTACATCACTCACAACCCATCACCTATAGAGTGAAGAGTGTTGCATAATAACCACAGTAATTTAATCTTTGCAGTCCTTTTTTTTTTAAATGGAGTCTCTCTCTGTCACCCAGGCTGGAGTGCAGGTAAGTCGAAAGATAGGAAATTGGAATTCTCTTTCTATATATCTGTGATATGATAGGGACTCACAGATATATAGAAAGAGAATTACAAGTTATAGAAGAGAATTCCAAAGTTAGGAAGCTGGAATTCTCTTTCTATATATCCGTGATATGATAGAGACTCACAGATACACAGAAAGAGAATTCCAGCTTCCTAACTTTTGACTCACTTGCAGGCTTATATATAGGTGAGTCAAAAGTTAGGAAGTTGGAATTCTCTTTCTATATATCTGTGAGTCTCTATCATATCAGTAAAGAACAGAGGTGTCTCCCAGTGAAGGTATGTTGGCATTTGCAGAGGGCAATTCCTTGTTGTGCAGGACTCTCCCTCACATTGAAGGATGTTTAGGCTCTCCCAGTTCCTATTCCTTAAGTTCAGCCCCTCTAAGTTTCAATGTCTGTGAAAACAAAAAATCCACCTTTTTTTATTTCTAGGCTGTAAGCATAGTAAAAAAGTATTGTGTTATGCTAATTACTATGCTCTTAAAGATATATATACACATATGTCTTATGTATATATATATGATACATATATCTTATATGTATATATAGATGCATGTGTGTGTGTGTGTATATATATATATATATATATATATATATGTATATTTATTTATTTATTTATTTATTTATTAGATGCCTCATAAACCAGCCATTACATCTAGCCAAAGATTTTTATCAGGAATACTGAGATAAAAGCAAGCATCTAGCCTTGGATACATGGTGGATAAAGGTGCATATTCTGCAGATAAAGCAATAGATAGCCAAAGGTGAATTCAAATTCATTTTTAAATAAAATCCACAAAAATTAAGGGCTTTGATAAATGAATCTTTCACATGCCTAAGCTTGTTTTCTTGTTTGTTTTTAACCTCCACAGTTTCATGCTGTTTTCTTATCAAAGAAAGATGGTTACTTCCGTGGTGTATTAGAATGAATAACCATAATGACAAGAGAGAATGATGTTCTACAAGGATAATTCTAAAGTGTGGTGAGATACATCTTGATTGAAAAGAAGGAAAATACAGCTTAATAATACAGGAAAATAAAAATATAGGAAATATAAAGCCTAATAATAGAAACAGAACACATTCAATGTGTCCCTTTCTTAACCACATTGCTTTAAAGAGCTAAACAGATGTTGTAACCATGGTAAGGAGGCAAAAGGCCATATGTCATATATAACACTGCCACTCCTTTCTTCTCTGGGAAGCTAGGTTGTTAGTTGTTCCCGGTCAGACTCAGGAGATGGCAGGTTACAACAATAAAATGATTACTGATACTTACGGAACTCAGTGTTGCACTCTTTGTCTCTGTTAATCTTCATGTAACTCTTGTCTGGCTGCCCTCCAGGGAGCAGCCTCTAATTCGGTTCCACCTCAGCCTCGATGCAGAACTCTGGGATTTGCAGCATTCTGCCCCAGAGCAAACCCTCCTCCATGAAACACTGAGCAAGAGAATGTAATGAAGATTTCACAGGGGACTGAGCAGATAGTTCACATCTCATAGAACACAGCAGAGCAAACAACTTAATGCATTTCTCCATTGGATGTTTTTATTTTCATCTGAAATCCCTTCTTTAACGACCAGACATTAGGTTTTCTCTCTCTTTCTCCCTGCCTTTCATAGCTCCACTATGACTTATGATGCTGGTTCACTTATCAGGGCAACCAAATATGCCAAGATCCACATCCAATATTACTAACAAGCTAATCAAACTAATCAACCCAGCTGTGGCCCCAAATTTGTAAATAATGCTTTGCAAAACAAAAATCCCTGTAGTTAATGGGGTTCTCCATTTTTATTAAGTGGCTAAAAAAATCATCATACCTTCATCTAGCTGGCCTTTTGGGGGTACAGGCAGTATCTCCCATTTCACCCTTGCACACACACTCTTCAAGCAGTTTATCCAAGTACCCATCACTGTACCAAGTGAGCTCAGATATTCACCACAGAGGAAGAGGAGGGAATTGAGAATCAACGTCTTGGATCCTAGCTCTTAACAAGGTTGAATGTTTATTCAAGACTTATCTGAGCATCAGATTTTTATTTAAACGTTGATAATAAAATAGAAATATAAAACCTTAAGCTTGACAAAATTGCTTTGTATGTACTTTACTTCATTTGATCCTTGCAACAATCTTAGCAGAAAGTATTGGGAAATAGTTTCTTTCTTAGCAGAAAGTAAGGGAAAGTATTGTCCTTAGTTTCCAAATCAGAACATCAGGGAGGTATAAGAACTTGCTCCAAGACACACAGCCGTGGCCAGGAGTGGTGGTTTATGCCTGTAATTCTAGCACTCTGGGAAGCCGAAGCAGGCGGATCACCTAAGGCCAGGAGTTCGAGACCAGCCTGGCCAACATGGCAAAACCCCGTCTCTACTAAAAATACAAAAAATTAGCTGGGTGTGGTGGCAGGTGCCTGTAATCCCAGCTACTCGGGAGCCTGAGGCAGGAGAATTGCTTGAACCTGGGAGGCAGGGGCTGCAGTGAGCCGAGATTCCGCCATTGCACTCCAGCCTGGGCAACAAGAGCGAAACTCTGTCTGAAAAAAAAAAAAAGACACACAGCTGTTGTGTAGAGTGAGATTTGATCCCCGATATTCTAATTTCAATCTAGTACCCTTTTTACTTTATTGTGTTACTTTATTCATAGATAGAGGAAAGTAAAAGTATGTTCTAGATATTTGTTAAAATAATTAATATCAGAAGTAAATGGCTCCACTCCAAGAGAGAAGAGAAAAAGTAAAAAAGCCATTATTTTAGACTTAAAACTGAACTGGAAAAAATATTTTCAAGCATAGTATGAAGCTGACAATCAACAAGTTCATTGATTAAACATCCTTTTCCATCATCAATTTTCATAATTTTTTGAGAGAGGAAGGTACTCTTTATCTAGAGAGTTTTCACCATTTATTATCAAGGTTTCAGATTTTTACTGTATCATTACTCGAAATGGCAGTCACCTAGCCCATGGAATTAAATCTGCTATGTAACGTTCCTCAATTAGGCATTTAATACCCTCATTCAGGAGGCACAAGATCAGTTTCTTTGTCACTATTAATATGCCACCTGGCCTCAGAAATGGAGTCTGGGAGATAGCTTTATAAACAGAAGCCTAACACATCATATGAACACAAAGACAAGAAAATGAAAAAAGAGAACTTAGGGCTCTTTTTATATAGATTTCTAGGAACAAGTACAAGATCGGTTAGTTCTCCCTTTTTACTCAAAACTTAATGAGACAGTCGAGTATAGCCATGAGTCTATTCCACAATGAAATAAACCTGGATGTCAAGATCACCTTTCCTACCATCTGCAGTGAACTCCGTTGCCACCAGTTTACAGATTATGGAAAAACTTGATCAGATGAAGAGGAAAAAAATGTTTGAAAGAGAAGTAAGTCACATAATAACAATTAATCTTTGCTAGGTATTTTGAACCTGGGATTCATCAGAGGATGCATAACACTCTGAAATGACTCTCGAAAATATATTTCTTCTTTGCTCTGGGGAAGGACATGTAGTTTTCATAAAACTCTCAGAGGCCGGGCATGGTGGCTCACACCTATAATCCCAGCACTCTGGGAGGCCAAGGCGGGTGGATCACGAGGTCAGGGGTTCAAGACAAGCCTAACCAACATGGTGAAACCCCATCTCTACTAAAAATACAAAAAAAATTAGCTGGGTGTGGTGGCGGGCGCCTGTAATCCCAGCTACTCAGGAGGCTGAGGCAGGAGAATTGCTTGAACCCGGGAGGCAGAAGTTGCAGTGAGCCGAGATTGCGCCACTGCACTCCAGCCTGGGTGACAGAGCAAGACTCTGCCTCAAAAAAAAAAAAAAAGCCTCTCAGAGACACTCAAAATCCAAAGAAAGGAAAGCTGTTCAGTCTGAAGATGGATTCAGCTCCTGGGTCATCTGACTCAAAACTTAATCTCTCATTTGCAGATTTGCATCCAACACTTTACCTCATTTAATCACTTCCTTTTCTTTAGGTTGGCATTGTAATAACTCATGATAAACATGTTTCACCCAGTTTTGACTGCAGACATGAGATTTTGTGCCCAGACTTTGAAACTTCTCTGCTCAGAGACCTTTCAGCTTTTTTTTGTTTTGTTTTGTTCTTGGCTTCCATGGCCTTAACCATGGAAAACCCCTACAGTTAAACTTTCATTGGAAAGACCTCTTTGAGCTCTAAACTTGTTATATTCAATTTCCTACTGGATATCTCCACTTAGGCTTCACCCAGATGTTTAAAGTTTAATATAATCAAAATAAACCTCAACACTGTACTATAGTACCATGACCCCCACATTTGGAGTTTTCACATCCCTGCCAACACTTAGCCTTGTACAGCATTCTAATATTTGCCAATCTGATGGGTATAAATCTTGCATAATTAGCATTTTTCTAATTGCTATTGAGTTTGAGTAATTATTTGTTTGCATGTCCATCTCCCAATTAGACTGTAAATTCCCTGCAGATAGAGACCATGGGTTCTCATTTTCATTTCCCTAGTTTCCAAAACAGTATGTGGAACATGCTCAAGATCAATAACTTTCTATTTACTAAGTGAGTAGATGAATGAACTCATCAGAATCTCAGAGATTGCTGAAAAAGTGGCCTCTAGTTAAACAGAAGTGGGCTGTATATATCAAATCCAGGTTTAATCAAAGCTAAATATAGAGAATTGACACAATTTACTTTTAAAAAGTTGTAAGTAAGGTTACTTTTGAAACTCCTCTGACTAAGTCTCAATAAATTCAATTTTCTTCTCAGTGTGTGGCACAGGGGAAAGAAGATGATTTTCAGAGTCAGGCATGTCTGTTTTTGCATCATGGCTCTGACCTGTACTACATTTGTGACCTGAGGCAAGTAATTTAAACTCGGGGGAAAATAATACCTATTTCACAGAACTAATTTATAAATTGTATTTGAACATAGCAGTGTATTGTGTTTGGTATGTGGTATATTAGGTGGTCAGTAAATGTTAGCTGTTGTCATTTTTGTTGTAAGAATTTCATAAAATTTCAAAGTACAATTTAAATTGAATTTCCATTCTGTTCTACATGAGTTATCTTAAAGAGAAGTACACTACCTATTCTATGTGCTCTGCAATGCCATTAATTGATTATTGCCATTTTCAGGATGACTGACTTATTGATGATAAACAGCTTCATTGAAGTGCTGGTTTTTAAATCATAAGTTTCTGACATGAAAAAAATCTGAAGATCTTATTTTTTTTTCTTCTGATACCATTTTCTCATTAAAAACAAAAAAAGAAAGAAGAACTTTAAGGGAGCATATTTAGCACTATTATGATTGTAATTGTGACTTATTTAAGTCAAATTTTAAACAATTTATTAAGTGTGTGTTGAGTGTATTATGTTTAGTATAACAACGTGTATCCATCGGTTTTGTTGCAAAGATGCTTCCTGAGAAACCACTCTAAATTCAATGGCCTACGACAACAAATCATTTATTCTTTTAAAAATTATTTATTATTTTATTTTTTGCATCTTTTTTATTATTATAACTTTAAGTTCTGGGATACATGTGCAGACTGTGCAGGTTTGTTACGTAGGTATACACGTGCCATGGTGGTTTGCTGCATCCATCATCCCATCATCTAGGTTTTAAGCCCCACTTGCGTACGTAATTGTCCTAATGCTATCCCTCCCCTTGCCCACCACCCCCAACAGGCCCTGGTGTGTGATATTCCCCTCCCTGTGTTCTCATTGTTCGGCTCCCACTTAAGAGTGAGAACATGTGGTGTTTGGTTTTCTGTTCCTGCGTTAGTTTGCCAAGAATGAGGGTTTCCAGCTTCATCCATGTCCCTGCAAATGACATGAACTCATTCTTTATTATGGCTGTATAGTACTCCATCGTGTATATGTACCACATTTTCTGTATCCAGTCTATCACTGATGGGCATTTGGGTTGGTTCCAAGTCTTTGATATTGTAAATAGTGCTACAATAAACATGTGTGCATGTGTCTTTATAGTAGAATGATTTATAATCCTTTGGGTGTATACTCAGTAATGGGATTACTGGGTTAAATGGTATTTCTGGTTCTAGATCATTGAGGAATCATCACACAAAAGGGTTCCTATGTCTCCACATCCTCTCCAGCATCTGTTGTTTCCTGACTTTTTAATGGTCACCATTCTAACTGATGTGAGATGGTATCTCATTGTAGTTTTGATAACAAATCATTTATTCTCAGACCCACATTTATATGTCGACTAAGCTCTGGCTATACCAGACTGGCCTCGGCTTGGCTTGGTTCCAAACTACAGGCTGTGATCAGATCTACTATATATGCTTTTTATTCTCCATGGACTAATGAGCTACCCATGACATGCTTTTCTTAAAGCAATAGCAGAGGTGCAGAAAGCAGGCCCAACCACAGCACATTGGTATTTGAGGATTTACCTGTGATATCACTAGTGATGTACAGGCTTAGTGGAGGAGGTAATACTGTACTTCAAGCAGGCACAATTTCAACAGATAGAAGGAGAAAGCAAATGAACCTTAGTCAAGCACTTATTATACATCAGGCACTCCATGTAAGTCATTGTATTTATTTCTCATAACAACCTTGTGTGAAGTGGTTGTCATTATCTTCTTTTATAAGTGAAGAAACAGAGGCTTAGAGATATGAAATAACTTGTTTGGGTCAAAAAGTTAGTGGTGGGGCTGAGGTTCAAAACCGTGTACCCAGAGGCTATGTTTCAACCTATGCTAACTCAAGAAATAGCGTAAAAGTACATTTCAAGGTGCAGAAAAGCAAAAGCTTGAAAGTGGGAAAACACGGGACATATTTTGGCATTGGCAGCTAACCCTGTTGGGAAAGTTTGGTGTAAAAGCCAAAGGCATGGAAGACAAGGCCACTCAGATTGCACAACAGGCTAATTTGTGTTTAATTTTGAGCAGACTCTGAAGAACCATTGAACAGAAAATAGGTAGTTCAGAGATGCACTTTGGAAAGATTAATTCATCAGGTTATATGGAAGATAGGGAAACATTTGGAACTTTGCAGACAACTCAAGAAGTCATCACAATAATTGGAGTGGTAATGAGGGCTGAACTAAATTGGTGATGTGGAAACAGAAAAGAAGAGACAGATTGTGGAGGACACAAGCCAGGCAGAACAAACAATTTCCTGGCAACCTGTTGGATAGGGTAACTAGAGAAAGGAAAGAGCCAAGAATAACTCAAATATTGTGCAGGGATAACTACAAAAATGGTAGTGCCATTAATAAATGTAGAAAGGACAGAAAGAAGAGCTAGATTGAGGGAAAAAGAATGAGTTCTGTTTTGACATGTTAGCATTGAGGACAAAACTATTTGAAATGCCTGACAGTCATAAAAAAGGTTGACAATAAGCTGTCGATTAGAATATGTTCTTACCTTCTTTCATACTAATAGAATTGTAGCTAAGCTATATGGCAATATATTCCCCCAGACCACTTAGATTTATCTAACATGACTAAATTCTCACAAATGTTGTGTGAACAGAAGTCATACCTGTCTCCTTTAGACTTCTATGTGTGCACCTCCATGCTCTTTAGGCTTAAATGTTGATGACCAGAGCCACCTTGGAAGTCACATGCTGAAGGTTATAAAGCTACTAATTGCTAACCCCCTGCAACACCCTCCCTAGAATGTTTCATGAATGTTCTATAATAAATAAACATCTATAGTCCTTAAGAAATGAAAATCTATAGTCCCTAAGATTTTTTTTGATTCTTTTATTCTTAACAGTGCAGACCACCGTTACTATTTCAGCAGTTAGTACCTTGCAGTCAGATTGTCATAAGAGAAACCCAAACTATGTGACATTAGATTAGCAGTTAAACTTGAAATCTGGAATTCTTGGATGCTGTGGTCAAATGTTTTGCAAGTCAATTGCTTGTAATAAATCAGAGGGCAAGAACAAGTGCTTACCTAACTTAAAGCTCTAAGGAAAGTATTTGGAAAAAAGTGAAAATTTCCTGTGTTGGCTGCTCCTTTTTGCTTTTATCAAGGTATAAAAAAAGATGAAGAACCTAGTCAAAAATTGATAGGTTTGCTAGCAAAGATGGAAGGGAAGAAAGTACAGACATTTAGGACCATGTCTACCTACTCTTTTCTGGTTTGGAAAAGCTTCTGCATCTCACATAGCAGGAGATAAGACATCTATAGCTCAAGTGCCTCCTGAGAAGACTTCCTGGTCAAAGAAAAGGAACTACCTACAAGAAAAGCACATTGAAATATGGAGATGCCAGTCAAGCATCTATTCAGATGGCCTTATTGGAGGCCAATTAAGGTAAGAGAGAGGCACAGGGGCAAGAGAGCAAGGAAATAGCAGAAGGCAAGAATGTTAGTACATGCAGCTGGCAAAATCCGAACATTTTTGAGTGAATTATATTGCTAAAGAAAACCCTGAGCCTAGTCTGAAAAAGCTTTTGACTGTTTAAACAAACTTTGGGCTTTCAAATTTATCCCAAAGATGAATATCCCTCAGGAAAGGCATAGTCCTGTAGTAGTCATTTTTAGATGCAAGATGGGAGGTAGTAGTCAAAGAAGTGCTTATCTCTATCAGAGAGCCAAGTGAAGGTCCACGGAAAACAATGGGTGAGAGAATTCTTCCCAGAAAGCACAACTAGGGTTTACTTAAAGAAATTCCTTCACAGCCAGCCAGGCGCGGTGGCTCACGCCTGTAATCCCAGCACTTTGGGAGGCCGAGGCAGGTGGATTACATGAGGTCAGGAGTTCGAGACCAGCCTGGACAACATGGTAAAACCCCATATCTACTAAAAATACAAAAAGTAGCTGAGCGTAGTGGTGGGCGCTGAGGCAGGAGAATCGCTTGAACCCGGGAGGTGGAGGTTGCAGTAAGCTGAGATCGTGCCACTGCACTCCAGCCTGGGCAACAGAGCGAGACTCTGTTTCAAAAAAAAAGAGAGAGAAAAGAAAAAGAAATTCCTCCGCATGCAGGCATCCTCACACTGTCTGCCCAAGGATGAGTTCATTATTGCTTTCACTGCATACACCTATTCCTGCTACCTCTCCTTTTGTTTTTCACTGGAATCTCCCACACCCTCAATACATCTCTTGTGTACCTTATTACATCTGGGCATCTACTTCTTGGGAACTATATTAATGGTATCAGCAGTAGTCCAACAAAACAGGTTTTAAGATGGGCTTAAGGACTGGCTCATTGTCTAGCTGTGAGGGGAACTCCATTTCATGTAGATTGGGGGGCATGGATAACCCCTGGCACCAGGTGGAAGGCCAGTGGCTAAGCTTTCAGCAACACCCATTTAGAAGAAAGCCCTGGTGGCTAGGAATGCCCTTAATGGTAGGATGATTCAGACATTTGAAAGGTATAAATGGAAAAATGTCTATAGGAACAGGGAGGTTGGCTGGTAATTAATAAGTTGTGTTGATGCTTAACAGAGAGAGTGAAAAATGAGAGTAGTTAATAAATTGTAAAGTCTACATGTGAGAGCCAGCAGGACTCTTTGGCCCTTAGTTCATGCAGTAAAGAGTGGGTGCAGCTGAGGAGTGTGCTCAGGCCTCAATAGTTAGAATTGCAGAGCTCCTGTGAATTTTAACTGCTCAGCCCAGAAGGGTCAGGGCTTGACCTTATGCTAAGGTCAAGGCCTTGATTGGGAAAACCTGGGACCACCAAAATACAGGATAGGAACATGTGGGCCATGTACTTTTTAAAAAATTGGCTTACAGACTTCTCTGAACTGAGAGCCAGGGGCAGCTGGCCTCTCCCTAACAAAAGCTAGAACTCCCCTAGTGTGAGAAAACAATGCAGGCTTCCCCTGTCATAAGGTGACCCCTCAGAAGATTCCCCCCACCTCTTCTGCTTGCTGCCAGCAATATACTGAGGATTGAATATCAACATAACCTGGACAGAGATGAGCTGGAGCATGATAAGGAAGAGAAGATTACATTCACAAGGGAGCTTCAAGTGTTAGCTGTTATGCCTAGCAGAAGACAAGACAATATGCATGACATTGGGTTTTGAGGGTGCCTGATTAAGAGATCACCAACATAAGACTGAATAAGCAAGAATTCAATGACTTGGAGGCACTTTCTCAAGACACAGTATTGAACTCTGGCAAAGATGCTAGAGGATGAGGCAAATTTACTTCTAGGGTGACACTTAGCAGTTGGAGAAAGTGATGGTTCATTCTGAGTGAAATAGAAATGCCTGAGTTGTCCTGGCAGATAATAGAGGCAGGAATCAAAAGGCTCAAGGAGTTGGCACTCTGGCATAGATACGTTTTGTGAGGCTAACGGACTCACCATAGGATTAGGCTCTATAGAAAGGCCCAGAGGACACCATCTCCACCAAGGCCATCAGAGATGTGCTGTGTGAAGTCACAGCATCAATAATAAGTTCAGCTGTGGGTTTCCCTATAGACTAGAGATGATGGAAGGAGAAGCAGTCACAGAGTTAGGTTCATTAATGGCAATGGGATGATAGAGCCCCCAAATAATAGAAGAGTTGTCAGTGCTTACCCAGTAGAGACCAGGCAGCTGTAATTACCATAACAACTGGTAATGTAAAAGGGGCAGCCAAGGGAGCTTGACCCACAGAGAGTTGTGGAGATGCTTAATTGAACTTGGTGTCCCTAGGGGCAAAATAGATGGGCAACCAACAAGGATGCTACTAATATCTATAATCAGAAGAATGGGAGAATGGAGGAAAAGCATGTTCAGGGCTTGGCTCAGTTCCTGAACTTGAGCCAATTTTCAGATTCAGAACTCAGTAAATAAAGAGATGGTTGGGTTATGGGGGAAGGACTCTGCAACACTCAAGTTCTGCCCCAAAGGAACCTAGTGAGTGGTGTGCTGGAGCTGACTCTTACCGGGTTCAGAGAGTTAACTGTATCTTTTTCCGGTTACTTGATAGAAGCTTGAAATTTATCAAAGTAGGAGTATTTATACCATGGAAATTAGCAAACACTATGAAAGAGGATATTCTCCTCTTAGTATTCCTTACCCCCTGAGCTAGTTGTTAAAATACTTAACCAGCACTCCACTGCCTACAGCCGTTTACTCAGGTACACTGGGAAAAGGAGGATACCCAGATATTTTGAGAACTATTGGACACAGATTCTGAGTTGATATTAGTACCCAGAGACCCAAAGCATGCTAATGATTCTCCTCTTAGAATGGAAGCTTATGGGAGACAGGTGATAAATGGAGACTGGCTGAAGTTTAGTGTACATTGGGTTTGTAGACATTTTCTAGTTATCAAATTAATAGTAAAGGACAAAATACTTGGCTATTTGAGCAACTACCACAATGGCTCCTTGGCTTGTAAGGTTAAGAGTTGTCATAGTAGGGAAGTCTCTGAAACTGACCCCTCCTTACCCTTCTGGCCAAGATAGTAAATCAAAAACAAGAACTTCCAAGGAATGCTTCTAACCTGTGAATGAGCCTGGTGGAGGGTCTGTGAGGAGGCCATTCCTGCCTGATGCAATGCAGGACTTCTCTGATAGGCAGTCTTTGCTCTTGGACTCCCCTTAGGCATGGCTTAGACATTCTCAGAACAGCAATAAAGTATATTTAATTTTGTCTTGATGTTTTCTTCCCAAAGGACTAAACCTATGACAATATCTGAGAGAATGAATGGATACCAGTTTAGCCCGTTACCTGGAAAGCCAGTCTACCTCATGATGTCATGAGCCTTGGATTCTGATGCTGCCTCATTTTGCAATTCTCAGTTCAAATTAAATCTCTTGAAAACTTCCATAAGCTCCTCAAGTAAAGTTACATGCTTCTTCTTCTGGGCTTCTGTTGTATCTTTGAGCTTCAGTTATAATACCCACTGCAACATTCTGACAAGTGTTAAAACAAATAATGTAAAAACATGTCTAAAGATGAAAATAGAATTTTGATATGTTTTTCCAGCTTTTGCACTTTGATTTTTTTTCTTTTTTGAGACAGGGTCTCACTCTATCACCCAGGCCTGAGTGCAGTGGTGCAATCACGGCACCTTCAATCTCCCTGGGCTCAGTGATCCTCTCACCTCAGCCTATTAGGTATCCGGACCACAGGTGCACACCACTACGCCTAGGTAATTTTTTAATTTTTTGTAGACATGGGGGTTTTGCCCTGTTGCCCAGGCTGGTCTCAAACTCCTGGATTCAAGCAATCTGCCTGCCTCACTGGGATTACAGGCGTGAGCCACTGCATCTGGGCTGATGTATTTTTTTTATTTTTAATTTTCTACATATAAATTTGTACAAAAATTTTAAATGAAAGTTTATTATGTGACACCCACAATTTTGTACCATGCTGGTTTTCACCTAATATTTTAGAGTGGACATAGGCCAAGTGCAGTGGTTCACGCTTGTAATCCCAGCACTTTGGGAGGATGAGGTAAGAGGGTCTCTTGAGGCCAGGAGTTTGAGACCAGCCTGGGCAACATAGACCCCATCTCTACAAAAATAAATAATTATAATTTTGTAGGTATATATAGTGAAATTTTATATTCACTGTATACATAGTGAATAGAAAATTATAGTGAATAGAAAATTATATATATATATATATGTATATATATATAGAGAGAGTAAAATTTTGCTGTTCAGTGTTGTTTTCAAAATTTCTTTAAACTTAGTGAAGTTCTGGTTATTGCTTTTGAGGGCAACCAAAGGAGAAGGGAGCACCTTTGAAATGAGCAAGGGAAATTGGAAGGGAGAAGGAAGGGCATTTTTAGACTATGAAACAAGTTAGAGGATAGGAGGATTGAAGTGGAGCAAGCAGGGATATCCTGCCACTTAGTGTTGTTGCCCTGAGGAGATAAGACCTGGAAAAGGATGGCCATATGATGTACCTAAGGATGTTGGACTGAATCTATTGCCGTTCTTGGCCTAGGCAAAGATTCCTGTGTCAAACACACAGTAGTCCAGAGAAAAGATGCATGGGCTTCGATGAGGGTGTCCATGGTAGCCTTAATAGAGGAGAGGCTAGAGGTATTTTCTCTATCTTCTGGGCACTGTAGACCAGGTGCTTCTTAGACTCTAGCACTTCTGAAATTCAGTTTCGTGTCAAATGTATGAGATAGGAACTCAAGGTCAGATTTAATTTAATTAAAAGAAAATATAGAAAGGCACCTATATTAAACACCTACATTTAGAGACCAGGATTTATACCTACTATAATTTTTGTTTTTTTGAGACAATGTCTCACTTTGTCACCCAGGCTAGAGTGCAGTGGTGCAATCATGGCTTACTGTAGGTTCGACTTCCCGAGCCTCAGCCTCCCAAGTACATGGGACTACAGGTGCATGCCACCAAGCCCAGCTAATTTTTTTACTTTTTGTAGAATCAGGGTTCTGCCATGTGGCCCATGCTTGTCGCAAACCCCTGGGCTCAAGCAATCCTCCTGCCTCAGCTTCCCAAAGTGTTAGGATTACAGGCATGAGCCACTGTGCCCGGCCTACCCACTGTAATCTTAATCCCTAAACCTATCCAAAGAAAACCTCCTATTACCTCCAATCTGTTCTCATACTCTGAAAAATATCTGCTCTTATTTCTATAGTTGTGTGGGTTACATTTTTCCTATCGCCTTCAGAACCCTTCTCAAGTTGTTCAGATTTTTATTATTACATGAAAGATAAGACACCTAAATTTATTAGGTTATATTCTTCTTAATCCAGTAGATTTTCTAGAATTGTTTGTGTTGGATGAAGGCAGAGTGGAGGAAAGGAGATAATAAGCTCACTATTCTCCTTTGGCATAAATTAATCTCCCATATTAATCTTCAGCTAAGAGTAAGAGAATCACTGTCCCAAAGCAGTGGCTCACTGGAGTTCCATAAAATGATCAGAGAAGCTGAGATGAATAGAAAACTTCCTCCTGGGACCATACTTGGGCAGCACATGTAGTCCTGATTCAGTCTGTGCATTGTCTGAGCACAAATGTGCTCTGATCCCATGCTGGGGGAGTACAGCTCTTTGTCCATGGGGAACGCTGTACACACCATCTACAAGCCTTTATTAAACTAAGGCCCATTTGAAATTTGATTCATTTGTCCAACCAAAGAGGCAGTACAGAGAGATGGAAAGAACAAGAGTTGAAGCTAAGCAAGTTTAGGCATAAAACCTTAGATGTGCTACTGAATGTACTCTCAACTTCCATATCTTTATCCTTACTTGTAAAATGGGAATAATAGCATTTACCTTGCAGGACTGAATATCTGGAGAAGTAAATGAGACATATAGATAATATGCCAAGTATATTATAACCAATAAATATTAAAAATTCAAGAGGAGTCATGTTAAGGAAAATAATTGTAATAAATAATATTTTGTAAAATGACTAATGAGATATTGTGGTAAGCACTTTATCATTCACATAAATATCAGGAGATAAGTGCTCTTATTGCATCAGTTTCATAATTAGGAACTTGAGGCACAGAGAGGTTAAGGAACTTCCCTGGCATGTTATAGCTAATAAGGCTTCAAACCCAGTTATTTACCTCCAGTACTGTGCTATTAAATATTGTTCCAGATAGTAATGCCTTCTTTCACAAAAAACGAAGGAAGTGGTTAGATTATCTAAGGACCTGAAACACATAGAATGACCTTATTATTCCTGATCTTAAATTTAACATTCAAGGGAAGCTCTTCCTTTGAAGTTCAAAGGGAATAATGAAATGCATTTTAGATTTAGAATCATAAAACCTGTGAACAGT
This sequence comes from Homo sapiens, assembly GCF_000001405.40. NCBI lineage: Eukaryota > Metazoa > Chordata > Mammalia > Primates > Hominidae > Homo > Homo sapiens. Next base: position 101,278,012 of record NC_000011.10, read on the forward strand.
TTTCTGTTTCAGCACTTACTGTAAATCACTTAACACCTCTGAGCTCTTTATATATAAATAGTGGCAATTGTAATCTTACCCCGTTGATAGGTATAAATGAGGAAAAAGTCATGCAAGCCCCCTGTAAATGTAATTGCCTAACAAGTATTAGTTGCCATTAGTAAATGAGCCTAATTATACATTGAAGAGACTAAAACTGAAATAGCAATTACAGTGACAGTTCTCTCCATTCCACTTGGAAAATGCACCAGATTATTTTGTTGCACTTCAGCGTGTAACATATAATCAATTTCAAAATATTTTTAACATCCAAATTTCTAGAATCATTTTAATATTATAAAATTCATGTGGATGAAAGCAGAGAATGATGGCACACAGTAATGCCTCTTTCTTTATTTTTACAGAAAGTTTCATGAGAGGGTGAGAAACAGCAGGTATCCAATATTCTGAAGGATGGCATTCTGGGGTTGCCTAGGTTACTCAGCAGGATGCATTATCACATTATGCCTCATATTCTTTTGGAGTAAGTAAAAATGGGCAAGATGTGAGACATGGAAGTTAAGCCTTCTGATAAGAAACTTGCATCATCATCACTATAATCAAGAATGTGAAAAGATTTATTTACACATCACTTTTTAATTCATTTATCCAGTAATGTTAGATGTGTCCTGTCTATGGAACTGTACTAGATGTTGAAGGAGGTGTATCTAGAAATATTCAGTCTGGTTGAAAATATAGGAGATTTACAAATGGGCAGGGTGTGGTGGCTCACGCCTGTAATTCCAGTGCTTTGGGAAGCCGTGGCAGGCAGATCACCTAAGGTCAGGAGTTCGAGACCAGCCTGGCCAACATGGTAAAACCCGGTCTATACTAAAAATACAAAAATTAGCCGGGCATGGTGGCACGTGCCTGTAATCCCAGCTACCCATCAGGCTGAGGCAGGAGAGTCGCTGGAACCTGGGAGCCACAGGCTGTAGTGAGCCTAGATTGCACCACTGCACTCCAACCTGGGCGACAAAGCGAGACTCCATCTCAAAAAAAAAAAAAAGGCTATATGCAAATGAAGTAAATAACAAATAACATTGTAGAGGGGTGTATCATTAACTGAGAAAATGAGTGAAATCGCTGGTAAATACAAAGACAGTTCATAGAAGAGAGTGAAGAAGACAATGAGGGAAATTTTACAGGAGCGAGAAAGAAGCCTGGGGGTCAGGAGTGACTGGGTTTTGAGAACTTACGAAGAAGTTCTTTTGGCAGAAACACGATCAATGAACTATAAGCACTATTCAGCAAAATAACTGAACGGGGAGGACTGTTCAATTATAGAGAACTTTGAATTTAGGCTGAGGAATTTAAGTGTGTTATGTGGGCAGTGGATGTTGAAGTGGCAGTAGTGGGAAAGAACAGAGGTCTTTTGTCCACTCAGAAGGCAGCCTTCGCATGGTACAAAGATAACTCTTGAGTTTTCTTTGAGGTCTTGACCTTCAGTTATGAAAGAATTCACCTTTAAGTATCAGAAAACAACCAACAGTGGCTTTAAACACATAGGCAAGTGTTGTTACTTGTTTACTTTTGTTTACTTTTCATGTAACAAAAAGGCCACAAAATCAGCGTTCAGATCTGTCATGAAGAAGCAATGGTAGCTCTTCTGTCTTTCTGTTCCACCATCTTTACCATGATGCTTTTGTCCTTATGGCTATAAGACGGTGGCTACATCTCCAGACAAGCAGGAAGAAGAGGAAAAGGCAAATGCAATAAGCAAAAGCATATGCAATGAGAATCTGCCACTTAAACATTTTCCTAGATGTCCTACCTATTTAATTCTTGCTCACATTAATTTGCAAGAATGAGGTCAGAAGGCCCATCCTAATTGCAAGATGGGTGCAAAGCAACAATCTTAGCTGGACAAATTGCTGCTGTAAGCAAAACTGGAGATTTGTAGGGAATAGAAAACTAGACATGTATGAGTGTCTGGTCTCATTGGATATTTGGATCCAGAGGCCGTCTTGAAGATATAAAATATTTTCTTAATATCTTGGAAAAATTGTTTCTGTTTTCTGGGCAACACCTGGATAAATAAGTGAAGGGATGCCTGAGTGGGTTTTTCTCTAGTTCCATCAGCTGAATAGGTTGTGGATATACCCTCCAGATACTGACATTACATTGCCCATCAGCCTCACTTTTCTATTTTATTGTGTCTTGTTCTGGGCCTTCAAAGCTATATTTTGGAAAAGTTTGGAAAAGCTACACTAAGAGATACTAACTAGATGGCATCTTAAACCAATATTTAATGATTTCTTAGGTTTTAATTTGGTATTTTTATTCTTTCTTTGATCTAAACAGAGTAGGGCATTTTAAACCTCATTTATGGGGCTTTGTTTTAATGTGAGTTCTTATTTCTCATTTTATTCCCTCTTGGTCATTATTTTTCTTTCCAACTTTTTTTTTAATATGTATTTATTTATTTTTATTTTTTATTTTTTATTATTATACTTTAAGTTTTAGGGTACATGTGCACATTGTGCAGGTTAGTTACATACGTATATATGTGCCATGCTGGTGTGCTGCACCCACTAACTCGTCATCTAGCATTAGGTATATCTCCCAATGCTATCCGTCCCCCATCCCCCGACCCCACAACAGTCCCCAGAGTGTGATGTTCCCCTTCCTGTGTCCATGTGATCTCATTGTTCAATTCCCACCTATGAGTGAGAATATGCGGTGTTTGTTTTTTTGTTCTTGTGATAGTTTACTGAGAATGATGATTTCCAATTTCATCCATGTCCCTACAAAGGACATGAACTCATCATTTTTTATGGCTGCATAGTATTCCATGGTGTATATGTGCCACATTTTCTAAATCATTTAAGTCTGCAGAGGTTACTGCTGTCTTTTTGTTTGTCTGTGCCCTGCCCCCAGAGGTGGAGCCTACAGAGGCAGGCAGGCCTCCTTGAGCTGTGGTGGGCTCCACCCAGTTGGAGCTTCCCAGCTGCTTTGTTTACCTAAGCAAGCCTGGGCAATGGCGGGCGCCCCTCCCCCAGCCTCGCTGCCGCCTTGCAGTTTGATCTCAGACTGCTGTGCTAGCAATCAGCGAGACTCCGTGGGCGTAGGACCCTCCGAGCCAGGTGCGGGATATAATCTCGTGGTGCGCCGTTTTTTAAGCCAGACAGAAAAGCGCAGTATTCGGGTGGGAGTGACCCGATTTTCCAGGTGCCGTCGGTCACCCCTTTGATTAGGAAAGGGAACTCCCTGACCCCTTGCGCTTCCCGAGTGAGGCAATGACTCGCCCTGCTTCAGCTCGCACACGGTGCACGCAACCACTGACCTGTGCCCACTGTCTGGCACTCCCTAGTGAGATGAACCCGGTACCTCAGTTGGAAATGCAGAAATCACCCGTCTTCTGTGTCGCTCAGGCTGGGGGCTGTAGACCAGAACTGTTCCTATTCGGCCATCTTGGCTCCGCCTCCTCCCAACTTTTATTTTAATTTCAGAGGGCACATGTGCAGATTTGTCACATGTGTAAATTGTGTGTCATGGGGGTTTGGTGTACAGATTACTTTTCCACCCAGGTAATAAGCATAGTATCTGATAGGTAGTTTTTCCATTCTTATCCTTCTGCCACCCTTCTCCTTCAAGTAGGCCCCAGTGTCTATTGTTCCCTTCTTTGTGTCCATATATATTCAATGCTTAGCTCCCACTTAAAGTGAGAACATGTGGTATCTGGTTTTATGTTCCTGCATTAATTCACTTAGGATCAATTGGTTTTTAGAGTTGTTTTTATTTTTCCTTTGTCTCCCTGCAGATATTTCCAAGCATGTTTTCCCTAATCTTAAACATAGTAAGCCTAGTTATTTCATAAGATATAAATTTTGATGATTCTACTATCTCAAGTCTTTGTGGATTTATTTTAGTTGTTTCTTATTTCTTCTGTTCTTGTTCCTTATGTGCCTAATTATATAATCATGTAAGATAATATATAGGATAATTATATTATATAGGTATATTTTTAGAATATTTTAAATATAAATATATTTTTAAAAGTACAGTTATATGTGTTGCATCATAATATGTACATCATAATATATAATGAGATATGTATACTGATAAATATGTTATTCATATCATTGATTTCTAGTAGGTTCTACAGCTTTGGGGCCATTAAGGTTTGAGGTTTTCTGGGCTGTTCAGGTGATGCGTATCCAGGCCATAAGTCTGCCTTAGAGCTGTTTGCGTTCAGTTCCCACTAACTCTGAAGCTGTAGCCTTTTGGAAGTCTTATCAGATGTGGATTTCCCACCTGGGCTAACTTTAGCTATTGTATTCCTTCCCCACAAATCTGTTGAAATCCTTTGCTTCTGGATTTGCAAAAATCCTCCAGGCAAAAGTGTTTTAGAAAATTGGGTTTCCTCCTTTGACCTTCCAAACATGGGCAAAACCATTTCCCACTATATTGTTGGCTCTTTTATGCTTTTAATATTAATTTATTGTTTTTTCAGTAGTCTTCAGAGAGATGGTTGGTCCAAATTACCTAGACGACCTTTATCGAAATATAAAGTAATTCTTCTTTATTATTAATCCTTCTGTTTCTTCCCTCCTTCTTCCTCCCTTTCCTCTTTTTTCTCCACCTCCTCCTTTTTCACTTTCTTCCTTTCCTATTTTCAAAAAAAATTGGTTGTGTGCCTACTATTGCCAGTCATTACTTATGTTTATTATATTTATCTAACATATATCTTTATAATTTCTTTTATTTTTAGTGATTTTGTTTACAGTTGTAAGTAGCATATGGTATATTATTCTTTAACTCAATGTGGGAGTATTTTCCTTTAACAGGTTTATAATTCTATACTTAATATTAGAATCAACCTTTGCTGATTTCTTAGCTATGTATTCTTGTGCAATTAATTAACCCCCTTCACTCTCATTTACTTCATGTCATTAAAAGGCATAATAAAAGTATTTTCTTCATAGGGTTGCTTTGAGGATTAAACAAAATAGTTTACTTAAACCTTTTAACCACAGTATTTGAAAGCTTAATATATAGTATATTATTATTGTTATCATTTTTATTAATTATAAACAAGACTAACCTAACCCACTTACACTTATTGTTGTAACTGATATGTTTTCCTTTGCTTTGGCAATTTTTTTATACTTTAAAATTTAAAATATTTTTCGATATTTTCTTTGTTTTCTGTCTTTTGTTTAATATACACACATACAGTGATTTATAGGACAAAATTCTAAATTAAAGTCTACCAATGGTTTACATGTATAAAATATGTAATTAACTATACATATTAATTAGTTAACCAATTAATTGAATTTGAAATTTAATAATATGATTATAAAATCAAAATGTATAAACATATTTATGGTGACTAATTTTCTATCTTTGTTTTCTGGTCAATCGAATTCTTCTTTCTAAAGGTGAATAATGTTTTCACTTCTAGAGTGTCTCTAAATATAGTATGTTATGCCTTTTCAATTATATATATATATGTAAATATATTTTTTCCTTCTTTTCCTCGTTATACACAACTAATCACATACTGCACACATTCTCCTGCTTCATTTAATAGCTATGTTAGAATTTGTTCAACATTAACATAAAATAGCATCCTCATTTTGTATGAATTCTTTTAATTCCATCATATGAATGTATCATAATTTATTTAACTATTTGCTTATATTGTATAAGGGCATTTAGACTGATTCCAATTTTTTTGCTTGCACAAACTGTTTCAAAAAACAACTTTGTACATCTGACAATTTTTACTTATGCGAACTTATTTTTAGGTAAAATTTCTACAAGTGAAACTGGTGTGTCAAAGGGCATACACATTTTAATTTTGATTGATATTGTCAAATTGTCCTTCTTAAAGATTATGTTAATCTAAGTTGTTACTAGGAATGTATAAATAAGATTGCCTGTTGCTTCACATTGTTGCCAACATAGTAGTTTCAAACATTTTAATCTTGGCCTGTCTGAAGTGAAGAAAGGCATGTGAACATAGCTTTATTTAAACTTATATTTCTTGATGTCAAAATCAGAAACAAAACTATAGCCTTTTGCTATAGGCTGAACATTTATGCCCTCCCAAAGGTTGTATGATGAAACCTAATCCTCAATATACTGGTCTTATGAGATGGGGTCTTTGGGAGGTGATTAGGTCATGGGGCTGGAGCCCTCATGAATGGGATTAGTGCGCTTATAAAAGAGACTCTAGAGAGCTTCCTTGTCCTTTCTGCCATGTGAGAACACAACAAAAGGATAGCTGACTGTGAACCAGGCAGCAGGCCCTCACCAGACACCAAATCTGTCAGCACCTTGATCTCAAACTTTCAGTCTCCAGAATAGTGAGAAATAAATTGTTATTGCTTATAAACCACCCAGTCTATGGTATTCTGTTACAGTATCCTGAATAGTCTAAGACTCCTTTGATTCCCTCTTTACACAAGCCAAAATTCAACTTTGCTTACCCCCTCTACCACTGATATCATTAATTCAGATATCCCACTCTCACATATTCACAGTATGCCTGCTTTCCAAATTTACATGTTTCTATAGTCTGATCATTCTATTTTCTACTATTCATTAGCCTATTCATGGTCCTGTTTTCCTCTCTAACATAGATCCTTTACGCATCAATTCCATCACTTACTTCCCATGTTGTGCTTCTACAAATAGCCATGTGGCAAAATCACAGCCTCCGATTAAGCCAGCTGTCCACGCCGCTGCAAGGATGTGGGCAGCTGGACACTGCTGGGGAAAATCACACCACCAGGCTGACCAATGTCACATCATCAGACACAGCTCCCCAGTCCTATCTAGGCCCTCAAGGCTGCCGAGTAGTTACTCAAGTTATCACATTCTTTCATGTTCAAACTTACTATTTCAAATATTTTTCATCTTCCTCAGACTTCCACCACTCTTCACCAATACTTCTCATTTTCCAAAAAGGTCTCCATCTTCCACCTTGTGTGTAAAAGAGAAACTTTTGTTCAGGAAGTCCCTCAATTTAACAGTACCAAGTCTATACAAACTTACATGGTTTGGCTTTGTGTCCCCACACAAATTTAATCTTGAATTGTAATCTCTAGGTGTTGAGGGAGGAACCTGGTAGGAGGTGATTGGATTATGGGAGCAATTTCCCTCATGCTGTTCTTGGGATGATTGAGTTCTCACGAGATCTGATGGTTTTATGTGTTTGACAAGTTCCTCCTACACCTGCTCTCTTGCCTGCTGCCATGTAAGATGTGCCTGCTTCCCCTTCTGCCATGAGTGTAAATGTCCTGAGGCCTCATCAGCCATGTGGAACTGTGAGTCAATTAAATCTTTCTTTATAAATTACCCGGTCTTAGATATATCTTTGTAGCAGTGTGAGAACAGACTAATACACAGACCTCATCCAACTTTCTTCATTTCCATTCTAGTAAGAAAGGAGGTAATATCAGTTTCTCTTACCTAAGACCAATTTATTTACCTTTACCTTTGCTTTTAGTCACATGTATTCCTGCTCTCTCAAGGAAATTGCTCTACTAATTATTTTTTTCTGTCCAGCCAACTTCTCTCTATACTGATCTTTTGCATAAACATTTAAATATGCATCAGTCACTCTTAATTCAAAAACAAAGAAACTCATTCTCTTAATTCCCTAATTCCTCTCCAGTAGTTCAAACCTCCGGAAGATTTTTTAACTACACCACTTCAGTTCGCTTTCTTTCCAACTGCCTCCTCAATCAATCTACTCCAATTTGACCCACCTCCAGCTTCACGGGAACTTCTCTCCTGAGTTTGCAGCAATTTTCTTGTGCTAATTGAAAGAATACTTTTTTTATTTTCATCTCTCCTGACCTCAACTGCATTTGACATTGTTGATCATTTCCCCCTTTTTGAAATTCTTCAGGTTTCTATGACATATACTCCCCTAGTATTCATCTGTCCTTCCTGAACATTCTTTCTCAGTTCAACTTTTCCTCTCCATCTCCTCTGGTCACCCCTTAAGCATGTAGATTCTCCCCAGCCATCTTCCCTATGTCCTTCTATCTTCTCACATGTCACTCCTGAATTACCTAGAAAGACCAACTCAGACTGTCCTAAACTAAATTCTCATTTTATCCCCTCCTTATTTTTTTTGTGGGGGGGGAGGACATGGTCTCACTCTGTCACCCAGGCTGGAGTGCGGTGATGTAAACATGGCTCACTGCAGCCTTGAACTCCCATGCACAGGTGATCCTCTCACCTTAGCTTCTTGAGTAGCTGGGACCACAGGTGGACCCAACCACGCCTGGCTAATTTAAACAATTTTTTGGTAGAGATGAGATCTTGTTATGTTGCCCAGGCTGACCTCTAATTCCTGGGCTCAAGTAATCCTCCTGCCTCAGCCTCCCAAAGTGCTGGAAATACAGGTGTGAGCCACCATGCCTGGCCCTCATCTAATCTTTTAAACTTCCCTTTTCACCACCTTTCCTTTCTCAATAAATAAAACCAGTACGTACTTACAACTCAAGCTAGAATCTTGGTAACTATCACCAAATTTTGACAAATTTGTTTATAGCCACCCAACCTCTCTTCATCACCTTTTTATCTGGGCTGCTCAGATAACCTCACAAGTTATCTCCTTTGGTTTATTCATGACCATCTGCATTTATGTTCCACTCAGAGTCAGAATGATCTCCCTAAAGTACAGATTTGATCATGTAACTTTTCTGTTTAAAATGCTTCAATTACTTCTTATTTTCCACTGGGATCATGTTCAGGATTCTTAACATGGTGTATGAGACTCTGCAAGTCCTGGCCCTTACTTGCTTTTTGCCTCCTCTCCAACCACTCCCTCCTTCAGTCTAGCTGCTTCAAGTGGAGGTGCCATATTCTGTGTTTTGTCCTCAGATCTTCAAATATGCTCATCTATTAGTGTGAGACAATCTTTAGCAGCTACCATCATCCTTGCCCCTTTTCACCTACAAGACTAACTGCCTCTTATCCTCAAGTCCCTTTTCACAGGTTATGTGCTCAGGAATGTTTTCTCTGAGCCCTCCTCATCTCACTGCCCCCCACCCCCTCACACACAGCAGTCTAGATTAGGGCCCTTTGTTCTGTGCTCCTTTGTCAACTGCTCTTTTCCTTTATTAACATTCATTATACTTGTATTATTTTTTATATCTTTATTGAGGTACATTTCACACACTTTAAAATTCATCCATTGAAATTGTACACTTGAGTGGTTTTGAGTATATTCTTGAAGTTGTGCAACCATCACCACAATATAATTTTAGAACACTTTCAACACCCCAGAAAGATACCCCATACAAATTAACAGTCATTCTCCATTTTTGCTCCCTATCCCCCTGTCCCAGACCGAGGAAACCACTGAGCTGCTTTCTGTCTCTAAGGATTTGCTTGTTTTGGACATTTCACATAAATAAAATCATGCAATGTATAACTTTGTGTCTGGCTTCTTTCATTTAACATGACTTCAGGATTTATCCATGTTGTAGCATGTATTACTATTTTGCTGTTTCTTATTGCCCAATAACATTCAATTGTATGGATGTCAGTTGATAGACAATTGTGTTGTTTTCCATTTTTTTTCTTTTTTCTTAGACAGAGTCTTGTTCTGTCTCCCAGGCTGGAGTGCAGTGGCATGATCTCGGCTTACTGCAACCTCCTCTTCCCGGTTTCAAGCGATTCTCCTGCCTCAGTCTCCCCAGTAGCTGGAACTATAGGCGTGCATGACCACGTCCTGCTAATTTTTGTATTTTTAGTAGAGACGGGCTTTCGCCATGTTGTACAGGCTGGTCTCGAACTCCTGACCTCAGGTGATCTGCCTGCCTCAGCCTCCCAAAGTGCTGGGATTACAGATGTGAGCCACTATGCCTGGCCTTTTCCATTTTTTCTATTATACTTATGCTGCTACAAATATTCATGCACAAGTTTTTTGTGGACATACATTTTCATTTGGGGGGAGAGGTAAACTGTGAAGTAGAATTGCTGGATCATATCATAACCCTATGCCTAGCATTTCAAGGACTATTTTCCAAAGAGGCTGTACTGTTGTACATTCCCACCAGCAATGTATGGGGATTCTAATTTTTTCACATCCTCATCAACACTTGTTGTCTGTCTTTTTGACAGATAATCTCCTCTTTCATTTTTTATTTTTAGCAATTTGCGTCTTCTCCCTTTCTTTATTGGTTAGTCTAACTAAAGTTTGGCAATTTTGTTAATCTTTTCAGAAAATCAACTTTTCGTTTTGTTGATTTTCTCTATTGTTTGTTTTATTTTTACTATAATCTTTATTATTTTATTTTGTAACTGAACCTAGCTTTGGCTCATTGTTGCTCAAAAGTCAAACTCCAGAGTCAAGAGTTGGTGGGAGAAAAAGCAGGCTTATTCAAGAACCATAACCACAGAGATGGCAGACTAGTGTTGCAAAGACTATCTCAGTTCTTCAAGCTGGCTGGAGGGTTTTAATGGTGGGGTGGGGGGAATATAGAGAAACTGCGCACAGGGGTTGACTATATGCAGGTAAGCATGTCTGATCTTGATGACTCTCTTGAGCAGTGGGCCATCTGGTGGTCTGGCTGGCATCAGCTTGATTCCAGCAGAAATATAGATTAACTGCTCCACATTCTTCTTGGGGAGGAATGTTCCACAACCGTGATTCTGTGCTTAGTTTTCGAGGCTACTTCATGGGGTTATTTAAGCAAAAAAAATGAATTAAACATTAGTAAAAGCCCAGCATAGAAAGAGAGGGGGGAAAAGAAGAAAAACAACTGTTTTTCAAGAAGGGATGGTAGTTTCTGTTACACTTCCTTCTGCTTTCTTTGGATTTAATTTGCTCTGCTTTTTCTAGTTTCTTAAAGTGCTTTGAGAACTTTTTTCTTTTAATATAGGCATCGTTAGCTATAAATTTACCTCTAAGCACTGCATTAGCTGCATCCCATGTTTGTCTTTTCATTTTCATTCATTTTCAAGTATTTGCTGATTTACCTTGTGATTTCCTCATAACACATTTGTTATTTAGGAGTGTGCTGTTTTTTTGTTGTTTTTGTTTTTTTTCTTTTTGAGATGGAATCTAGCTCTGTCACCCAGGCTGGGGTGCAGGGGCACAATCTTGGCTCACTGTAACCTCTGTCTCCTGGGTTCAAGCGATTCTCCTGCCTCAGCCTCGTGAGTAGCTGGGATTACAGACACATGCCACCATGCCTGGCTATTTTTTTTTGTTTTTATATTTTTAGTAGATATAGGGTTTCACCATATTGGCCAGGCTGGTCTCAAACTCCTGACCTCAAGTGATCCGCCCACCTCAGCCTCCCAAAGTGCTGGGATTACAGGAATGAGCCACCATGCCTTGCCCAGGAGTGTACTGTTTAATTCCATATACTTATGAATTTCCCAAATTTTCTTTTGTTGTTGAATTTTAATCTTTCTTTATTGAAGTTGCAGAACATTCTTTGCATGATTTTAATCCTGTTAATTTTATCGAGTATTGTGTATAGCTAAGCATGTTCTGGAGAAGTCCATATGCACCTGAGAGGAATGTGTATTTGTTGTTGTTGGGGAAAGTGTTCTCTAGTTGTCTGTTAGATGTAATTGATGTGTATATTTCTTGAAGTTATCTATTTCCTTGTTGATCTTATACCTCAATTGTTCCATCCATTATCGAAAGTGGGATATTGAAAAATCCTTGTTGAATTATCTCTTCTTTTTCTTCTGTCTTGGTTTATGTATTTCAGGACTCTGTTGTTAGATATACATATAAAATACATTATGTATATTTATTTATAATTGCTATATTTTCCTAATGAGTTAAATCTTTTATCATTATAAAATGACCTTGTTAATCTCTAGTGAAATAGTTTTTTTTCTCAAAGTCTATTTTGTCTAATATTAGTTTAACTACTCTAACAGTATTTTGGATATTGCTTTTATGGTATTATTGACCTGCTGTAGAAACAAGGTGGACCCTGTTGGTTTCGATGTCAAAACTGATGACACCACACACACACTAAAAGGATATTAAAAAATTAATTACTCACATAATGATCCTTCCTGGGAAGATCAAGTGACTCCCAAGCAAATAAAAAAATGTGATAAGAACAGGGAAAGGAGAGACTAGCTTGGGGTTTATGAGGGTTGATTTTGGGTGCAACTTGACTGCATCAAGGGGTACCCAGATGGCAGGTAAAGCATTAATTATTCTCAGTGTTTTAAGAGGCACTAAGCCCATCCCTCTTCTGCTGAAAGAAAAACCCAGGTGGTTTGGCATTTGATTAGAACGATTGGGATGCCCCAAATGTGTCTGTGAAATGTTTCCTGAGAGAATTGGCATGTGAGTAGCTGGACTGAGTGAGGAAGATCTGCCCTCAATGTGGGTGGGTACCATCCAATCAGCTGGGGACCTTGATGTAACAAATAGTGGAGGAAGAGTGAATTCTTGCTCTTTCTGCTGGAGTCAGGGTGCTCTTCTCCTGCCCTTGGATGTCAGAACTCCAGTTCTATGGCCTTTGGACTCCAGTACTCACACCAGTGGCCCCTGGCTGGGGCTCTTGGACTTTTGACCTTGGACTGAGAGTTACACCATATGCTTCCTTGGTTCTAAGGCCTTTAGCCTTAGGTGGAGCCACACTATCAGCTTATGAGGTTCTGAGGTATTCTGACTTGAACTGAACCATGCTACTGGCTTCCCTGGTTCTCAGCTTATAGACGGCCTATTGTGGTACTTCTTAGCCTTCATAATTAAGTGAGCCAATTACCCTAATAAACCTTTTCTAATACTTCTCTCTTTATATATATTCTATCAGTTCTGTCTCTCTTGGGGAACGCTGACCAAAACAGGATTTTTCTAGTGGTTAGAGGATAAGGCAAGAGTGAGAGTTCCCACATGTGACTTGAACTCCTACAGGTCAAAAACTGTGAGCATTACAGTTTCTTTTCTCACTTCAGACTTCCCACACCTCGTCTTCCCAATTACTCTGAGCAGAAGATCTTTCATCATATCTTATTGAGAAATGGAAGCAACCTAACTGAACTCCATCTTCCCACTTCCAGTTTCCCTGCATCTAAACCATACTGTTTACATTCCCTTTTCTTACAGTATATGGAGTGTCACTGTTCCTATCAAAGGTCAGTTTTCACTTGTACTCTGGATTCTGTCTTCTCTATTCTTCTCAGAGTCTTTATTTCAGCCATTGTTTCCCTCTGCTTCTCTCTCTAAGCAATCCTCTCATGCAGAGATGATCTAGTATCTCCTCCCTTGATCTCACATTCTCTCCAGCTAACATCTTTTTTTTTTTTACTTCCTTATTTGGGGAATATAAATGAATTTTGTGTTTAGGCTTGGGTTCCATTCCCAAGTTATCTCATTATGTATATGCAAATATTCCAAATTTCAAAAAATCAACAATCTGAAATACTTCTGGTCTCAAGCATTTCAGATGAGGGCTACTCAACCCATAAACCTTCAGGGCAAACGCCTTTCTGGACCACAGTGCTTCACTGCAAACTCAACATTCAAAGCATAACTCATTTATCTTCTACTTCAAAGTGAAGGAAGCATAATCTAGCTGTCCTGTGTTAGGTATTTTAAATATGGAAATCCTGATATTCATAACAAATACATGATAGTATTATCTGCATATTATGAAAAAATGAAATTTAGAGAGTTGAAATAACAAGGCTCAGGTCTTGCATAAGAAAATAAATTAATCAAATCAGAGTTAATGAATATAATAAAATAACTGAAAGGTTTTGATTTTTTTTTGCATTTTTTATTTCCATAGGTTTTGGGGGAACAGGTGTATTTGGTTACATGAGTAAGTTCTTTAGTGATGATTTGTGAGATTTTGGTGCACCCAACACCTGAGCAGTATACATTGAACCCAGTTTGTAGTCTTTTATCCCTCAGCCCCTTCCCACCCTTTCTTCCTGATTCCCCGAAGTCCATTGTGTCATTCTTATGCCTTTGCATCCTCACAGCTTAGCTCCCACTTGTGAGTGAGAACATACCATGTTTGGATTGCCATTCCTGAGTTACTTCACTTAGAATAATAATCTCCAATCCCACCCAGGTTGCTGCAAAGGCTATTAATTCTTTCCTTTTTATGACTGAGTAGTATTTCAGTGTGTGTGTGTGTGTGTGTGTGTGTGTGTGTTTATCACAGTTTCTTTATCCACTTGTTGATTGATGGGTATTTGGCATTTGGCATTTGGGTTGGTTCCACATTTTTGCAATTGCGAATTGTGCTGCTATAAACATGACTGTGTAAGTATCTTTTTCATATAATGAATTCTTTCCCTCTGGGTAGATACCCAGTAGCGAGATTGCTCGATCAAATTATAGTTCTACTTTTGGTCCTTGAAGGAATCTCCATACTGTTTTCCATAGTGGTTTTACTAGTCTGCATACCCACCAGCAGTGTAGAAGTGTTCTCTCTTCACTGCATCCATGCCAACATCTATTTTTTTTAATTTTTTTTATTATGGCCATTCTTGCAGGAGTAAAATAGTATCACATTGTGGTTTTGATTTGCATTTCCCTAATTACTAGAGATGTTGTGCATTTTTTCTTATGATTGTTGGACATTTGTATACCTTCCTTTGAGAATTGTCTATTCATGTGCTTAGCGCACTTTTTGATGGGATTGTTTGTTTTTTCCTTGCTGACTTGTTTGAGTTCATGTCAATTCTGAATATTAATCCCTTGTCATATGTATAGATTGTGAAGATTTTCTCCCACTTTGCAGGTTGTTTGTTTACTCTGCTCAATGTTCCATTTGCCGTGCAAAATCTCTTTAGTTAATTAAGTCCTACCTATTTATCTTTGTTTTCATTGCATTTGCTTTTGGGTTCTTAGTCATGAAATTCTTGCCTAAGCCAATGTCAAGAAGGGTTTTTCTGATGTTATCTTCTAGAATTTTCATAGTTTTAGGTCTTTAAGTCCTTAATCCATCTTGGGTTGATTTTTGTATAATGTGAGAGATGAGGATCCAGTTTCATTCTCCTACACGTGGCTAGCCAATTATCCCAGCACCATTGGTTGAATTTGGTGTCCTTTCCCCACTTTAGGTTTTTGTTTGCTTTGTCAAATAACAGTTGGCTCTAAGTATTTGGCTTTATTGCTTGGTTCTCCATTCTGTTCCATTGGTCTATGTGCCTATTTTTATACCAGTTCCATGATGTTTTGGTGACTTTGACCTTATAGCATAGTTTGAAATCAGTTAATGTGATGCCTCCAGATTTGTTCTTTTTGCTTAGTCTTGCTTTGGCTATGTGTGCTCTTTTTTGGCTCCATATGAATTTTAGGATTGTTTTTTCTAGTTCTGTGAAGAATGATGGTGATATTTTGATGGGAATTGCATTGAATTTGAAGGTTGCTTTTGGCAGTACAGCCATTTTCACAATATTGATTCTACCCACCCATTTATGAGCATGAAATGTGTTTCCATTTATTTGTGTCTATGGTTTCTTTCAGCAATGTTTTCTAGTTTTCCTTGTAGAGGTCTTTCACCTCCTTGGTTAGGTATATTCCTAAGTATTTTATTTTATTTTTTGCATCTATTCTAAAAGGGGTTGAGTTCTTGATTTGATTCTCAGCTAGGTTGCTGTTGGTGTGGAAAAGAGCTACTGATTTGTATACATTAATTTTGTATCCTTAAACTTTGCTGAATTTATTTACCAGTTATAGGAGCTTTTTGGATGAGTCTTTAGGGTTTTCTAGGTATACAATCTTATCATCAGCAAGCAGCGAAAGTTTGACACCCTCTTTACCATTTTGAATGCCCTTTATTTATTTCTCTTGTCTGATTGCTCTAAATAGAACTTCTAGTACAATGTTGAATAGAAGTCATAAGAGTGGGCATCCCTGTCTTATTCCAGTTCTCAGAGGGAATGCTTTCAACTTTTCCCCATTCAGCATTATGTTGGCTGTGGTTTTGTCACAGATGGCTTTTATTACATTGAGATATGTCCGTTGTATGCTAATTTTGCTGCTGAGGGTTTTAATCATGAAGGGATGCTGAATTTTGTCAAATGCATTTTCTGCATCTATTGAGATGATCATGTGATTTTTGTTTTTTAATTTTGTTTGTGGTGTATCACATTTATTGACTTGCATATGTTAAACCATTCCTGCATCCCTAGTATGAAACCCACTTGATCATGGCGGATTATCTTTTTGATATGTTGCTGGATTTGGTTAGATAGTATTTTGTTAAATACTTTTGCATGTATTTTCATCAAGGATATTGGTCCATAGTTTTATTTTTCTGTTATGTCCTTTCCTGGTTTTGGTATTTAGAGTGATACTGGTTTCATAGAATGATTTAGGGAGGATTCCCTCTTTCTCAGTCTTGTGGAATAGTGTCAATACGATTGGTACCAATTCTTATTTGAATGTCTGGTAGAATTCAGCTGTGAATCTGTCTGGTCCTGGACTTTCTTTGTTGGTAATTTTTTTAAATTACCATTTCAATCTCACTGCTTGTTACTTTTGGTCTGTTCAGGGTATCTAATTATTCCTGATTTAAGCTAGGAGGGTTGTATCTTTCCAGGAATTTATCCATCTCCTCTAGGCTTTCTAGTACATGTGCATAAAAGTGTTCATAGTAGCCTTGAATGATCTTTTGTATTTCTGTGGTGTCAGTTGTAATATCTCCCATTTTGTTTCTAATTGAGTTTATTTAGATTTTTCTCTCTTCTTTTCTTGGCTAATCTTGCTAATGCTCTATCAACTTTTTAAAAATCTTTTCAAAGAACCAGCATTTTGTTACATTTATCTTTTGTATTGTTTTTTGTTTGTTTCAATTTCATTTAGTTCTGCTCTGATCTTGGTTATTTCCTTTCTTCTGCTGGGTTTGGTTTGTTGTTGTTTCTCTAGTTTCTTGAGGTGTGACCTTAGACTGTCTATTTGTGCTCTTTCAGACTTTTTGATGTAGGCATTTAGGGCTATGAACTTCCCTCTTATTACCGCCTTTGCTTTATCCCAGAGGTTTCGATAGGTTGTGTCACTAATATCATTCAGTTCAAAGAATTTTTAAAATTTCCATCTGGATTTCCTTGTTGACCCAATGATCATTCAAGAGCAGGTTGTTTAATTTCCATGTATTTGCATGGTTTTGAAGGTTCCTGTTGGAGTTGATTTCCAGTTTTGTTCCACTGTGATCTGAGAGAGTATTTGATATTTCAGTTTTCTTAACTTTTTTGATACTTGTTTTGTGACCCACTACATGGTCTATCTTGGAGAATGTTCAATGTGCTGATGAATAAATATATATTCTGTGGTTGTTGGGTAGAATGTTCTGTAAATATCTGTTAAGTCCATTTGTTGTGGGGTATAGTTTAAGTCCATTATTTCTTTATTGACTTTCTGTCTTGATGATCTCTCTAGTGCTGTTAGTGGAGTATTGAAGTCCCCCACTATTATTGTGTTGCTGTCTATCTCATTCCTTAGGTGTACTAGTAATTGTTTTATAAATTTGGTAGCTCCAGTGTTAGGTGCATATGTATTTAGGATTGTGATAATTTTCTGTTGGACAAGGCCTTTTATCATTACGTAATGTCCACCTTTGTCTTTTTGAACTGCTGTTGCTTTAAAGTTTGTTTTGTCTGGTATAAGAATAGTCATTCCTGTTAGCTTTTAGTGTACATTTGCATGGAATGTCTTTTTTTTACCCCTTTACCTTAAGTTTATGTGAGTCCTAGTGTGTTAGGTGAGTCTCTTGAAGGCAGCAGGTAGTTGGTTGGTGAATTTTTATCCAACCTGCAATTCTGTATCTTTTAAATGGAGCATTTAGGTCATTCGATGTTAGTATTGAGATGTGAGGTACTATCCCATTTATCATGCTATTTGTTGCCTATATGCCTTTTCTTTTTGTATCTTTGTTTTATAGGTCCTGTGAGATTTATGCTTTAAAGAGGTTCTGTTTTGATGTGTTTCCAGAATTTGTTTCAAGATTTAGAGCTCCTTTTAGCTGTTCTTGTAGTCCTAGCTTAGTAGTGGTAAATTCTCTCAGCATTTGTTTTTCTGAAAAAGACTGAATCTTTCCATCCTTTATGAAGCTTAGTTTCACTGGATACCAAATTCTTGGCTGATAATTTTTTTTTTTAAGGAGGCTGAATAGGGCCCCAATTTCTTCTAGCTTGCAGGGTTTCTGCTGAGAAATCTGCTGTTAATCTGATAGGTTTTCATTTATAAGTTGCTTGCTGCTTTTGCCTCACAGCTATTAAGATTCTTTCCTTCATCTTGACTTCACATAACCTGATGACAGTGTGCCTAGGTGATGATATTTTTGTGATGAATTTTCCAGATATTCTTTGAGCTTCTTGTATTTGGATATCTACATCCCCAGCAAGGCTGGGGAAGTCTATCTCAAGTATTTCCCCAAATATGTTTTCCAAACTTTTAGATGTCTTTTCTTTCTCAGGAATGCCAATTATTCTTAGGTTTGGTCATTTAACATAATCCCAAACTTCTTGGAGACTTTGTTCATTTTTTAAAATTATTTTTTCTTTGTCTTTGTTGTATTGGGTTGACTCAAAAATCTTGTCTTCGAGCTGTGTAGTTCTTTCCTCTGCTTGTTCGATTCTATTGCTGAGGCTGTCCAGAACATTTTGCGTTTCCCAAAGTGTGTTCTTTATTTCCTGAAGTTTTGATTGATTTTTATTTATGCTATCTATTTCACTGAAGATTTCTCCCCTCATTTCTTGTATCATTTTTTTTTATTTCCTTATATTGGACCTCACCTTTCTCTGGTGCCTCCTTGATTAACTTAATAACAAATTTATTTTTCAGGTAAATCAGGGATTTCTTCTTGGTTTGGTGACCTAGTGTGATTTTGGCAGGGAGTTAAAGAACCTTGTTCTGTCATATTACCAGAATTGTTTTTCTGGTTCCTTCTCATTTGGGTAAGCTATGCCAGAGGGAAAATCTAGGGCTCAAGGCTGCTGTTCAGATTTTTTTGTCCCACAGGGTGTTCCCTTGACATAGAACTCTCCCCCTTTTCCTAGGGATGTGGCTTCCTGAGAACTGAGCTGTAGTGATTGTTATCTCTCTTCTGAATCTAGCCACCCAGCAGGTCTACCAGGCTCTGAGCTGGTACTGGGGATTGTCTGCACAGAGTCCTGTGAGGTGAATCATCTGCAGATCTCTCAGCCATAGATACTAACATCTGCTCTGGTGGAGGTGGTAGGGGGGTGAAATGGACTTTGTGAGGGTCCTTAATTTTGGTTGTTTAGTGCACTATTTTTATGCTGGTTGGCCTCCTGCCAGGAGGTGGCACTTTTAGGAGAGTATCAGCTCTGGTAGTATAGGGAGGCTTAGGTGGTGAGTGGGGCCCTAGAACTCCTGAGTATTTGTCCTTTGCCTTCAGCTACCAGGGTGGGTAGAAAAGAACCATCAGGTGGGGGCAGGGCTAGGCATGACTGAACTCAGGCTCTCCTTGGGCAGGTCTTGCTGTGGCTGCTGTGGGGGATTGGGGTGTTGTTCCCAAGACCATGGAGTTATGTTCCCAGGAGAATTATGCTGCCTCTGGTGTGTCATGCAGGTTGTCAGGGAAGTGAGGGAAAGCCAGCAGTCACAGGCCTCACCCAGCTCCCATGCAACCCAAAAGGCCGGTCTCACTCCCACTGTGCCCCCCTTCAATAGTACCAAGTCTGTTTCCAGGCAGTGGGTGAGCAGGGTTGAGAACTTGCCCCAGGCTATCAGCCTCCCAGCTGCAAAAGCAAGCAGGGCTTTTGGGCCTGTGGAGTCTGCACACTGGATTCATGCTCTCCCCAAGTTCTGGCCAAGAGACTTTGCACTTGGTTGTAATTGTTAAAAGTTCAGCTGGAGGTTTCCTTCTCCATGTGGTCTTTTCCTGGTACCCCTGGCAGCCCTCCCCAAGGACCCCTGTGAGACAAAGCAGAAATGGCTTCCCAGGGGACCCAGAGAGCCTACAGAGCTTTTCCCACAGCTTTCTCTACCCTTGTATTTTGCTCAGCTCTCTAAATTTACTCAGCTCCAGGTAAGGTCAGAATCTTCTCCTGTGATCTAGACTTTCAGATTCCCCAGTGAGGGTATGTGTTCGGGGGTGGACAGTCCCCCTTTCCCACTTCCACAGCTTAGGCACTCATAGTATTTGGGGTGTCTCCTGGGTCCTATAGGAGCAATCTGCTTCCTTTAGAGGGTCTGTGGGTTCTCTCAGCTTTCCTGGATTATTCCTGCAGTAGTTCTGGAGCAAAAGTTCACAATGAGATTCTCTACACTCTGCTCTGTCCATCCAAGTGGGAGCTGTAATCTAGTCCTGCCTCCTATCTGCCATAATCTAGCCAAGTTTTCGTGATCTTATTCTATTGGCTCAAACAAGAAGGAATGATTCTCTTTGGCTAATGAAAACCCAGAGAGAAGGGACATGAAAAGTCAAAAGGGAAGAAATCACAGGTCAGTAGGTGGGCAGATAAGGACAAATAATATTTATTTTTCTGGCTGACAACTACCTCCTTGGTCTGGCTTTTCTACAGTTCATCAATGGCTTTACCTCCATAAGCACCAGGAGTTAATTTTAGTGTCTATTCATCTGGCCCTGGTGATCTTCAGAGAACATTCTGTAGGTGCTGTGTGGACATAGTCTTTCCCCACTTCTACCACTTGCCTCCTGCCAGTGATCACTCAGCAGCCCCTTACCTAAGAGAAGACACCTCTGAGAGCCTACTCAGTGACTGTCATGCCATCCTATGACCTGAGACTGAGGTTCACTCTGGTTGCTGTATTTTCCATACTCTACCCTGGGAGCCATGTGTACCAAGAACAGTCCCCTGGCTTCTAGCAGGACATGGCTATCTATGTTTTGTGACTGGTACATTGGAGGGTAATTAGAAATGTGGCTTAAAAAAATGAGTGAGTTACATCATGTTTTCTTTTAGGTTGGCTGGATATTCAGCAGAGAAAAACAAGGTCTGCTGTCAGGAAGCTTACAGTCTACTAGAGGGAAACAGAAAATAACAACAAGATGAGTTATTATGTAATGTGATGGAATTAATGGTAGACTCTTATTAGGAATAGCAATGCATTACTGCAGTCACATACATCAGTGTGAATTTACTTCTCCTTTTCTTTCCAAAGGGACAACTGTCTGAACAAAAGTTTTGAATATTAGGAGGAGAGGAGGGAGAGCACAGTGTAACTAAGAATCTTAGTTTTGACAGAGACCACACAAAGTGGAAAAGATGACAGAAGGAGAAGTTAGAAGATCCTTAAGAAAAATGTGACTGTTGCAGAGCTTTCTCTGTGTTGGCCTTTTCTACAGTATTGTTGTATTTACTTGCTCCAAGTACTGACTAGGTCATCATGACATTAACCTGCGAACAGACTTATTTCAGCTTTGAATAGCCTGACCTGTTGCTTCAATGCCATATGAATAGGACTCATAATACCTGCTTTGGCTACGAATATGATACCTGGCCCGCTCCCACCTCCCTCTCCTTCCCAGAGGTTTTCACAGAAGCCTTTATATCAAGTAGGTCTGAGAAGTCGTCCTGCCTGTGTAACCCTGAACACAGTTTGAGTACAATAAAAGGAGCGTTAGAACGTGATGTAATAGAAATCTCAAAGAAATGTTTTCTTCTCATTCTCATGTTTGATTTAAGGCTGTTCACAGATTGTCAGGACTCACTTTAGTTACTGCAATTCAGGTCAAGATGTCTAAATGTGAGTGAATCAAAAAGCCATTATGACCTGAGAAGTGTCTCATCAATTACCTTGTAGACTGTAGAGACCAAAACCTTATTATGTCAAGAGCACATTGACTAGTTGGAGAGAAAGGAGTGTTTTGGCTTTCCTTACTTATCTATTTGAAGCACATAAACTATTAACAATGTTAAGATTTTGACATTTAACTTCAAGCCTGAGAAAACAAAGGGAATGTGTTGTTCTTCTGTTTCCATATGGATGTAAGATTTCTAGTTAAATATTCCTTAGTTATGTCTAACCAATGGAAGTATACCTTTAGTTATAGAATTACAGATATATGGCATTATATTCACAATTATGAAAAACAATTATAATAAAAATTTTTTTATGACATTTATTTAAAAATTGGAGGATAGAAGCCTTAAAATGCCCAAGGAAAAGGACTTTTTGTGTGTATGTTTTTGTGTGTGTATATTTGTGTGTGTGTGCATTTTTCTATTATTACATCTGTAAACTATATGTATATAGGATTATATCATGCATATTGCTTTAGATGTTTGGTTATAAAGTCATTCATAATGCTAACCTTTTATTTATCTTAGTTTAAGATCTGTCTCTATATGTTTTTAAGACATAAGGAGCCCTAAAATAAACACACACCCCAAATTAGAACTAAAAAATCATTAATATATTTTAAGCCTATGTGTGCCCCACTCCAAATCATGTTCTTTTTCTAATACTGACAAATTTTATGTTCTATGCATACGTTTAGTTAGAATTTTAGGATACATGTTTGAATATTATAAACTTTAAAGAATTTAAATTATACTGTTTATATTTAACTGCAACTTGCTTTTTTCACTCAACATTATACTTTGGGATTCAACAGTCAGGCCTATAAACCCCAACCTCACTGAGTCACCAGATGCTGGCTGCCCCAGGAAGAATGTGACCTAGGGCAAAGGAGCTTTCTAGAGCTGACAATGACCTCGGAGAAGCTGATAGCCAATCTTTTTTTAAAATTTGATATTTTCTTTATAATAAATTTTTGCATTAATTTTGATTTTTAAAAACATTTAATTCAAGTGTGACTTATCTTGATTACTGATTTTTTTTTGGTTGCCCTTTAAATTTTGCACTTACATACAAACTGAGGCAAGGGCCTCACTTCTGACATGTAGGAAGGTGTCTAATGACTCTACTGCCTGCAGCCAGGCAGAAAGTACTTCTTCCAAGAGGGTTTTGGACAGTGCGTCTTGGTTTCTACTACAGGAAGTGACATTCCAATGGTGGATTCTTTCTTAGCCTGCGTCCTTGAGGTTTGTGAAACAGAGCCCCTAGCAAACCTTTATTTTAAATCCCTGAGATTTGGGACATTTGAGTTGGTGCTTACCTATGCCATCTTGACCTATACAGAAATTGTGACTCAAAGTAGGATGCCTACCAACAACCTAAAATACACAAAGCAGTTGGCATTGACTTAATGGTCAGAGTGTGGCTAGTGAGGAAATTGCTATCAAAGGCTGGAAACATGGCAATCCATTCATGTAATGGCAAAACATTCAGTGAAATTAATGCCCATGGTTTTTTGGGGAAGATCTTTGTACCTAACAAACTTGTTGCAATAGAAGAGAGGGTGAGAAAAAAAAATTTTGTGATTTGTGTTGGTTGTTATGTCTGTCTTTGCTCAGTTATGAAGAGAAACATACACACCTAGAGAAAAATTTACAAATTTACAAACAGAAATGAAGGAGGATAGAGGAAGCCCACAATTCTTGCATTCACGGGATTATTGTTTGGGATTGGCTTTGTAATCTCAAAAAATAAAAAACAAAATTAAGAAAATCTTGAAACACAAAGACTGGTTAAATATTTATTTACTCTTGGCACTTTATTCTCTTAATTTTGGCTCCTATCATTGCCAAATATCATTGCTGCTATTGAGAATAGCAGCCTAATTATCTTTTCTTTGAGAGGATTTATTTTTTTTCTCTATGTGCTTTTCTCATCTTCTCTTGTCTTCATTGCCCTGAAATTTGATTTTGGTATGTCTAGGTTATGGTTTTATTTATATGTACCCTTTCTTGATTTTGTGCTGGTGGAGTTATACTCAGTTATTATCTCTTTCAATATTGTCTCTCCCAATGTTTTGTTTTTATCTCTTCTGGAATTACAATTGGAGTGTTAGATCTTATTCTAAATTTTAGACTGCTTAACCACTCTTTTATATTCCTTTATATTTTTATATTTCTGGGCTGCATTCTGACAAACACCTTTTTTAAAATCTATTTTCTAGTTACCTATTTTTTCTCTTAGTTATTCTACCAACAACTGAGTAATACATTCTGATAATGGTTTGGCTGTGTCCCCACCGAAATCTCATCTTGAATTGTACTTCCATAATTTCCACATGTTGTGGGAGGGACTTGGTGGGAGATAAATTGAATCATGGGGGCGGTTCTCCCCATACTGTTCTTGTGGTAATGAATAAGTCTCACGAGATCTGATGGTTTTATCAGGGGTTTCTGCTTTTGCATCTTCCTCATTTTCTCTTGCTGCCACCATGTAAGAAGTAAGTGCCTTTTGCCTCCTGCCATGATTCTGAGACCTCCCCAGCCACGTGGAACTCTTAAGTCCAATTAAACCTCTTTTTCTTCCCAGTCTCGGATATGTCTTTATCAGCAGCGTGAAAACAGACTAATACACATTCCAATAATTTTTTTTTTTTTTTGAGATGGAGTCTCGCTCTGTCGTCCAGGCTGGAGTGCAGTGGCACAATCTTGGCTCACTGCAAGCTCTGCCTCCCGGGTTCACGCCATTCTCCTGACTCAGCCTCCTGAGTAGCTGGGACTACAAGTGCCCGCCACCACGTCTGGCTAATTTTTTGTATTTTTAATAGAGACGGGGTTTCACCGTGTTAGCCAGGATGGTCTCGATCTCCTGACCTCATGATCCACCCGCCTTGGCCTCCCAAAGTGCTGGGATTACAGGCGTGAGCCACCACGCCCGGCCCCAATAATTATATTTTTATTTCTAAAAGATCTCTTGGTACATTGTCAAATAGGCATGGCTATTTTTGATAATACACTATTTGTTGTTAATTTCTTTGGATTATAGTTTTTATTTCTTTATATGCATTAAATATATTTATTACATATTATTCATTTGGAAATTTTAATATGTAAAGCCTTGTTCTAAATTTATTATTTGTTATTTATGCTGGTTCTTTCTTGGTGAATTATGGATATTCATGTATTTGGTGAATTTTTTTCTTATGAGATAATTAGTTGACCTGAATCTTTGGGAATCTGAAGAGCTGGTTGGGGATTCCTTTATCTAGAGAAGGTTTAATTTCTTTTAGCCAGAGGCAAGGGGGAATTATGAAACTGGACCAAATTCAACTTAATTTCTCATATATAAATTTTCCCGATTCTTTCTTCAGTTTAACTTTTTATATAATTTATGTTAAGATGATGTCAAAACTATATAAAACTTGCAACATCTGCATGTTTCTCGCCACAATATCCTGTATTCTTAACATTTGACTACATTTGATCTATCTTTGTCTCTCACTCTCTATTTAATTATTAATCTTCTTCAAAACTATTTAAGATCAATTTTTAGACACATTGTACCATTTCCTACAATCCTCTAATGGATATTTCCCAAGAACAAGGACAGTCTCTAATATAACCATGATACAGCTGTCTAAAGAAGAATTAACCTTTGATGCAATAATACCGTCTAATCTACAGATCCCACTGAAATTTTGCTAACTGTATTAACCACGTCTTTTTTCTTTCTGGTCCAGGATTCAACTCAGAACGAAATATTGCATTTCCCTTTATTTTCTTTCTATCTTGAACAGCTTCTTAGCCTTTTCCTTTTATAAATTTGATAGGATTTGTAATTTCTACCCCTGGTTCATATCTATCTATTCTTCCACCTGTAATAATTAAAATATTCTGGGCCAGGTGCGGTGGCTCATGCCTGTAATCCCAACACTTTGGGAGGCCGAGGTGGGCAGATCACTTGAGGTCAGGAGTTCAAGATGAGCCTGGCCAACATGGTGAAACCCCGTCTCTACTAAAAATACAAATATTAGCCAGACGTGGTGGCATATGCCTGTAATCCCAGCTACTCTGGAGGCTGAGTCACGAGAATTGCTTGAACCTAGGAGGCAGAGGTTGCAGTGAGCCGAGATTGCGCTGCTGCACTCCAGCCTGGGTGATAAAGTGAGACTGTCTCCAAAAAAAAAATTCACGTGCTGGTAGAGTATAATGTGTATTATGATACATATATATATTGTATAATGATTAAATAAGGCTAATTAAAATATTTATTACTTCACTTACTTATTCCTTTGTGGTAAGAACATTTAAAATGTACTCTTTCAGCAATTTTGAAATATACAATGCATTGTACCCAATTAATGTATACAATTATTACTTTTCAACCAAAAATAAAATAATTTTTAAAAAGTAAACTACTGCTGGGAAAGAGAATACGAAATAAAATAAACTTTTTATGCCTAAGGAAAATAAATATTTATTTACTAATAGAAAAATTCCCCTTCCTTAAATTTCCATATTAAATATTCTTATTTGTTTCAATTATTTCTAACATATCATAATTTCTAGTTTGATTCCCTATATTTTAAAATATATAGTTCAGTTGCTCAAAAATTCAGTGCTCATTATTTACTATCTGCTAGACTCTAGTAAATTATGAAGCATAATGATCACTCCCTTTATTCTAGGTAGCATAGGTATAAATGCAGCCTAAAATTAAATTAGTTTATATATTTAAAAAAAAATTTTCAGCAGCCACATCTTGGAATCAATTAATAATCAGGCTCCTTCTATTCCCCACCTCCAATTCATTTTTATATTGAGCTTGTAATCCATCTACCCTTTAAATTTTTTATGTATTTATCACTGTCTAATCATGTCACCCATATTTTATATCAGGAAATTTTTGGACTCAAGTGTAAGATACAATTATCTTTTTTAGGTTTTACTTCCCTTTATTTATTCTTTGTTTTAGCCTATAAATAATCTTGGCAGATTTTGACATCGAATGAATCACTATTTCAACCTCTCATCTGTAAATCTGATATGCCATCACCTGTTCTTATACCTGTTCTTATCCAAATTATTGATGGGAACTTAAATGAATCAGAGCTGGGCACACAACTAGAGAATTTATCATGATGTTGATATGAACCAATTTTTGTTTTTGTGATTCCAGGACCCTTTCTTTGTATTCTAGGGATCTAAGTGGCACGTACTTTAAAAGAGGTGCTTTTTGTAAGTTCAGTCCAGTTATCTTACCTCATTACTTTATTCTCTCAAAAACATTCTTTTGTAGTGTAAAGTAAGTGAAAAACAGGAAGGCTGGGTTGTCAATGTTAGATAATAGAAGTTGAATAGAAAATGAAATTTTTTAATTTTCTTGCTGGCTCTCTTCCTACATTTTTTTTCATGATGATATTTTCTAAAACATCTATTCTTGTACTTCTACTATTCAGGTATATGAAAAAATTCAAGCAGAAGGTAAGTGGTTTCCAAGCATGGCAACATAAGAATTATCTGGGAAAGATTTTTAAATATAGCAGAGTCCTGAAATCCACCCTCCAAAATTCTGATGGAGTAGCTTTGGATGGAAGTCAAGAATCCATATTTTTCAAAAGATCCCTCTGATGGGCATCCACCTTGGACTTCAGATAACTACGTTTGGGGATGAATGCCAAACAAAAGGCAATTTACTTATAATGAGCAAGTGGGTAAACTCTAGACTAGACTTCTTATTAGAATAAGCAGACATCTTTTTAGACTAGACACAGATTTAAAACCAAAAGTTCAGAGAATTTTCAGCAATGAGAGACTAAACACGATTATATAAGGATTGCTGGCATGAGAGTGTTGCCTCTTTGCTATAACATGTTGTTTTTGTCACTTCCAGTTCTATCTCAAAACACATGAGAGAAAATATTGAAAATAGTTTGGATTAGGGAGATGAGATATCATGGACTTCTTCCAATGTTCATTTTAGCCCATATGCTTACACATTTTGTATCATTATAATTACAGTGTGCATTTCAACTTAGTCTACTGTTTTCAATTAACACTATTTCATAAACCTTTGCCCCATTGCTACCTGGTGTTCATAAGCACAAGTTTAATATTTCAAAACATTCCATAAAACTGTTTTTTATAAGTTAGCTAATAAGCCGATATGACTCTATATATAATTTTATAATTTTTATCATTATGGATAATTGTGAAAAATAAAAGCTTCTGAATAAGATACTTTTTCTCATTTTAAAAATTATTTCCCTAGAACATATTTCCAGGAATAGTATTACTTTACCAAAACAGGAACACTTTTCCAGTTCTTTTTTTTTTTTTTTTTTTTGAGACAGAGTCTCACTCTGTCACTCAGGCTGGAGTCCAGTGGCATGATCTTGGCTCACTGTAACCTCCATCTCCTGGGTTCAGGTGATTCTACTGCCTCGGCTTCCTGAGTAGCGGGGATTACAGGTGTGTGCCACCATGCCAGGCTAATTTTTGTATTTCTATTAGAGATGGGGTTTCACCATGTTGGCCAGGCTGGTCTCGAACTCCTAACCTCAGGTGATCTGCCTGCCTTGACCCCCCAGAATGCTGGGATTATAGGCATAAGCCACCGTGCCTGGCCTTCCCAGTTCTTATAATTACTTTTCTAAGGGCT
Source organism: Homo sapiens (assembly GCF_000001405.40). Classification (NCBI taxonomy): domain Eukaryota; kingdom Metazoa; phylum Chordata; class Mammalia; order Primates; family Hominidae; genus Homo; species Homo sapiens. Next base: position 101,306,411 of record NC_000011.10, read on the forward strand.
TGGGACCCAATTATAATACCATCAGAAAAGTATGCATGTACAAGTTTCACAAGAAGTTTATCAAATCAGGTATTACCCATATCTTTTTAGAATATAATTTGGATCTTTTCAAGAAACCATGGTAAACGATCATGTTTTATTATGTTTTATGTTCTCTTTTCCCAGTAATTGTATTAATGCCAGTCGAGTGCTATACTTTCTGTTTCTAAGTTACAAACGTGTAGCTTTGTCAGGCAGAAAACCTGGGATCTGCTAAGATGGCCAAACTAATTTATATTGGTCAGACTTTGCTATAGTAAAACAAACAAAAAAAGCTCAATAGCTTAAACAATAGCATTTTTTTCTTGCTCTTGGGTGTGTGGAGCGGTTTTAATGCAGCTTATCCTGGTTATCTTGTGTTTGGGTACATATATATTCTTATTCTAGGATCCAGGATGAAGGGAATGTCTCTGTCTAGGACATGCAATTTTCATGGCAAAGGGAAGAACTGCTTGAGACCAAGCCAAAACAAACAGTTCATGTTAAAGCTTCTGTTTAAGATTGGCACGGTGTCACTTCTCCTTATAATCCATAGGCCCAGGCAGGTTACATGGCCAAGCGTGATAATGGGATGGGAAATATACTCTGCCTACAGAGATGTGCCTCAAGTTGCATGGGTGTGGATGTGTCTGTATGATAATCCTCATAGGAGGTGAGAAGATAAAGTTGGGAATAATCCCTGAAGCCTTCTTTATTTATATGGTACTTGTTTTTTGTGTATTTTCCTATCATAGAATTTAACACATTTTATTGACATTATTTATTGCTAAGTTTATGTCCTCTTATAGACTTCAAATTCCTCCAGAGCAGAAATAGTGTTTTACCCACTTCTGTGTATCCCTAGTGTCAACGACACCATAGAGCATATATACATTCTCAAAATACATATATTAAGTAAATGGTTTTAGTCTCCACTTCCGGAAAAATTATCATCTTCAGCATTCTTTGGTCTTAGAACTAGAAAAAGGTAATACAGGTCAATGTTTTCTAAAATTAGTAGACTCTCTAATATGCCTTTTTAATGCGTTTTTTAAATGAAAAGATTCCTACTCCTATTTATTTTAAAATCCACTTCAAGACTGCTGGAGAAAGAACAGGCTTTTCATTTATATTAGGTGACATCATAAGCATTAGGAGACATTAGAACTACTCCATTTAGAAGCTCAGTGCATATTCAACCTCACTCTCTCAATTCAATAGATGCTCTCTGGTCAAGCTGAGCTCTACTTGGGAAGAGGATAAATGTATAACAGACTGACTTCTCTACTGTCAAAGAGAGAAATTAAAAGGTTGTCTGCCAAAGAAATGAATTTTTCTATTGAAAAGTTATTTTTTAAAAGATTTCAAGTCCGGGAGTAGAGCCCAAAGTACACATTGTCATCACTGACGATGTTTTGAGATGGTTAGAAAGTTGGTAAGAGGAAGGAAAATATTAAAAAGCAATACAAATTCAAAAAGGAAGCCCTGCAGTCAGAACCACTTCATTCACTAGGCACAGAAAGAACAGTGCCTAGAAACCATGATACTTACAGCAGCTGTTGACAATGAAAACAATTTTAATATCTTTGAAAATCTAAAAAAGGGAAATAAAAAATAATAAACCCAGGCTGGGATATAGCTGTCTGTATGCCAAGAAAGTCATAAAATGTAACTTTAAATATTTTTTTAATGAAGGAAGGTGTAATAAAGGCAAAGGTGCCTAGAGTCCAGCAAAGTCATAACACGGTCTTGTGAGTAAACTTTTCAAAGTAGGAGAAGGCATAGAGCAATTGAGCTGAGCAGGGGCCTCCACAATTGTAGACTTGGCCTCATGCTCAGGGCTGTGAGTAGAATAATTTTTATTTTTCCCAGCCCAACAGTGTTTAGTTCTTAATGCTAGAACTGATTTGGAGCAAAATCATGAAGAAAATTATTTAGGCATCTTCCATCTTCTTTGTGTCTGTGCGTATATATATACATATATATATATGTGAATGTACATATATGCTGTTCAGTAAATATTTTTTGAGTACATACAATATGTTGAGCACTTTTCTAGCCATCAGTTAACAAAGGAGAAAAAAAATCTTCCACAGTCTTTCCTCTCTGTACCAGTGGAGCACCATATATGGTCTGTAAACTGGCTGATGGCTTTGTTACTTTAATTTGAAATTAATTCCATATATCAATATATATATTCATGGTTCACAATCAGATCATACGTTTATTAAGAATGGCCACTGACTTCTCATAGTTTTCATCATAATGAAGATGGTTCAAAAATGTATTTGGATATCCATATTTTCACCCGAGCTTCCTTTTTTCACTTTTAAGGATGCGGGTAGGTGGGGAGTTAGAGAGACATGTAGAGATGTAGTGTTGTGGCAACGAGGAGAAAGAACAGTGAGGAAGGAAAGTGAGAGGGAGGGAGAGGAAGAGAAGAGGAGGAGAGAGGAAAGAAGGTTGGGAGAGAAGGGAAGAGACAGGAGAGAGGCACACAACGTCGTATACAGAATCAAATGTGCAAGGCATAAGTGGCACGGAGTCTTCAAATCCACACGTTTTAGTTATGCAGATATATAAGTACTTTCTTGACATTTTACTATGGAAATTTGCTAGTATACAATTTTCTTAAAAAAATTATAGTCCCATGTACCCACCACACAAATTCTACCAACAATATTTTACTATGTTTGTCCTATAGCATATATATTCATCTCTCATCCCTCTCACCATCCATTAGTCTTTCTTTTTTATTTTATTTTATTTATTTTTATTTTATTATTATTATACTTTAAGTTTTAGGGTACATGTGCACAATGTGCAGGTTAGTTACATATGTATACATGTGCCATGCTGGTGTGCTGCACCCATTAACTAGTCATTTAGCTTTAGGTATATCTCCTAATGCTATCCCTCCCCCCTCCCCCCACCCCACAACAGTCCCCAGAGTGTGATGTTCCCCTTCCTGTGTCCATGTGTTCTCATTGTTCAATTCCCACCTATGAGTGAGAACATGCGGTGTTTGGTTTTTTGTCCTTGCGATAGTTTACTGAGAATGTTGATTTCCAATTTCATCCATGTCCCTACAAAGGACATGAACTCATCCTTTTTTATGGCTGCATAGTATTCCATGGTGTATATGTGCCACATTTTCTTAATCCAGTCTATCGTTGTTGGACATTTCGGTTGGTTCCAAGTCTTTGCTATTGTGAATAGTGCCACAATAAACATACGTGTGCATGTGTCTTTATAGCAGCATGGTTTATAGTCTTTTGGGTATATACCCAGTAATGGGATGGCTGGGTCAAATGGTATTTCTAGCTCTAGATCCCTGAGGAATCACCACACTGAGTTCCACAATGGTTGAACTAGTTTACAGTCCCACCAACAGTGTAAAAGTGTTCCTATTTCTCCACATCCTCTGCAGCACCTGTTGTTTCCTGACTTTTTAATGATTGCCATTCTAACTGGTGTGAGATGGTATCTCATTGTGGTTTTGATTAGTCTTTCTTTTTATTGGATGCATTTCAAAGTAAATTGCTGTTGGGGACTTAACCTATAACTTCGTATATGTTTATTTACAGGATTTTTCTTTTGAGGTAAAATTTATATACAATTAAATGTCACAAATCTTAAGTGAACATTAGCTGAGTTTTGACAAACACAAACACCTTTTCAGATATAGAAAATTATCACTCCAGGAAGTTCCCTCAAGCCCCTTCTCAGTTAATTACTGCCTCAACCTCATGAAGCAACCATTATAGATTAGTTTGCTTGTTTAGAACTTTGTATAAGTGGAATAATATTTTATATACTCTTTTGTGTAAGGCTTCACTGACTCTGGATGATTTTGAGATTCATCTATGCTGTTGCACGTACCCATATTTTGTTGCTTTTTTCAGTTCAGAGTACTATTCCTTTGTATAAATATATAGTAGTGTGTTTGTTCATCCTTCTATTGATGGACTCTTGACATACTTACAAATTTTAGCTATTATTAATAAAATTGCCATGGACATTCTTATATAATTTTTTGACATATGATTTCATTTCTCTGAGATAAATACTGTGGAATAGGTCATAAGGTAGGTTTAGTTTTATAAAAATCTACAAGATCCTTTTACATTTCCACTAACTGTATAAGAAAACTCCAGTTTCTCTACATTCTTGTCAATATTTGATGCTTTTATTCATTTTAATTTTAAACATTCAGGTCGCTGTATTGTGGTTTCTCGTCGTTTTAATCTGCAGTTTCCTAGTGACGAATTATTTTGAGCACTTTTTTTGTGTATGTCTGTGTATGTATCTCTCGCTGTGTGTGTGTGTGTGTGTGTGTGTGTCCATTTGTGTATCTTCTTCTCTGAAGAGAGTTTTTGGATTATTTTTGGGATATTGTTTGTATTTTTAGTATAGGTTGTAGGAGTAGGAGTTTTTATATATTCTGGGCACCAGTCCCCTTTGTCACCGTTATTGTAAATGTGAGTCTGTGGTTTGTTTTTTCATTTTCTTAATTGGTTTACTCTTTTTAAAAATTTATTTTTAATGTCAATAGATTTTTAGGGAGCAGGTGGTGTTTGGTTACATGAATAAGTTCTTTAGTGGTGATTTCTGAGGTTTTAGTGCACCCATCACCCGAGCAGTGTACACTGTACCCAGTGTGTAGTCTTTTGTCCCTCACCCCCTCCCACCCTTTCCCCCAAAGTCCAGTGTGTCATTCTTATGCCTTCGTGTCCTCATAGCTTAGCTCCCACTTGTGAGTGAGAACATACAATGTTTGGTTTTCCATTCCTGAGTTACCTCACTTCGAATAATAGTCTCCAATTCCATCCATTTTATATATATATATAGTTTCATTATTCTACATGTGGCTTGCAACTTATGCCAGAACCATTTGTGGAATAGGATGTCCTTTCCCCACTTTATGTTTTGTTTGCTTTGTCGAAGATGAATTGGCTGTAAGTATTTGGCTTTATTGCTGGGTTCTCTATTCTGTTCCATTGGTCTATATGCCTATTTTTATACCAGTACCATGCTGTTTTGGTGACTATGACCTTACAGCATAGTTTGAAGTTGGGTAATGTGATGCCTCCAGATTTGTTCTTTTTGCTTAGTCTTGCTTTGTCTATGTGGGCTCTTTTTTGATTCCATATGAATTTTAGGGTTTTTTTCCTAGTTCTTTGAAGAGAATGATGGTGGTATTTTGATGGGAATTGCACTGAATTTGTAGGTTGCTTTGGGCAGTATGGTCATTTTCACAGTATTGATTCTACCCATCCATGAGCATGGAATGTGTTTCCATTTGTTTGTGTCATCTATGATTTCTTTCAGTAGTGTTTTGTAGTTTTCCTTGTAGAGGTCTTTTCTTCCTTGATTAGGTATATTCCTAAGTATTTTATTTTATTTTTTGCAGCTATTATAAAAGAGCTTGAGTTCTTGATTTGATTCTCCACTTGGTTGCTATTGGTGTATAGGAGAGCTACTGATTTGTGTACATTAATTTTGTATCCTGAAACTTTGCTGAATTCATTTACCAGTTCTAGGAGCTTCTTGGATGAGTCTTTAGGGTTTTCTAGTTATGCAATCATATCATCAGCAAAAAGCGAAAATTTGACTTCCTTTTTACTGATTTGGATGTCCTTTATTTCTTTCTCTTGTCCGATTGTTCTGGACAAAAAGTGGGCATCCCTGTCTTGTTCCAGTTCTCAGAGGGAATGCTTTCAACTTTTCCCCAATAAGTATAATGTTGGCTGTGGGTTTGTCATAGATGGCTTTTATTACATTGAGGTATATCCCTTGTATGCCAATTTTGCTGAGGGTTTTAATCATAAAGCGATGCTGGATTTTGTCAAATGCTTTTTCTGCATCTATTGAGATGAACATTGATTTTTTTGTTTTTAATTCTGTTTATATGGAGTATCACATTTATGGACTTATGTATGTTAAAGCATCCCTGCATCCCTAGTATCAAACCCACTTGATCATGATGGGTTATCTTTTTGATATGCTGCTGGATTCGGTTTGCTAGTATTTTGTTAGGGATTTTTGCATCTATTATATGTTAATCAGGGATATTGGTCTGTAGTTTTCTTTTTTTGCTATGTCCTTTCCTGGTTTAGGCATTAGGGTGATACTGGCTTCATAGAATAATTTAGGGAGGATTCCCTCTTTCTCTATCTTGTGGGATAGTATCAGTAGGATTGGCACCAATTCTTCTTTGAGTATCTGATAGAATTCAGCTGTGAATCCATCTAATCCTGGACTTCTGTTTTGTTGACAATTTTTTAATCACCATTTCAATCTTGCTGCTTGTTGTTAGTCTGTTCAGAGTTATTATATCTTCCTGGTTTAATCTAGGAGGGTTGTATCTTTCCAGGAATTTATCCATCTCCTCTAGGTTTTCTAGTTTATGTTCATAAAGGTGTTCAGATTAATGTTGAATAATCTTTTGTATATCTGTGGAATCAGTAATAAGATCTCCTGTTTCATTTCTAATTGAGTTTATTTGGATCTTCTCTCTTGTTTTGTTGGTTAATTTTGCTAATGGCCTGTTTTATTTACCTTTTCAAAGAACTAGCTTTTTTTTCATTTGTCTTTTGTATTTTTTGTTTTAATTTCATTTAGTTCTGCTCTGATTTTTGTTATTTCTTTTCTTTTGCTGGGTTTGGATTTGGATTGTTCTTGTTTCTCCAATTCTGTAAGGTGTGACCTTAGATTGTCTATTTGTGCTCTTTCAGACTTTTTGATGTACGTATTTAATGCTATGAATTTTCCTCTTAGCACCACTTTTGCTGTATCCCAGAGATTTTGTAGGTTTTGTCAGTATTATTCAGTTCAAATAATTATTAAATTTTCATTTGGATTTCATTGTTGATCCCATGATCATTCAGCAGCAGTCTATTTAATTTCCATGTATTTGCATGGTTTTGTGGGTTCCTTTTGAAGTTGATTTCCAATTTTATTCCACTGTGGTTTGAGAGAGTGCTTAATAAAATTTTGACTTTCTTAGATTTACTGCAACTCATTTTGTGGCCTAACATATGGTCTATCTTGGAGAATGTTGCATGTGCTGATGAATAGAATGTTGAATAACAGTGGTGAAAGTGGGCATTATTGTCATGTTTTAGATCTTAGAGTAAAGGCTTTTGGTTTTCCCCCATTCAGTATAACACTAGCTGTGGGTCTGATATGTATGGTTTTTATTATGTTGAGGTATATTCCTTCTATATTCATGTTTTTGAGGGTTTTTATCATGAAGAGGTATGAATTTTATCAAATACTTTTTCAGCATTAATTGAAGTGATAATATGGTTTTTATACTTCATTGTGTTGATAGGATGTATCATATTGATTGATTTGTGTATGTTGAACCATCCTTGCATCCCTGGAATAAATCCCACTTGGTCATGATGAATGATCTTTTTAATGTATTGTTGTGTTAATTTTGCTAGTATTGTGTTCAGAATTTTTCTGCAATATTCATCACAGACATCGGCCAGTAGTTTTCTTTTTTTTTTTGATATATCTTTGTCTGTTTTATGTATCATGGTAATAATGATCTTGTATAATGAGTTTAGAAGTATTCCCTCCTCTTCTATATTTTGGAATAGTTTGAGTAGGATTAGTATTAGTTCTTCTTTAAATCTTTGGTAGAATTCAGCAGTGAAGCCATTGGGTCCTGGGCTTTTCATTGCTAGGAGACTTTTTACTACAGCTTCATTACTTTTTATTGTTCTGTTTAGGTTTTGAATTTCTTCATGGTTTAATCTTGGTAGATTGTATGTGTTCAGGAATTAATGAATTTCCTCTGCATTTTCCAATTTATTGGCATATAATTGCTCATAGTAGCAACTGATGGTTTTTTTGAATTTCTGTGGTACCAGTTATAACGTCTCCTTTTTCACCTTTGATTTTATTTTTTTGGGTCTTCTCCCTTTTGTTTTTGTTTTTGTGTGTGTGTGTTTGATTGTTTTTGAGACGGAGTTTCGCTCTTGTCTCCCAGGCTGGAGTGCAGTGGCACGATCGGCTCACTGCAACCTCCACCTCCCAGGTTCAAGCAATTCTCATGTTTCAGCCTCCCTAATAGCTGGGATTACAGGCACTCACCACTATGCCCAGCTAATTTTTGTATTTTTAGTAGAGACGGGGTTTCACCATGTTGGCCAGGCTGGTCATGAACTCCTGACCTCAAGTGATCTGCCCACCTTGGCCTCCCAAAGTGCTGAGATTACAGGCATGAGCCACTGTGCCTGGCCTGGGTCTTCTCCCTTTTTTTTCCTTCATTAGTCTGGCCAAAGGTTTGTCAATTTTGTTTATCACTTCAAAAGATGAACTTTTTGTTTCATTGATCTTTTGTATTGCTTTCTTCATTTCTAATTTACATATTTTTTCTCTGATCCCTATTATTTCTTTTCTTATACTAATGTTGGGTTTGGTTTGCTCTTGCTTTTCTAGTTCTTTAAGATGCATAATTAGGTTATTTATTTGAAGTCTTTTTCTATTTCTTGATATAGGTACTTTTTGCTATAAATTTTCCTTTTAGTACTGCTTTCACTGCATCCCATAGGTTTTGATATGCTGTATTTTCATTATTTTTTGTTTCAAGAAATTTTTCAATTTTCTTCTTAATTTCTTTATATACCCATTGATCATTCAGGAACATGTTGTTTAATTTCCATGTGTTTGTATAGTTCCCAAAATTCCTTGTTATTAATTTCTAGTTGTATTCCATTGTGGTCAGAGAAGATGCTTGATATTACCCCAATTTTTTGAATGCTTTAAGAATTGTTTTGTGATGTAACATATGGTCTATCCTTGAGAATAATCCATGTACTGAGGAGAAGAATGTGTATTCTGTAGCCACTGTTCTGTAAATATTATATCTACCAGTTTTATTTATAGTGCATATTAAGTCTGAAGTTTCTTTGTTGATTTTCTGTCTGGGAGACCTGTCCAATGCTGAAAGTAGGGTGCTGAGGTCTACAGCTATTATTGTGTTGAGGTCCATCTTTGGCTCTAATAATATTTGCTTTATATAGCTGGGTGCTCCAGTGTTGGGATCATATATATTTACAATCATTACATCTTCATGCTGAATTGATCCCTTTATCATTATATACTGACCTCCTTTGTCTCTATTTACAGTTTTTGTCTCAAAATCCATTTTGTCTGACATAAGTATAGCTACTCCAGCTCTTTTTTGGTTTTCATTGGCATGGAATATCTTTTTCCATCCCTTTATTTTCAGTCTATATGTGTCTTTATAGGTGAAGTGTGTTTCTTGTAGGTAACAGAACATTGGTTCTCTTTTTTCATTTATTAAACCACTGTATGTCTTTTTATTGGCAAGTTTAGTCCATTTACATTCAATATTATTATTCATATGTAAGGACTTACTCCTGTCATTTTGTAATTTGTTGTCTAGTTGTTTTGTAGTCTTCTCTTCCAGTTTTTCTTCCTTCTTGTCCTCTTTTTAGTGAAGGTGAATTTTTGGTATTATTTTTTAATTTCTTGTTTGTTATATTTTATGTATTCATTGTGTGTTTTTTTTATTTGAGGGTACCATAAAGCTTGCAAATACTATCTTATAGCCCATTACTTTAAACTAACGACAACTTAACACTGATTGCATAAACAAGCAAGCAAATACCCCAAAAGAAAACTAACAAAGATTATACTCTTTAACTTCATTGCCCAATTTTTTTAACTTTTTGTTTTTTCTCTTTATATCTTCTTGTACTATGTCCTGAAAAGTTATTGTAATTGTATTAGGTCATTTTCAGGCTGCTGATAAAGACATACCTGTGACTGGGTAATTTATAAAGAAAAAGAGGTTTGGTCAGGAGATCAAGACCATCCCAGCTAGCACAGTGAAATCCCATCTCTACTAAAAATACAAAAATTAGCCGGGTGTGTTGGCATGCACCTGTAGTCCTAGGTACTCAGGAGGCTTAGGCAGGAGAATCACTTGAACCCAGGAGGTGGAGGTTGCAGTGAGCCTAGATCATGCCACTGCACTCTAGCCTGGATGACAGAGCAAAACTCTGTCTCAAAAAAAAAGGTTTAATTGACACACCACATGGCTGGGGAGGCCTCACAATATGGCAGAAGGTAAAAGGCACATCTTGCATGGTGGCAGGCAAAAGGAAAATGAGAAAACATGTGAAGAGGTTGCTGGGATGCAGGGCACCATGTCACTAGGCTGCACACAGCATGTTCTTATAAAACCATCAGATCTCGTGAGACTTATTCAATCTCATGAGAACAGCATGTGAAAGACCCACCCCTAGGATTTAACTACGTGCCACCAGGTCCCTCCCACGACACATGACAATTGTGGGAGCCACATTCAAGATGAGATTAGGGTGGAGATGCAGCAAAACCATATCATTCTGACTCTGGCCCCTCCCAAATCTCATGTCCTCACATTTCAAAACCAATCATGCGTTTCAAACAGTTCCCCAAAGTCTTAACTCATTTCAGCATTAATTCAAAAGTCCACAGTCCAAAGTCTCATCTGAGACAAGGTAAGTTCCTTCTGCCTATGAGCCTGTAAAATCAAAAGCAAGTTAGTAACTTCCTAGATACAATGGGGGTACAGACACTGGATAAATACACCATTCCAAATAGGAGAAATTGGCCAAAACAGAGGGGCTAAAGGCCCCATGCAAGCCTGACATCCAGTGGGGCAGTCAAATCTTAAAGCTCCAAAATGATCTCCTTTGACTCCATGTCTCACATCCAGGTCACACTGATGCAAGAGGTGTGTTCCCATGGTCTTGGGCAGCTCTGCCCCTTTGGCTTTGCAGGGTACAGCCTCCTCCCTGCCTGCTTTCATGGGCCAGCATTGAGTGTCTGTGGCTTTTCCAGGAGCACAGTGAAAGCTGTCAGTGGATCTACCATTCTAGGGGCTGGAGGACAGTGGCCCTCTTCTCACAGCTCCACTAGGCAGTGCCCCATTGGGGACTCTGTGTGGGGGCTCCAACCCAACATTTCCCTTTTGCACTGCCCTAGCAGAGGTTCTCCACGAAGGCCCACCCCCTGCAGCAAACTTCTGCCTGGACATCCAGGCATTTCCATACATCCTCTGAAATATAGGCAGAGGTTCCCAAACCTCAATTCTTGACTTCTGTGTACCTGCAGGCTCAACATCACATGGAAACTGCCAAAGCTTTGTGCTTGCACCCTCTGAAGCCATGGCCAGAGCTGAACCTGGGCCCCTTTTAGCCGTGGCTGAAGTTGCTGGGATGCAGGGCACAAAGTCACTAGGCTGCACACAGCATGGTCACTCTGGCCTTGGCCCATGAAACCATGTTTCTCTTCTAGGCCTCCAGGTTTGTGATGGGAAGGGCTGCCATGAAGACCTCTGACATGCCCTGGAGACATTTTCCCCATTGTTTTGGCAGCATTTGGCTCCTTGTTATTTCTGCAAATTTCTGCAGTCTGCTGGAATTTCTCCTCAGAAAATGGGGTTTTCTTTCCTATTGCATTGTCAGGCTGCAAATTTTCTGAATTTTTATGCTCTATTTCCCTTTTAAAACTGAATTATTTTAACAGCACACAAGTCACATCTTGAATGCTTTGCTGCTTAGAATTTCTTCTGCCAGATACCCTAAATCATCTCCCTCATGTTCAAAATTCCACAAATCTCTTGGGCAGGGTCAAATGCCCCCAATCTCTTTGCTAAAACATAGTAAGAGTCACCTTTACTCCAGTTCCCAACAATTTCCTCATCTCCATCTGCGACCACCTCAGCCTGGATTTTATTGTCTATGTCATTATCAGCATTTTGACCAAAGCCATTCAACAAGTCTCTAGGTAGTTCAAACTTTTCCACATCTTCCTATCTTCTTCTGAGCCCTCCAAGCTGTTCCAACCTCTGCCTGTTACCCAGTTTCAAAGTCACTTCCACATTTTTGGGTATCTTTAGAGGAGCACCCCACTCTACCAGTACCAATTTATGTATTAGTCCATTTTCATGCTGCTAATAAGGACATACCTGAGACTGGGTAATTTATAAAGAAAAAGAGGTTTAATTGACTCATAGTTCCACATGGTTGGGGAGGCCTCACAATCACGGTGGAAGATGAAAGGCACATCTTATGTGGCAGCAGGCAAAAGGAAAATGAGAGAAATTGTGCAGGGAAACTCCCCCTTATAAAACCATCAGATCTCATGAGACTTATTCACTATCACGAGAACAGCACAGGAAATACCCACCCCCATGATTCAATTACCTCCCACCCAGTCTTTCTCACAACACATGGGAATTGTGGGAGCTACAATTCAAGATGAGATTTGGGTGGGGATACAGCCAAACCATATTAATAATTATTATTTTTGATTGGTTCATTATTTAGGCTTTCTGCTTTACATAAGTGTAGTTTATACACCACTATTACAGAGTTATAATATTCTGTGTTTTTCTGTGTGCTTACTATTACCAGTGAGTTTTGTACCTTCAGATGATTTCTTCTTGCTCATTGATATCCTTTACTTTCAGATTGAAGTACTCCCTTTAACATTTCTTGTATGACAGGACTGGTGTTGATGTAATCCTTCAACTTTGCTTGTCTGAGAAGTTCTTTATTTCTTCTTCATGCCTGAATGATATTTTCAATAGATACACTATCCTAAGGTAAATGTTTTTTTTTTTTCCTTCGTCACTTTAAATATGTCTTTCCACTCTCTCCTGGCCTGTAATGTTTCCACAGAAAAGTCTACTGCCAGACATACAGAGCTCTATTCTATGTTATTTGTTCTTTTCTCTTGCTGCTTTTATAATCTTTTCTTCATTCTTGACCTTTGGAAGTTTGATTATTAAATGTCTTGAAGTTGTCTTCTTTGGGTTAAATCTGCCTGCCGTTTATTATAGCCTCTTGTACTTGGATATTGATATCTTTCTCTAGGTGTGGGAAGTTCTCTGTTATTATCTCTTTCAATAAACTTTCTACCCCTATCTTTTTCTCTACCTCTTCTTTCTGGCCAGTAACTTCTGTTTGCCCCTTTGAGGCTATTTTCTTGATCCTGGAGGCATGCTTCATTTTAAAAATTCATTTTTCTTTTGTCCCCTCTAACTGTATATTTTCAAATAGCCTTTCTCCAAACTTAGTAATTCTTTTGTCCACTTGATCAGTTCTGCTATTAAGAGACTCTGATGCATTTTTCAGCATGTGAATTGCATATTCACTTGCAGATTTTCTGCTTCATTCTTTTCAATTATTTCAATGTCTTTGTTAAATTTATCTAATAGATTTTTGAATTTCTTCTCTGCGTTATCTTGAATTTCTTTGAGTTTCCTCAACACAGCTATTTTGAATTCTCTGTCTGAAAACTCACATATGTCTCTCTCTCCAGGATTGGCCCCTGGTGCCTTATTTCATTTGGTAAGGTCATGTTTTTCTGTATGGACTTGATGCCTGTGGCTGTTCATTGGTGTCTGATCTTTGAAGAGTTATGCATTTATCACAGTCTTCACAGTCTGGGCTTGTTTGTGTCCATCCTTCCTGGGAACGCTTTCTACATATTCAAAGGGACCTGGGGGTTGAGATCTGAGTTTTTGGTCACTGCAAGCCATATCTGCATTACAGAGCACCCCAAGCCTAGTAACGTTGTGGTTCTTGAAGACTCGTAGAGGTACCACTTTGGTGGTCTCGGATAAGATATGGAAGAATTCTCTGGATTACCAGGTGGAGACTTTTGTTCTCTTCTTTTACTTTCTCCTGAACAAAAGAGTCTCTCTTTCTTTGCTGAGGTACATGAGGCTATGGGAAGGGTTACACAAGCACCCCTGTGGCCATCACCACTGAGATTGGGCTGGGTGAGACCTGAATCCAGCACAGCACTGGGTCTCTCCCAAGGCCTGCTATAACTACTACCTGGTCACCACCTATGTTCGCTCAAGGCCCTAGAGCCTTAAAGCCAGCAGGTGGTGAAGCCAGCCAGTCTTGTGACCTTCACTTCAGAGCAGTGAGTTCCCTCATGTCCTTGGCTGGTCCAGAGATACCGTCTGGAAGTCAGGGACTGAAGTTGGAAAACTTAAAAATCTACCTGCTAAGGCTAAGCTAGCACTCAAACCACAATACAAAGTCCTTCCCACTTTCCCCAGGCAAAATAGTCTCTCCCTGTGCCCACCACCACACAGGCTCACAGGGAGTACTCTCAGGCTACCAGTAATGTTCACTTATGGCCTAAGGACTCTTCAGTCAGCTTGTGGTGAATGCTGTCAGGCTTGGGACTCACCCTTCAGGGCAAGAGGCTCCCCTCTGGCCCAGGGCAGGCTCAGAAATCCCATCCAAGAGCCAAATCCTGGAATCAGGGGCTCCAAGACCTTGCTTGGTGATCTTCCCTACTGTGACCAAGCTTGTACCTAAGCTGCAATCAAAATCCTTTTTTATTATTATGCCTCCTTTTCTCAGGCAGAAGGAGTCTCTTCTCATATCCACCATGGCTGTGAATATGCTGGGTCACACCTGAAGCTAGCAAATCTCAGAGTCTCACCCAAGGCCCATGGTATGTACTACATGGTTACCATGGCTGATTATTCAGATCTCAATAGTACTTCTTCAATCAGCAGGTGATGAATCCTGCCAGGTCCTTCCCTTCAAGGCTGCAGTTCTCTTCTGGCCCAGGGTGTGTCTAGAAATGTCTGGGAACTGTGGCATGGAAAGGGGACCTCATGACTAGGACTGGTGCCCTATTCTGCTGTGACTGAGCTGGTACCCAACAAGCAAGACAAAATAATCTCCACTTTTCTGTCTCCTCAAGCAGAAAAAATTGGTCTCCTTTGGAGCCATGAGCTGTACAGCCTGGGGTTAGTGGAGGGGTGATGTCAGCATTCCTTAGCCACCCCAGCTGGTATTTCAGTGGGTCATGTGCATTCCCAGTCCACTGTCTCTGGGCCCACTTCAGCCCGAGGACTCACCTAGGTGTTGCAATCTTTGTGGCCGAGACTGCCTTTCAAGTTTATTTGGAGTCCCAGAGCACTTTAGCCTGTGGTGGCAAGGCTTGCAGGAACTCAAGTTCCACTCACTGGCATCAGCAATTCCTCTCTGGCTAGGGATAGTCTAAATACTCCAACTGTGGGTGTTGGCTGAGTTCTGCCTGTTGTTGGCAGCACTGAGTTCCAATGCAAAGTCCCCCAAGAATACAGATTCTCTCTCCACGCTGCCATGTGGTCACTTCCTGGGGGCCAGGGAGGGTGGTGTTGGCAGTTCAAGACTGTCTTTCTTACCCTCCTCAATGCCTCTTTCAATGATATGAAGTTAATACCAGGTACCGTGATCACTCACCTGATTTTTGGTTCTTATAAAAGTGCTTTTTTTGTGTAGGTTGTTGTCAAATTTGGTGTTTCTTTGGGGAGGACAATAAGTGGAGGCTTCTATTTGGCCATCTTGCTCCAACTCCTTTCCCCATTTGTTGTTAACCAACCCTTTCTAAATAACTATTTACTCAAATTTATGTATTTTTATTCATCAAAGATGAAAATGGCAGTAAAACACATTATACTGATGTTTTTGGATATTTGTATATAACCGGTATGAGTGTATAAAATTCTGGTCTTTCTTTTCTGGCTCATAACTCAAATCTGTAAAATACTGTTTATTAATTAATTATTTTATTCATTCATTAGTTTAAGCATTTAACTATCTACCACATGCCACATATCTTACTAGGCAAGGGCTAAAAAAAAATGTCTAATACACATAAACAGACTTGGCCCTCAAGAAGCAAAATTCATAAATAATACTATATATACCATGGATGACCATATGCATTGGCTTGCTTGAATCACTAACAGTTTATACCTGTTTTCTCATTTGCTTATTTATACTTCTAATACTCTTAAAATTACCCTTGTTTAGACAAGAAATTATAGAGTTACCTATAATACATGAACTTAGTTTTCTAAATGAAACTTGAATATATGAAGTTTGAACAATGTAAAAGAAATGTTTATAATATTTGAGTTTATCAATTTAATGATAAATTTATGTTTAAGATTTTATGTAGACATATATCATGTACTAACTTAGTTTTTCCCTTTTCACATTTTATTAACCAAATTTTATTTAAACTCTTCACATGTATATTTAACATTTGTATACATATGTAACTAACCTGCACATTGTGCACATGTACCCTAAAACTTAAAGTATAATAATAATAAATAAATAAATAAATAAAAAGAAAAAAAAAACATTTGTATTTGTATTTTGGTCTTCTGTAGAGCTTTTTTTTACCCAGATATCTATCAAATTTGTAGAGCATATCATGTTTACTTACATATAAATTATTTGAGAGATATCATTGTGGGGAAAGGGGGATGTATGCATGTGGTAGAGATTTTAATCTTTCGTATGAGACAAGGATAATTTCCTCCCATTCATTGTGTAGATACATATTTGTGACCTTCATGCAACCAACTATTCTAGTGGTGTTAAATGATAAATTTAGTTTTTTTTGTAACTTCCAATATTTGGAATTGCAAAGTTTTACTCTCAGGAATAATGACTAGTTCTGAGTTAAATTTGTTTTCCTTATTTCCTCCAATCAGGTGATATATAAAGATCCCAAGTTAGCATCAATGGAGGTGTTTCAGACTCAGATGTACCCACTAAAGAATACTTTGTCAATTAACATAAATAACTGAGTGTTGCCCAGCAACAAAAACTTTGTAAGAACTTGAATACCGGGTGACACTTTATTTTCTAAAGTCTTAATCTATGTAAAAACCTGGTTAAATGTTTGGACATATATGAACATTAAAGCAGTGTGGTAGGTGCTATGATAGAAGAATGTATGAAATTTCAGGAAAGAATAATAGAAAGGACTCAGTCTTGAAATTTATTCAACAGGAAGACGAGGAAAGAAGAAGAGAGTGTTCCAAAACAAAGAAAAAGTGGGGAGGGGGAAGAATAGGGTAAGTAAGAGAGAAAAAAATGGATCCCAGGATAGGAGCATTTCTTTTAAGAAAGATCTCATGAACTCAACCAGTGAATAAATTTTCTGGGAGTACACATGGTCTAGAGCTCCATGGGGCCTTGTATCAGAAGGGCAGATATCATCATCTTTGCGTACATTACAGACAGAGTTCCAAGAAATGCTTGAGAAGGTTCCATTTCTTCTTTCTTGTGACATTTTCTGATCATTAAGTTAATACCTGCTTGCTACAAAGAAGCAGAAAAAAATCTAAAGTAGAAAATAGAAGTCACAATAATCCCATGACCCAGATATATAACCAGTGTTTTGTTCTCCCAAGGTTTCAATATAGTAAGGAATTTCCAAATAATGAAATCTCGAGTCATTTACCTGGGAAATCCAGTGATACAAATAGACATGAATAGAAACAAGAAGCTCCTTATAAAATGTATTTTTTAAAGTTTAGTATCTGAGACAAACCTATACACGTAATAAAGCACTTGCCTACCAATAACTCTATCACTGCCCTATTCTCTGTTATTTTTGTAGATAGGGAAAGGGGAAGGCTTGATCTGGGAAAGCTGGAGAAAGAAGACTGAAGGATGGACTGGATGACATTGATGCTATTGCCTCATGACAAAATCTGATGCAAGTAAGCCAGGGCAACTTCATGAGACTTTGGAATATCTTTGTATCTTTGAGGCCAGGTGAAGAAACCTCTCCACTGAAGCAGGCAGCCACTCTAGCCCCCGGACCCCAGCAATGTAGCTATGGCATGAGGTAGGAAGTAATGAATGCATCTGCAGGCAGTACCCTGAGTGTGGATGTTGGTATTGTTCTGACAGGCAGTGGCAGCTGTGCACCCCCAAGTGGTTTGCAAGAAGTATTTGCAAGTAGACAAATTGGAGCTTTCAGAGGAGTAGAATGTAGAATAAGTTGTGTGAATGTGGAAACTAGCTGATCAGCTGAATTATGTTCTCCTTTGGGAAATGCTTTGAATCAAATCAATTTTCTTATAAGCAAGCTAGACTTCAACGTTTTTTTCTTACTTCATATGATATCTGAAATATATACATATGTGTGTGTGTGTGTGTACAACATACCTTTTTCATTGCCCTTGGTTCTGTAAATGATTTTTAAGCACGTTTTCTATTTGATTAATCAATCATGAGTATCTAATTAATAATGGTAAACAATGATCTATGTAATGTTTCTGGAGTCCATGTATTGAGTACTATGTGGTTAAGTTTTGAAACCTCCTAGTTGAGGTGCTACAGATAGTAAGGATGTTTATCAAGATTATGCTAAAACAATGGCATTCCTATTTTTTATGTGACTTGCCATCCATTTCGGTTTTTACCCAATGTAAAGGCCTCACTGTGTTCCAAGATGTGTAGACAGTGGAACACACTTTTCATAATGCCAGTGAGGCAGGAAAACTGCCTGAGCACAGACCACTCAAAGCAGACACATAACAGGAGCAATCACATCTCTCACTCAGACAGGCAATGATTCTTGAGTACTAGTTTTCATAAGACATTTTGCAGCTAAGGTTGAAGGAATTCATCTTTCTTGTAGAACAACTGCAGACTAAGGCCTCTTATTCAATAGCTGTAAGCCTACAAATATAAGGAATCAACATCCCTGGGAAGTCCTGCTTTGGAGAACACAAAGATGACTAGTAACAGGAGTGACACAGGAAGAAAAGAGACTATTTTTTTTTTTCAGCTACACCAGGCAAAAAGGATTTTTACCAGATCTCAGAAAGATAGTATGAGATTTAGAACCCTACTCTATGTGGTGTATCATGCTAAAATTAAAATAGTAGGCTATATATACTTATTATTTAGTTGGGCTCAGCCTATACTTTCTGTTATGTTTATAGAATCCTGCATTAACAAAGAGACCAACTCCTCCAAGTTTTATTTTAGCTAGATAGTTGGGCCTGGAAGACATCGCTTGTTGAAGTGAAGATTTGGTGTTTAGACTGAGCAGACTAGATGTTGCTTAGAAGGATTTTACATTATTGGGGATGTGAGGCAGAGATGGGGGGGATGCGAGTGATACCTTTCCCCCATCAATAAAAGAAATTGGGTATGTTTTCTGAAGCCATGAGGAATGGAGTGCCCTTTCCCTACCCCTGTTCACTCCCCTACATTCTTCCTCTCTCCCTGAAGGAGTTATAAATATTAGTGTACAAAGAAAGAGTGTAGGAAACATAACTCTATATTTATAGCTCAACTGATTTGTCTCTGAGTTCTGTATCCTGTTGAGCTTGTGGGATGCAGCTTGCTCTCTTTGCCTCCCTCCAAGACTGTGCTACAGTTTTCCCAACTACATCATTGGGGTGGGAGGGCAGCAGTGGTAATGTCATAAAACCCTCTGGTCCTTGTTTCATTGTCCTGGTCCATGAGGAGCTTCAGTCTCAATCATTTTGTGCTACATTTAGGGAATCAGAATCTTACAAAATGCTTCCTATTTCATGTGCATCCAAATGCACCACATGACTCTTTTTTGGTGGGGGCGGGGAGGGGATTACCTTCTCCCGGTAATGCTGCCAGAAAGCCAAGTAGAGGGTGAACCTACTGCAGGTTCCATTCTCTCTCCCTACCTCTGCTACACCAGATGAGTCTCATTCTAGTCAACAAATGAGGGAGGGTTGGGAAACAATACTTCTGTTCCAAAATATTCTGTCCGTATATTTACCTGTCTTTGCTCTTTAGACAAACAGAAACTTACAGATGTTTTTGTTTTCTTCCTGACACATACCTTCCCTAAGGTAAGAAACATAGAGCAAGACACAAGCTTAAATGTGGTAAAGGGAAAAGGGAATGTCCAGAGAGACAAAAATTACATGTAAGCCAATATCTCAAAATATGTTAGCAATTGCAATTTTTGGCCTATGTAATTATTTGTTATGGCAGGTTTCTAAGCAGTTACTTCTGTTGTATTTATTTAGTAGCCTGATGGGTGGCTAGGCACAGCTTGTGAAGCCAGGGCTCAGAAAGTATAGAGAAGGAGGCTAGCAGACCTGCCCACACTCTGGGTGTGAACATTGTGAAGGAAAGCAGTGGGGAGAAGCAGCTCCTTGCTTTTCCCTGGTATGATGGTACAAAGAGCACAGGTTCTACAATTAGAAAAACCTGCATTCACATACTTTTCCACTTACTGGTTATTTGATTTTGGGTAAGTCACTTATTGATGGTTGACAGAACTTGGACAGTAGTTTTACTGAAGTAGGGCGATATTTTGTTTTGTTTTTTCATCTTTATATCCTCAGAGATGAGCACACTGATGAAACATACTTGGCATGCAATAAATATGTAGAATGGATGTACATAGTTTAATACTTCACAACTTCAGTTTTCTTATTGATGGGAAGTGATAATAGCACCTGCTCCTGGGAAGATTTAGGAAAGCTCCACATGTAAATAAGTCTGGCAAACCCCAAAAGGGCAGGCATTCAGTAAACAATTATTTCTCCCTTCCTTTTCCCCTCTCCCCTTTGTCTTTTCTCCTACATTTCCTCCCGTATTTCACTCCCTAGTGACTGCCCATAATTGGTGTTTTTATTCATAGTAGGCATAGTGTCCCTCTATTGATTAACTCATAAATAGTCATCATCGTTATCAACACTGGCAGCATAAATAGAAGTTGAATGTCTAATCTGTGAGACAGTAGGCTGCTTATATTTTCAACAGCTTTGGAGTAAGAGCAACCCCTATCTCCTCCACCACGTCTCCATCCACCTGATACCTCACTGCCACTAACCCAGGAAAATGAACTGCTTCTTTCTCTCTTTTGAAGAAGGAAATTCTGTCCTTTAATAAAACCTGACTGTCTTCCCATTTGTGATTCTAATCTGTCATCCATCTAAATCATTTGATTTTTTTTCTCAAAGTTTTTCTTTTTATAGTTCTTCAGAGTTACTCAGTTTTAAAAAACCCTCCCAAAGAATGCCACTTTGTAAATATCATTATATGTGGCTTATAATTTATATGTATGTATTTTATTTATAACAGGTTAATTCCTTAAGGTAGTGGTCCTCAACCTTTTTGGAACCGGGGACTGATTTGGTGAAAGACAATTTTCCCACAAACAAGGGTCGGTGGGGTGTGGAAGGGGGTGATGGTTTCAGGATGAAATTTTTCTACCTCAGATCATCGGGTATTAGATTCTCCTAAGGAGTGTGCAACCTAGATCCCTTGCATTTGCGGTTCACAATCGGGTTTGCGCTTCTATGAGAATCTAATGACGCCACTGATCTGACAGGAGGTGGACCTCATGCGGTAATGTTCACTCACTCACTTCGTGCTCTGCGACCTGGTTCCTAACAGGCTGTGGACTGGTACTGGTCCACAGCCCAGGGGTTGAGGACTTCCGACTTAAGGTGTAAAACTTTGAGTAGGTAATGTCAATTTCTATAACTTAGAACAGCGATTTTTAAACTTTGAGAAATAAAACCCCCTTTTTGCCCACAGATAAATGCTAAATATAATTATATTTTTCTAAGGTCAAATTTGTTAATATAATTCAAAATCGTATTTAGTTTACTATAGAGCAAGTCAATACAAGTAAGAATTTCTATAATGAATACAAATATTTGGAGTTGGGAATTATAATACTAGTTTTACAATTTTACATCAGTCTCAGCAACCTGTTTATTTCTGTATTTCATGGGGCTTAAAGCTGGGAAAGATTCTGATCCTTACAGATAAGTAATTTCAAGTGGTACTGGTTATGCAATCTGTGATTGCATAACCTTGTATGCCTTTTGCAATCATAGATACTCTGCAAATAGTTAAAAAGCTGGAGAAGCAAGTCTAAGATCTGCGTAAGAACCAATTAATCTGGTCTCATAAACTAACATATTGGTGGCATTGTATAACTTTCGAGGAAATGTTTACTGTAGTTTCATAATATAGTTTCATAAACGTAATTTAGTTTAGAATTGATATCAAATATTGAAAATAATTTTCCTGCAACATCTTTGGAGTCAAGTTATACCTAGAGTCACTTCAAAACCAATTGCATAAAATATTCAATGTTACTTGTTTCATGTTATTAAATTAAAAACAGTCTTTTGTAAAAAAGGCAGTTCCAATTGTCTTTGGTAGGTCTATGTTATGACCATAAAGATACCATGCTGTTGTCATGATAAATAATAACTACCTCTGTCATAACTCTTTTATATTTATATTCTCAATTGACCCTCATAAAAACACAGCAAGATAGTTGTAGTTATTATTCCCAATCTACATAGGAAGAGAAGATTATATAAATTGCTTCAAATTAAACTCCTAACTTCAAGCTAGAGATTCAAACATGGGTCTCTGTGTCCCTGAAACTCACAGTCATGCAGAGCCCTGGGACTGCTGTGTTGGTACAGCACATGCCCTGGCAGAATGGGAGCCTGTGTTCACTGGACACAGGGTCTATGATTTGTTGTTTATCCTTTGTTTATTAAAAACAAACCTTTAGTATTTATAAATTTAAGAATATAGGGAATATTTATTTGTGACACTCCTTTTTCTGAGAGAATGTAGTATCCTTTCATTTGAAGGAATGTCTTGAACATCTCAAATCAATAGAAACACAACTTCTCCTACATCTGGCTGGACTGGCTTCAAGTTTTCAGAGGAAGAGAAAAGGAACTTTACATCACTGATGTAGAATGAGAAGGTGAATAAGTATAGGAGAAATTGTTTTTTTAATCTGAAAGCACTGGTATCTAATAAACAATAATTCTGTGCCTGTTTTCATCCTTCCTGCCTCAAATGCTTCCTGAGCAAAATGTAAGATGATCTCAGTAATCTTTATTTGTAGCCTTTAGAGTATGCTGCAGTGATGGTGATTTAGGGACTAGGAGAGTTTCATAGGGTAGAGGTCAAGATTTGAACCCAGGCAGTTGGATTCCATAGCTTGCCTTCTTAGCCACTACGCTCAATTGTTTTCCATGGTAGTAAGTATATTATTCCTAAGAGCATTCATTTTTTAAGAATTATCAGCTCTTAGAACTATTAAATATCATCCAGATTTCCTGGCTTTGTAGGTGTCCATGAAGAGGCTGGGAGACCACCAGCTGAAATGTTGCAAGATTTCTTTATTGGTCAGGAAGTTGGGTCTTTAGATATAATTCTAATGCAATGTTTTAATACTAGGGTCCTTACCTGTAATCGTTTCCTCAAATTTGATCTTGAAGTTTTTCTCATGAGATTGGCAATAAACTCTCGACGTGCCCTGATGAGGCTCCAGATAAGGTAGTCATGGATGTTGCTTCTTTATCCTGGTAGGTGTTCTCATGCCTTAGTGTCTCATCTGTGACCAGGAATTCCCCTCACAGAAAATTTGCTTGTACTGGCAGATGCCCTGTGGCTCTTGTCTGACCTGTGTTCAGTTTATTCCTACCAAGATAACCACTCTCTGAGATAGCTCTGATTGGGAGGAGAGTTAGATTCAGGGGTATCCATCAGGTGAGACGCAGAAGAGGCAACTCAACAAAACACATGAAGTAACAGAAGCAGCGTTATTACTTATAGATCCGAGAGAAAAGAGGGTAGCAAGCCTCACAGGGCTAACAGCAAGTGGGGAGTCACTGGGGATATGCACACCCAACCACTGCATGGAGAGCAAGAGAGAAAGAGTGAGAAATCAGTGGGCCAATCCTTTACAGGGTTTTACTTAAGCAGGATTCCCAAGGGCAGTTCTAATTGGTGGGTTTACAACAAGCAGGCATGAGTTCCTTGGAATCATGCTGTGACTGAAAGGTGGTCACTGTGGCACCTCTGTGCATCCCATGTGGGGTGTGAGGGTCAGTTGGACAAGTCAAGTAGGTTGTATCTATCTTTCCACAGGGATGTGGTCACCAGAAGGTGTTTGTATAAGGCATATAATCTGGATCAATCACATTGAAGAACTGGGAGAGGTGGAGAACTGGAAACTTTGTCAAGGGTTAGTAAAACTTGATTCTGTTGTGATAAATTCTAATTTATATTCAAAATGCATGCTGAGCCAACATATAATTATAAAAATTCACTATATTACCATATTAAAGTCTCTAAATTGGATGGGCTACAAGGAGTCCATAAACCCCCAAAATAGTATGTAAAATGTGTAAATCATCAAAATGCTAATCTGCCACAATCAAGTAGACTTTATTCCCGGGATGCAAGACTGGCTCAACATATGCAGATCAATAAATGATTCATCACATAAACAGAAATAAAAACAAAAACTACATGATTATCTCAGTAGATACAGAAAAGGCTTTTAATACAATTCAACATCCCTTCTAACAACCCTCATCAAACTAGGTATTGAAGGTGCATAACTCAAAATAATAAGAGACATCTACTCCAAACACAGAGTCAACATCATAACAAACAGGCAAAGCTAGAAGCATTCCCCTTGAGAACTGGAGCAAGACAAGGACACTCACTCTCACCACTCCTATTCAACATACTACTGGAAGTCCTAGCCAGGCGAGAGAAAGAAATAAAAGACACCCATATAGGAAAAGAGAAAGTCAAACTATCTTTCTTCAGACACAATATGATACTATGCCCAGAAAACCCCATAGTCTCTTCCCAAATGCTCATAAATCTGATAGACAACTTCAGCAAAATTTTAGAATGCAAAATCAATGTACAAAAATCAGTAGCATTTCTATATACCAATAACATCTAAGCTGAGAGGCAAATCATGACTGTAATCCCATTCACAATAGGCACAAAAACAACAAAATATCTAGGAAAACAGCTAACTAGTGAGGTGAAAGACCTCTACAATGAGAACTATAAAACACTGCTGAAAGAAATCAGAGATGACACAAACAAATGGAAAAACATTTCCTGCTCATGAATAAGGAGAATTGACATTGTTAACATGGCCATACTGCCCAAAGCAATTTACAGGTCCAATGCTATTTCTTTCAAACTACCAATGACATTTTTCACAAAATTAGAAAAAAAAATTCTAAAATTCATTTGGTACCAAAAAAGAGCTGGAATAGCCAAAGCAATCCTAAGCAGAAAGAACAAACCTGAAGGCATCACACTACCTGACTTCAAACTGTACTGTAAGGCTACAGTAAATAAAACAGCATGGCTGGTTCAAAAACAAACACATAGACCAATGGAACAGATTAAAGAACCCATAAATAAAGCTGCACGCTACAACCATCTGATCTTTGACAAAGCCAACAAAAACAAGCAATAGGGAAAGTACTCCTTGTTCAATAAATGCTGCTGGGATAACTGGGTAAACATATGCAGAAGAATAAAACTGGACCCCTACCTTTCACCACGTACGAAAAGCAACTCAGGATGGATTAACGAGCAAAATGTAAAATGTAAAAATATAAAAACCCTAGGATAAAATCTGGGGAATACCATTCTGGGCTCAGCCAAGACAATGACTAAAGGACAAAGACTTTAAAAGCAATTGCAACAAAACCAGAAATTGACAAGTGGGAGATAATTAAAATAAAGAGCTTCTTTACAGCAAAGGAACTACAACAGAGTAAAGAGACAACCTACAGAATGGGAGAAAATAACCAGAAATTGATAAGTGGGAGCTAATTAAAATAAAGAGCTTCTTCACAGCAAAGGAACTACAGCAGAGTAAAGAGACGACCTACAGAATGGGAGAAAGTATTTGCAAACTATGCATCTGACAAAGGTCTAACATCCAGGATCTATGAGGAACTCAAACAAGTCAACAAGCAGAAAACAACCCTATTAAAAATGGGCAAAGGACATGAACAGATACTTCTCAAAAGAAGACATACACATGGCCAACAAGCATATGAAAAAGGGCTCAATATCACTGATTATTAGGGAAATGCAAATTAAAACCACAATGAGATACCATCTTACACCAGTCAGAATGGCTATTTTTAAAATTTTCAGAAGGCAACAGATGCTGGCTGAGTTGCAGAGGAAAGGCAATGCTTATACGCTGTTGGTGGGAAACTAAAGTAGTTCAGCCACTGTTGAAAGCAGTTTGGAAATTTCTCAAAAAATATAAAATAGAACTACCATCTACCATTCAACTCAGCAATCCCATTACTGGGTATATAACCAAAGGATTATAAATTGTTCTACCATAAAGACACATGAAGGTATATGTTCACTGCAGCGCTATTCACAATAGCAAAGATATGGAGTCAACCTAAATGCCCATCAGCGATTAACTGGATAAAGAAAATGTGATACATACACACCATGTAATACTACATAGCTATAAAAAATGAGATCATGGCCTTTGTAGCAATATGGTTGTAGCTGGAAGCCATTATCCTAAACAAATTAACTGGAACAGAAAACCAAATATCACATGTTCTTACTTATAAGTGGGTGCTAAACATTGAGTACCCATGGACACAGCAAAGGAAACAGTAGACACTGGAGCCTATTCGAGGGTGGAAGGTGGGAAGGAGGGCAAGGATTGAAATACTACTTATCAGTAGTATGCTGATTACCTAGATGATAAAATCATCTGTACTCCCCTGTGACACAGAATTTACCTGCACATGTACCCCTTGAACCTAAATAAAAGTTGGAAAGAAAATAAATAAAAAATAAAACTTGTACATGTGTAGTACATTCTTCTGGGAAGAAAATCATAGCTTTTTACCCTATTTATAATCCAAAAAATGTTAATAATAATCTTACACAAATGGATTTATTGATTGTAAATATTGCAAACATATTACACTCAAAGGATAACCTATTTTTGTTAAATTATTATTAGTAATAACATTTGGGCAAGATTATTAATTAAAATGGGTTAGAATCTGTAATGTCACTAGAGTAATGATGAACTATACATCTATTTATCTATGTATCATTATCATCTATCTACTAATATATCTATGATGTGTTTTGTTTTATAATGGTTTATGATTCACAAGTGCTTTTGTCATGTATTATCTCATTTAATCCAATGTCAATCTTGTAAGTGGGTTAGTATTATTACCATTTTCATAATTAAGAAAAAATATTTCAGAAAATTCCCAACCTACTGTTATTAAGTAGGAGAGCTAGGATTCAAATCTAGGTCTATAAACCTCCAGCCCCAACAGTTTTCAACACTGACATGACTCATCTTTCTATTTATTTTATTAACTTATTGAGAAATAATGGAGAACCAGAAAACCTGCATAAATCTCAAGGAATTTGCTGTTATTTCTGTTTTTATTCCTTTATATATAAGAGGTCTTAGAAAAATTAATCTCTGGGTGCTTTTCAAATTTTCTCTTTATCTTAGTTTTGAGACTTTTCATTATCTTATACCTTGGTGTAGTTTGCATTGTGTTTTGTCTTCTTGCAGTTCATCAAGCTTCTTATCGTTTTCATTAGATATAGGAAAATTTGGCCTTCATGTACTTGAATACTTTTTCAGCTGATTCCTCTCCTTCAAGGACTAGCAATTACATAATATTAGGCTGCTAGAAGTTTTCTATAGATCACTGCTTTTTTGTTTTTGTTTTTCTTTCTGTGTTTAATTTTTAGTAATTTCTACTTCTATTTCAAGTTCATTAATCCATTCCTCTGCAATGCCCGATCTGCCATTATTCCTATCTGGTGTATTTTTCATTTCAGACACTAATTTTCATTCCTAGAAGGTAAGTTTTTAATTTTTTATATTTTCCATGTTGCTACTTAGCATCTTAAACATATGGAATACATAAAGTACTCATTTAATGTCTTTGTCTACTGCTTTAAACATCTGTGCCAGTTCTGGTTGTTTTGATTGATTGAATTTTTTTCTTTATGATTTGTATTTGTTTATTTCTTTGCATTCTTGCCAATTTTAATCAGCTACCTGACATTGTGAATTTTACCTTTTTGGATGCTAGATATTTTTGTATTACTACTAATGTTCTTGAGCTTTGCTGTGAGTGCAGTTAAGTTACTTGCAAATGGTTTGATCTTTTTTGGTCTTGCTTTTAAAATTTATTAGGTGGGCTCAGAGTGGTGATTTATTTAGCACTAATCATGCCCCTGCTGAGGCGAGACACTTCTTGTACTCTACCCAGTGCTCCATGAATGAGGTTTTCTGATCCGGCTGGCAGGAAAAGGCACTATCTCTTGTCCTTGTATGAGTACTCAGCACTGTTGCTTCTAAACCTTTTGGATGTTATTTTTTTTTCTTTTTCCTACTGCTTTGAGTAGTTTTCAAACATACATAAATTTATCAATATGCTGCTGAATGCTCAAGGGGACCCTACAGAGGTCTCTATTGTTCTCTGTGCAGCCTTCTCCTCCTCAGTACTCTGTCTTGCCAATTCCAGCTACTTTGGTATTTCTGGACTCTCATGCCAACTTCTCAACTCTGAGAGTCTACCAGGCTCTGCCTAGGTTCCTACCTCCCTCTGTTGTATCTTAGAAATTATCTCAAAGCAGTTAAGCTGAGGAATTTGTAGGGCTCACCTTATTTGTTCCCAGTTTCTGTCCTTCACTGCCTGATATTCAATGATTGGGACCATTGTTTTACATAGTAAGTCAAGCATTTGGTTTTTTTCAGACAAAGAGGTAAATGCACTCGCTATCCCTCCATCTTGACCAGAAGCAGAAGTCTCTTATCCTATTGTTGTTCATCTATGTCAACTCAGAAGAGCTTTGAAAAAATAAAATAGTGCTGTCCTTTTTTGTTCCTTGCTAACTTGTATATTCACAATATAACTTTCTGTCTGTAGGCTTACTGTATGTGTTGGAACTAGAACAACTATGTCTTATTCAGTGTGCAACCCCATCACATAATACAATTTCCAGTAGATAATATTCTCTGTATAAATGTTTGAGTGCGCAAATGAATAAATTAATAAATATATAAAACCCAAGTCTTCCTGGGGGAAGGAGATGCAAATATGATGGTTGTATAATACATACAGTTTTAATGTGTATTTCATACAATAAAATTGAAATAGAAATGAAAAAAAGGAATGTAGAAAAGAAATGCAAAAGCGACTTGCAAATGTTATTAGCACTTGCTTAGAAGTGAAGAGGGGCCACTGCACTCCAGCCTGGGCGACAGAGCTACACTCCATCTCAAGAAGAAAAAAAAAAAAAAGTGAAGAGGGAACCTGAGCCTTCCAAAAAGAAATGGAGCATGTGGTGGGCCAGACTCCCAAGGGAAAAGGGAGTGTACATCCTTTCAAATCCACCTCTTTTTTCATTTCTGCCTTGTTTATCTCTCTCTCTGTCTCTCTCTCTCTGCCCACCTCCCGTCTTTCTCTCTTCCATGTCTGATATTACATGTGCTATATTTAAGGAGTCTAAAATTCACTAGCCAAATAATTGTGTTGATAGAGTTTGGTGGGGGACTAGATAGATTGTGTGAATCTAACAAGAGCAGAGGTACAATATGTAGTTGCAAAATATAAGATTACTCTAAGACCCCTTCTATTTCTGGGTTTCTCTTTGTCTGTGGGATCCAAGGGGAAATGAACAGTCCCTCCAGATTACATTGAAGGTGCTGTGTCTCATGTACTTACAACAGCATAATTTCACACTATTTTTCCCTTAGTTTCCTGTTCCTTCAAAGGATTAGTTTAACATGTTATTAATTTAGAAAAAATTCACATTTTAAATGTTGTATTTGTAAGTTTTTATTTGTATTTTTTACTTTTTAAATCTTAATTTTTCATGGCTAAAAACACAGGCCTTATTTAAAAACAAATAAAGCTTAGGGGCAAAATTATATTACCAAAGTAATAATTGTATATATGAAGGCTTTTGGTCCATGTCTTATTTCTTTCAATTAATACAGCAGCATTCCCAGAAAAGAAAAGAAAACAAATCACAAAAATCACTGCCTTTTAATTCTTCCATGAAAACCATTAAGGGTCAGGACACCCTTGTGTATTTTTATACCTGCCCATCTTGATATATGTCTAATCTTTTCTCCTGTCTTTAATTCTGTAAACATTCTATCTTTAGTGAGTGCTTATTTTTGATGTAATCAAATCTGTGGCACACCTGTCTCTGTTGATGAAAAGAGAGTGAGTCATTTGTGAGGAGGGCGGTCACATTAACTCTTGGAAGATACAAAAGATGACTTATGAAATTGAGTTTTTGAGGACATAACATGATGCCCTCATGACGGAAAAGAACTCACGGATCTCCTGGAAAATGTCATCCCCTCCATCTCACAAGGGGATGCAGAGCCATTGCAAAATTAAACTCTCAAGTTAATGCCATGGAGCTTAGTAAACAAGTTGTAAGAAATGCCATTCAAAATGTTTATTTTCAGACTGTTCCTAGTGACTGCAAATCAGCCAGTTGAACGTGTTTGCATCTTGCTGATCTGCTCCACCTTTGGAAATGCACTTTTTTCTTTAGTATAGATACAGTCTGTGTTTTAGGGACACAAATCAGAGGAATAACAGAACCAGTATTACTCCATTGAGTCATGGCCTTTGATTTTCAATAGAAGCAGCCTGCTTCATTTTGTCACTGAGTTCTTTTCCTAGCTCCCATCTGAAAGGAAAGAAGAATACAAAAATGAATGATAAAAGCCAGCCCTCTGATGGACCAGGGCAGGGAACACAGTGTCAGGATGGCGTTTCATAATGATAAGAAAAAAGTAATTTGCTGATCTAGGTGAGTGCTTTATCCTCTGTGCGTGTGTAACCTGAAGAGGGTAAATTACTTTTTCCTGGTACCACTTGGTATCCATGAGGAGGTAATTTGCCTCATAATGTCAAGACACCCTGCTGCTGTGAAAGTGGTTATACTCCTGGCTTGCTACAAGGAGAGTGTTTGGCTCACGGTCGAGCTGATCCCTTCATAAATCACCCAATCCAAGGCTGAGATATTTCAGGACATACAAGCAAGTGCAGAAATGAATAGATGCTTTTTTTTTAAGGGGGTGGTTGCAAGTATGTTTTTTTTTAGCTCCTTCATTGGTTGTTATTTAACTGCACTTTTCCCTTAGAGACAGAGGGTTATTAAAATCTAAAATAGTTGAAAGCAAACATTTCTCACTGTTCTATAGGACTACAATTTAGTCTTATATATGCCTAGCAGCTAAGTGCTGTGGGAATGATTTCCTCTGCTATTTTGAGGCCTCACATCTGGAAAAGGGGCTTTGGTCAGTTGGAGACCCTGAAAGAAGCACCTGCCTCTTTAGGAAGTTTTTCAACTCATTGTAAAGTGACTGGTAACAAGAGAGCATTATAAGCAAAATGTCCTTATTGGGACTCCTTCTTTATGGCAAGAAAATTCATCACTGGTCTGGGAATTCATTACTTTTGCTATTTCTTTTGAGACAAAACTTGAGGGAGAATAATAATCCCTGAGTGTAAATATTCATGCTTAGGCACCTTTAACCAGATAGTCAAACTGTACAGAGGCACTCAACAGAGTATCTAAAACTCCATTTTAGTATATCCGTCTTTCATAAACTGATAAGACTACACTGTCTTTTTTCTCCATGGTATCTACGAAACTCAAAGGGAACAGTATAGTGTATATGGGTGGAGAGTTGTGACATCATTCATTATTCATTCATTCATTTATTTACCAAATATTTGGGGGCAACCTACCACATGCTAGATATTGTACTTGATGCTGGGGTTAGAACATAAGTAACACAAATCCAATCCTAGTGCTTGCATCTTGGGGCATCTAGTCTGTCTAGGTATAAGAGCACTAGGCAGAAAATCACACGAATAATTAGAATTGTGATAAATCCTCTACAGAAAATGTAAAGGGTGCTATAAGAGTGTGTACTGGGGGAAATAATTTAGTCTGGAGAGTGAGGTGTCAAGAAAAGCTTTCCTTTTTAAACTGGGCACCAAAGAAAGAATGGGTGGAGATAACAAGGATGAGGTGGGAGAAGAATTCCCAGTAGAGAAATAAACTTGGGTAGAGTTGCTAAGGGGAGACTAAGCTTGAAATTAGAAGGGAGTCAAAACAGTAGAGAAAATTAAATAAGGGAAGAACAGCTCAAGATGAGATGTATTAATTTATTCATTTAATAAACATGTGTATAGTATTTACTCTCTGCCAAGAAGAGCTGTAAGTTCTTTACAAATATTGAATCCTTATAATGATCTTGGAAGGTATATACTATTATTATCCCCATTTTATAGATATGGAAACTAAACAACAGAAAGTTTTATAATGAGAGCAGGGAACATATAAAGAGACTAAAAAGCCATGTGAAATATTTAAAATCTTGTCATAAGAGCAATAGGAACTTGTAGAATGGTGTGAAGTGGTGAATGCCTTCGTCATGTTTATATTTTGGCTAGATATCTCTAATCAGTGCCTGAAGAAGGAGCCTGGGAAGTAAGGGGTGAAATGAGAATGAATGAGAAAATCAGTTAGGAGGTTATCACGGTACTACAGGAGGGAGATGACACTAGGCAATGCAAAGAGTTGGATGGATGTAAGAAATGTTCTAGAAATTGAACAGGCAGGACTAAAGATGGAACTGATGGGTTCAGGGTAGGAGGAAGGGAAGCTCAGGGATGATTTTTAAGTTCTGTGTCATAAATAAATATATAGGGAACAATTTTCTATGTTAGGGAACACAGGCAAAGAAGAACATTTGGCAGCAGGGCAGAAAATAACTGTAAATTGAATTTCAGCCGTAATGCATTTGAAGTTTCTAAGATGTATTTATGTGGAAAAGATGTAAAAATATTTGGATTTGGGAAAATGAAATGCAGAATCAAACTCTGAGAAAAAATATATACATCTAGAAATGATCTGGCATTTATTTATTAAACTTTTAACTTGGGTGTTTCTTCTCAAGACTCTAATGCGGACGTAAAGAAGTATAAGACAATATTTAAGAAGTAAAAATGCAATGATACAACCCATAAAAGTAGTTAGAGTTTTGAGACCATAAAGACTCTATACTAATAAAGGCATTGTGAGTATTTATTTCATCTCTGCATAACTGGTTCAGAGGAAAATCTGTAAGATGAAATGAGGCTGAAGGCAGGCAAGGTGATGATCAAAAGATTCCAAGTCTTCAATTTGTAGTCTTTTGATAACTGAATTGTTGCTGGCAAATATTTTCAGTTTCCAAATATTTTAGCCAATTTTTAAAAGACTTTCCCTTTACCCTTACATTG
The DNA here is from genome assembly GCF_000001405.40 of Homo sapiens. Lineage (NCBI taxonomy): Eukaryota > Metazoa > Chordata > Mammalia > Primates > Hominidae > Homo > Homo sapiens. The sequence continues at coordinate 101,339,442 of NC_000011.10, forward strand.
AATTTTGGGGGTGTCAATCTCCAACACACTTCACTAAATCTCCCACAAAGAGCCTTCTCCTAAAATCAAGATCCAGAGAAGAGTGAGGTGTTATTAAAGTTACATACTTAATGTGTATGTGTGTAAGGCATGCTTTAGCTGGGTCATATCCTGCACTGATGAGCAATTTAGGCCTTTTTTTTCTGACATGCCAGGCTACAGAGTAGAGCATCAAATGAATGGATGCCTTTAAAAACAGTACTTCCAATTAACTCTGCTTTTTTTCTCTCTCTCTCTTTTTTCTTTTTTTGACAAAGCCTTGCTCTGTCGACCAGGCTGGAGTACAGTGGTGCCATCTCGGCTCACTCCAACTCTGCCTCCCGGGCTCAAGCTATTCTCCTGCCTCAGCCTCCCTAGTACATGGCCTGTGCCACCATGCCTGGCTAATTTTCTGTGTTTTCAGTAGAGACGGGGTTTCACCATGTTGGCCAGGCTGGTCTCGAACTCCTGACCTCATGTGATCCACCCATCTCAGCCTCCCAAATTGCTGGGATTACAGGCGTGAGCCACCGTGCCGGGCCTAACTCTGCTTTTTGATAAGCTGTTCTGATGCAACTTATGGCATTAATAGCATTTTCCGAGAAGATAGAAAAACTTTGGAAGTCATGGTCCCTTCAATCCCATAGTCTGCTTGCTTTATTAACTTTCTCTTCAGTTTACTCCCTCCTACTCTTCTTTATCATCCAACAATTTTGGGTGTTCCTAAATCTTGCAACAAGCTTTCTTTCTATTTTTTCCTCCTAGCTCATTGGGCTTGGGATATTTTATTGGCATTGGAGCTGAAGAAATCTGTGAAAAAAAAGTCTGTATATACATATATATGTCTAAGTGTGCATATATTTATATATGTCTACATATATTTGTGTAAGTGTACATGTATGAAAGGAAGCTTTATCACAAATTTATTAAAAAGATAATAGATTAATTAGCTTTATGTAGTCATTCCATAATGTATGCATATTTTTTTTTTTGAGACGGAGTTTCGCTCTTGTTGCCCAGGCTGGAGTGCAGTGGCATGATCAATCTCAACTCACTGCAACCTCCGCCCCCTGGGTTCAAGCGATTCTCCTGCCTCAGCCTCCCAAGTAGCAGGGATTACAGGCGCCCACCACTATGCCTGGCCTGGCTAATTTTTTGTATTTTTGTAGAGACTGGGTTTCACCATGTTGGTCAGGCTGGTCTTGAACTCCTGACTTTAGGTGATCCACCCACCTTGGCCTTCCAAAGTGCTGGGATTACAGGCGTGAGCCAGTTTGCCCTGCCAATGTATGCATATCTGAAAACAGAATGTTATGCATGATAAATATACATGTTTTAATTTTCACGTTAAAAATAACAATAGACAAACTAGTTTTCCTTTTATTGAATGAGCTGTATCCTTCTGTTCAATATAGAGTGTGGGGGCAGATTTCAGGGTTTTGATTATGTGCTCTGTGCTCTGTTGACAGGAGGAAGGCTACTAAGAAGCCAGCTCTACTTTTGACCATCAGGTACCATCTTAGGCTTCAGTTTCCTCAGGAGAAGAGGATCCTTGGACAAGAGGATCTGCAAAGTTCCTTCTAACTAATATTCTATGATTCTTTTTCTGAGTAAAAAGATGGATTTATGACAAAATTAAAAAAAGAAAATCAGCTTTTAAAAGGTGTAACTTCTTCAAAGATTTTTCCAGAAAAGACTGCCAATATGAATTGTGAGATAAAGCAGATTGTAGAGCAAAATTGTTGGACTTTTAAGAACAAAAATACATGGAAGCCAAGAGCAATAATTAACATTTTTGAAATATTATGTTACTTTCTCACATTAAAAAAATAATAATTGAGACTGTGAGGTGGGCAGGAGTACATTTCCTTACCTAGGGATTTTAGGTGACTTAATATAAGTCGCCTAAAAGTAAGCCAGTAGACCCAAGAATCGTACCTTCAAATTGCAGGACCCATAGAGAACAATCCAGGTATAAATTTAGCCGGGGAAGGGTCAGATTAATACTGGACTTCTGGTGTCACATTGCTCAGCTTCAAAGCACAATTTACATATTTTCATTGACTTACTTTTGCTATTTCTGTATAATGAACTCTAGAAATATTTGGTTACTATCTCCAGAATTTGGAATTTTCAATGGACTGTAATAAGAAACAAAAAAGATCAGATAAGGGGAAAAAGATCTGTTATGTCCTAAATAACAGTGATAACATGAACACAATCTATGCTATAAAAAGCTATGAGCTAAGCTCACAAAACATGTGGACAAATATGAGCTAGTGAAAGAAAATGACCTAATGGAAAGATGTCAGAAAGTGGCAGAACAAGTTCTAAGAAAATTGGACAATTTCCTCAATCTGACATGATTTAAGTGCAAGGAGAACTTGAATAGCATGAATTTGGCCTTGGGCAGAAATATGTACCCCCAAGAGAGGCAGCTCCCTCAGCATTGCTTCTAGACATCGAATTTGGCATGAAGAGAATGTTAGCTAGTCCAGGACACATTCTAGACAGGATAGGCTCTAAACATTTCGAAAAAGCCTCTACTCATTGTAAAAAAAATATGCTTAATATATATATAATTAAAAGGAAGAAAGTAAAAATCTTCGTAGTATTGCATCTTAACATTTCGGTGTATTGCTTTCCAGTGATGAAAGAATGAACCTTAAAGGGGAGGAGGACTAACAATTCTTCAGGTGAGAAGAGGGAAGAAAGTTAGGATGAATCTGGAAGTGAGATTTCAAGATGGGGCAAGAAGAACTTCTGTTCACCTGTAAAATAGAAAAAAAGATATTTTCAGTCTCACCATTATTTTCCAAGTGAGTTTTTTTTTTTCCTATTACTAAACTGTACAAGGGCAGGAGCTGTGCCATTTTAGTCTGTGATCCTCCAAAGACTGTTATAATGGCTCAGCAGACACTCAATAAATATTTGTTGAATAATCAGAGGCAAGTAAGACATAATAAACACAAAAACGTAGCAAAGCAAATGCCAGGAGGAACTGGAGTTTAGTAGAATATTTAATGAAAGTGCAAAAGACTTGCAAAAGTGCTTGGGAATTAGGGAAGGATAAAGAGGGTGTGACCCAAGCCTGGGGTTGCAAATGACATATAGACAGCTTGACATTTCTTCTCCCTTATAATTCATTAATCTCCAACAGGGATCATTTTCTAAAAAAAAAATATTGTTATAGATTCAAAGGGTAAAGTGGAAGTTTGTTACATGGATAGATGACAATGTAGTGGTTGGGTTTGGGCTTCTATTGTACCCATCACCCGAATAGTGAATATTGTACCCAAATAGGTTACTTTTCAACCCTCCCCCCATCCCACTCTCCCCACTTTTGGAGTCTCCAATGTCAATTGTTTCCTTCTTTGTGTCCATGTGTACCCATTCTTTAGCTCTTACTTATGAGTGAAAAGATGAAGTATTTGATTTTCTGTTTATGAGTTTTTTCATTAGGATAATGGTCTCAAGCTCCATTTTCCATGTTGCTGCAAAACATAGGATTTCATTCTTTTTATGGCCGTGTAATATTCCATGGTGTATATATACCACATTTTTTATCTAATCATCCTTTATAGGACACTGAAATTAGTTCCATATCTTTGCTATTGTGAATAGCGTTGTGACAAACATGAAAGTGCAGGTGTCTTTTTTATATAATAATTCTTTTTTCTTTGAGTATGTAACCAGGAATGGGATTGCTGGGTGAAATGGCAGCTCTATTTCTAGTTTTTTGAGAATCTCCATACTGTTTTCCATATAGGTTGTACTAATTTACATTCCCGCCAGCAGTGTATAAGCATTCCCTTTTCCCCACATTCTCACCAACATCTGTTGTTTTTTGACTTTTAAATAATCGTCATTCTGACTGGTGTGAGATCGTATCTCATTGAGGCTTTAATTTGCATTTCTCTGATGACTAGTGATGTTGAGCATTTTTTCATATGTTTGTTGGTTGCTTGTATGTCTTCTTTTGAGAAATGTCTGTGCATGTCCTTTACCCAGTTTTTAAGGGGATTATTTGTTTTTTGCATGTTGAGTTGTTGAGTTCCTTATAGATTCTGAATATTAGTCCTTTGTTGAATGCATAGTTTGCAAATATTTTCTCTCATTCTGTAGGTTGTTTACCCTGCTGATTATTTCTTTTGCTGTGCAGAAGCTTTTTAGTTTAGTTAAGTCCTGTTTGTCTATTTTTGTTTTTGTTGCATTTCCTTTTGAAGTCATAGTCATAAATTCTCTGCCTAGGCCAGTGTCCTGAAGAGTTTCTTCTAGGTTTTCTCCTAGGATTTTTATAGGTTCAGGTCTTACATTTAAGTCTTTAATCCATCTTGAGTTAATTTTTGTATATGGTGAGAGATACAGGGCTAGTTTCATTCTTCTATATATTGCTATCCAATTTTCCCAGCACTATTTATTAAATAGGGAGTCCTTTCCCAATTGTATATTTTTGTCAACTTTGTGGAAAATCAGTTGGTTGTAGGTGTGCAGCTTTATTTTGGGGTGTTCTATTCTGTTCCATTGATCTATGTGTCTATTTGTATACCAGTACCATGCTGTTTTGGTTACTATGGCCTTGCAGCATACTTTGAAGTCAGGTATTATGATGCCTCCATCTTTGTTCTTTTTGCTTAGGATTGCTTTGGCTATTTGGGCTCTTTTTGGTTCCACATGAATTTTAGGATTTTTTTTCTAATTCTATGAAAATTGATGTCCAACAAGGACCTTATAATTGGAAAGGGTAAAAGAGCCCAGAAGACAACACTTCACTCATTTAAGGGTCTTGGAGAAAGGTACAGATGTAGAAGTATTTGAAGAATTGCAGAAAACGGAAGTGTCAAACTTCTGGAGATGTGGAACACTAAATAATTACTTGGAAACATAAATTACAGACATTATAGTCTAGATACCAAACTTGATGATTTTCAGCAAAATTCTAGAATATGATCAGGCAATGCCAGACTGACTTGGTTGATTGCTGGCTCTACCACTTACCAGCTATATGGCTTTTGGCAAGTTATATAACCTCTATGCCTCAGTTGCCTCATGTAAAATTAGAATACTCTTAATATCAGTCTTATAAGGATGTTATAAACACTAAATTCTCTTAAGGCATGTAGAAGATTCCAGCCACATAATAAGTGCTCTATAAGATTAGGTATTGTATTATTATTATTGTTACCATTACTAACACTTAAAAATGAAGTTATTATCAATAGAAGATATCTCAACTACGAACGAACCATACTTTAAATAAACATTTTGCATTTTTTTGAAAAACTTTTTGGGTTGCTTATTCAAGGGTATTTCATACATGTGTTTGGATGATAGGAAAGTCCCTTGACAGAGTCTTTACTACTTTTCTAATGAGTGAAACAATGGCATCCTTGTGTGAGAGGTGGTTGACTAGGAGAATATAGTAATAGGGCAAATAATTTAGCACACTTTCTGCTCTTAAAAGCTATACAGAATACTGGGAGAAGTTACAGTTGAGATTTTTGCTTGTTAAACACAACTTTATAATAATTAAAGTTGATCAAAAGTCATTAACTTTTAGAGTTGAAGGGAATTTGAGGGACCTTCCAGTCCAAACATTCAGATTATATCTGAACATCTGAGGCTAAGAGAGATCCGATGATTTGCCCAAAGGCACACAGCTAGTGTGTAGCCTAGCCAAGACTTGAACCCAGATTTTTGGGGTACTAAATGTGTTTGAAGCTAACCTCTGTTAGACAGAAAGTCACAGTATAGATCATATCTGTTTTTCTCTTAGGTCCTGTTTATAGGTGGCTGTTTCTTCACTGCAGTAATACAACATCAAGGTGCTATTTTGTGTGTGTGTGTGTGTGTGTGTGTGTGTGTGTGTGTGTGTGTGTGTGTATTGTTTAGATGGAGTCTCCCTCTGTCGCCCAGGCTGGAGTACGATGGCATGATCTTGGCTAACTGCAACCTCTGCCTCCTAGGTTCAAACAATTCTCCTGCCTCAGCCTCCCAAGTAGAAGGGATTACAGGCGCCCACCACCACACCTGGCTAATTTTTGTATGTTTAGTAGAGACAGGGTTTCACCATGTTGACCAGGCTGGTCTCGATCTCCTGACCTCAGGTGATACACCCACCTCAGCCTCCCAAAGTGCTGGGATTACAGGCATGAGCCACTGTGCCCAGCCCAAGGTGCTGTTAATACCCATTGGCTGACCTTCATGGTGCAGGTAATGAAGTACTTGCTCCTACTCCAGGCACTGCTTTGCCCACTTCTTCTCCAGTGATATTCACTGAGGGGTTTAGATAATATTCTTGAAGCCACACAAGAGCCCAAGGTTTGGAGCAGATTGAGCGTATTTCTCTGAGTAACACGAAGAACAAGTTTCACTGCCTGGACTGAGAGTTGCAAACTTGCATTCGGAATTTTTTTTTTTAATTTAAATGCCTGTAGGCTATGCAAGCCTCCTCTAATTTGCTGGAGACTCCAGCACCTTTCTGCCTCTTGAAGGAGAATAAGTCGTGATCTTGACATAGAACTCCGAAGGTGTTCCACATGGATGTGCCTTCAACTCCAGACACTTTCTTTCACAGCCAGCGTTTCTTATTGTTAGGCTTTTCCCTGTCAGTTTTCCTCAGCCCCTCCCTTTTCCCAGGAAGCACCTATCCTCTTCACACTACTTGCTACTTTCTTTCCTTATTGGCTTCTGAACATATCATGGCTTCTGCCAATTGCCAACTGTAAATGCTTTTGAGGAGAAGAGTGGGTTCTGGTCCCAGTGCTTGATATTTTGAGGAGGAATGGGGAGAACTATGGCTAATGGAGAAGGGCAGGAAAGAGTGGGAAGGCTTCATCTCCGGGTTACAATTGTTCTCTTCTTATAGTATCCAAAATCAAACACACTTCACCACAATATGAATTATTTCTCTTCTGAAATTCCCATTGATTCTAAATCAGAAACTCATGTTTTTCAAGTTAACATAACGTTGACACCTCTTCTTGTGAAAAAAATAACCCTGGCCTTTGAATGTTAATAGTGTATTCTGTTTCTCACTGCATTAGTTATATTTGTAAACTTCTTTACACTAACTGCCACTGAATAGAACTGCAATTTAAATTAGAGAAGAGCAGTTTGTCCAGACCCAAACTGCTCTCCTCTAATTTAAAAGTTAGGTCTCGACTGCAGGAATTGATGAAAGAATTTTTGGCTCACATCCACTCCACTATCCTAACTTATTAAAAACTCCAAAAACATTTATTGAACGCCAGTTATGCTCTGGGCACTGTGTTATTTATCTCTGCATTCCCAGTGTCTAAGGCAGAACTTTTGCCCTAGAGGAGATGACAGCATTTCTGTGGTTTTTAGTTTTATGAAATCCAATGGAGAAGAATGTCAACAAGAGCTAGAGGAGTCTGGGAAAGCCTTGTGAATCAACTGAAGACTTCAGTGGACTCTGCGGGATTTGGGTGCCCGGAAGAGATAGGGAAAGTGTTCTCCATCAAGGAAGCAGCATATCTGCAAGCATGGAGATGTGACTGGCAATAGAAGAGGAGAGTCAGTGGATTCTAGAGGAAGGTCAGTGCAATGTTAACAATGAGAAGTGTAGGTGAGAAAGTCAGGTTCAAAAGTTTATTCTTTTTAAAATTTAATTTATCTTTATAGATTTTGGGGGTACAAGTGCAGTTTTGTTACACTGATACATTTCATAGTGGTGAAATCTGGGAATTTAGTGTAACCATCACCCAATTAGTGTACATTGTACCCATTAGGTAATTTCTTATTCCTCACCCCCCTTCCACCTTCCACCTCTTCCAGTCTCCAATGTCTATTATTCCACCAGAAGTTTATTCATAATGAATGTATCTGGCTCCAGAAATGAAATTCCTTTGCCTATTCAACATTTCTTGCATATCTTCTGTGTACCAAGCACTGTGCTAGGGTTTTAGAATAAAGAGGTGAATAAGACACAGTCCGTTCTGTTGAGCAGCATACAGTCTAATGATGATAATTCAAGATCTCTCCAAATGCAACAAGGAGCACCACACCCAACTCCAGCACCATTTTGGAAAGATGACAGGGTAAAATAAGTTAGAGAGAGCAGAGATAGAGTAGAGAATAGTTGTCCAGCTGTTAAGAAAAACTGCCGCAAGCCCGTATCATACCCAAGCCCTTTCTAGGTATCACAGAATAAATAATACCACTCAACATACCTTCCATTTTGTTAGCATTTACACATTCCCTCATTTTTTAATTTAAAATTTAAAATTTAAAATTGGATGCCTAGCGTGCGTCATGTGTGATGTTAGATTCCGGGAATTCAGAAATGACCAACATAGACTCATTCCATCTCCTTCCTGGGTGTATAATCTATCATGTCTAGAGAATGTACTGTATTACAGGACTACATGAGAGACACCTAACATAAATTTTGGAAGGCAGGGTGGGGAGAGATCTGGGAGGGCTCCTTAAAGGAATCTAAACTGAGGATAAGTTAAAATTTTCTAGACAAAAAATAAGCTGAAAATTGTTCTAACCGTGGGGAACAGCGTGTAAGAAGGAGAGAAAAGGTAAGATAATTTGATGGCACTCAGGGAAGTTCATTTTAATATCAATAGTCCAGCCCTTCTTGCTTTATCACTAAAGGCCATTTCCATGTAGTGATACATTCAAAAGACACAAAATGCTAGTACCAAAAAAGCTTGGAATTATAGCCAGTCACACCACATCTAGAAAAATTTCTAAGGGTCTTTGACTTTATTGCTGTTGAAGTTCCTTAGAAGCAGAGCCCGAGGCAGTAATTGGGGTGCAGGTGATTCAGTCGGGAGCGTGCTTCAGGAAGAACCTGTAAAGGAAGCGGGATAATCAGGAAATTGAGCTGAGCAACGGTGCAGTTTCAGGTGAGATCTAGCCTTGCTAATCCAAGGGGGAAGGGCTCTGTAGCAAAAACCACACCAGAGAGCTGCCCCCTGTACTTCAGGAAAAGGGCCTACTTTTTGTACCCATAAAGCCAGTCATTGGCAGAAGGCATAATATTGGGAACATACTTTCCTCGTTCTGACACATATATTTCAGCCCTTCCATCTCATTTTGTTTCCATTATTTTGACCACACAATGTTTTCTAGAGCTAAGTAATACAATTACAGACTCCTGAGAAAGTTGAGGGAGGAAGGAAACAGGTGTTGCTGCTGTGATGCTTTTCTCAGTACTGCTGGAGTGCAGGGTGTGTGTGGAGGCAGAGAGTGGGCTGTGGAGAAACTAAGGCTGGAGAGGTAAGTAGAAAGCTGTGTGACGGGGAATATAGAAAAGCATCCAACTGTACTCACAATGAATTTAGGAAGACAGTTTCTCAAATGGAGGACTGAAAATGTGGACTTCTGTCTCATTGTGGCTTAGAAGACTTGCTAGTTTGTGTCGGTCTCTGATTTGTTCAAAGTGAATCATGGATTCCTGAAAAAATCATAAACTTGGTTTGCAGTTGTCTGGTGGTTAGAGCAACAGAGAGTATTTTTTTTCTGTCTTGTGATTGGGGTTGAAATGACATACTCCTGCAATGATTTTGTAGGGTCATAAAAGTAGAAAAAGCTGCCAGAAACGACGTCCTCCACATGTTTCCTGTGTTTACCCCACTCTCCTCAAATTTGATCTTCCAGAAAAAATAATCACTTTATTTATACATTCTGATATTTCAATTTCCATGTGTTTTATTTGCCAAACACACTAGTTGGATATTCCCTTTCTAGTTAGGACTGTACTCAAGATAAAGATGCTCTTTTTTTTTGTTTTTAGAGTTGATGTCCTTTTATGATGATTGTTAATTAATAAGACATCTTTTATGGATAGTACATAGAGAACCTAGTTATGCTGTTTAGACAACTGGCACTTAAAAAGTAATAGTGATTTATTCAGTTTCCTCATTTCTGGAGCATGTGGTCAGATGGTGTATGTTTATAAACCACCATTCTGCTTCCAGTATTGTTCTTGACCTTGTTGGATGCTATGATGGAAAAAAAAATAGTAGAAATTATTCCTACTTATGAGAAAATAAAAAACTAGTGGGAAGAAATAGAACAAAAGCTAGTTAAAGTTCATATTCAGAAACAATAAAACTTATACATATGAGGCAATGAACAGCTATGTTGTCACAGGGGCCCTTAATTCTCGGGGAGGTGGGTAAAATTTAGGGTTTCATTATTACAAAACTGAATAATTAAATGCACATACACGGGTTTACATGACGTTTGTCACTCAAAGTTCTTGTAAAAGAAGTGTAAATGGCTCACGGTATTCAAATGCTCTAAAGTTGTAGGTAAGAGCAGATGTGGTGGATGTGTATAGACAATTGGCAAAATGATCAGATGTGAACTTGATGTTTGTATTCAGGCTTCCTGACCGTGGATGTACACCAGAATTGCCCACAGGCTTTAAAACTACTGTTTCCAGGGCTCACCTCAGACTAGTGGATTTGAATGTTTTTTGGTTCCAGGTTTGCATTTTCAGAAAGCTATGCAGGTGCTTCTAATGCTTGACCAGAACTGAGAGCTGTGCCCTAGGGATTTATTTCAAAGTTGATCTATGCCAGATCTGGAATATATACAGGAGTGAGTATTCCAACCCACGCTTCAATTGTCTGTCCTCCAAAGGTTTGAGGGGTCAGTTCCTCAATATGCTCTGCATTCTTCTGTCATATACTTTCATGGAATCTGGGGAATATGGGGATGGGGAAGAATTTATGACTAACCAATTTACTAAACCGTTTTCAGAATGTCCCAGAGGATAGCCTAGAAATACATCCACTCTAAGTTTATCTCTTAAATTCAGTATAGAGCTATGGAGTTCATGGAGCAGACCCATGTCTTAGAGATGCTGACGGCTGCTTGTGGTGGTTCCTGGGTCCAGCAGCTTTCCTAGGACATGGCTGCAAGTCCAAGAGCTTCTTCAGGAACACCAGCAGGGCTGGGGAAGCAGCCAGAACTAAGGCAGTTGAGGGTAATTGATCTGGAAGGATCGTGACCCCTATTTTCACAGGAAAAATCAAAGTGCCTTGTCGAGGAAAACCTTGACACAAGACACAAAACTTTAAAACTCCTGTTCACAAGAACAATAAAAGAAACACAATAAATGGAAGTCTGGTCAAAAAACAAACTGAAATAAAATACTTGTAGCATAAATAAAAGGTGAAGAATGACTATCCTATTAAATATCTATAATATATTGAGTACCTATTTATTAACAAGAAAAAAGTAATACCCCAGTGGAAACATAGAAAAAGCATATAAACAAGTAGTTTACAGAAGAAAGAACAAATGGCCAACATATTGACTATGCCAAGCATCTTTCTGCCTAATTGTTTTTCAACTGCTGATCCCTCTGCTTGAAACCCTACTGCCTACAGATATCCTCGTGACTCATCTTCTCACTTCCTTTGAGTCTCTGCTTTAATATCTTCTTATCAGAGATGCCTTCATCCTCTATGTAAAATATCACGCTCCCACGTTACTCTCTATCTTCTGTCTCACTACCTTATTTTGACTCATACAATTTATAAACATCTGACAGTTTTTTTTAAAATTGTATACTGTCCGTTTCCCTGGAGTAAAAGATAAATTCCATGAGAATGAGGATGCTTTGCTCCATATCACCAGGATCTAGAAGAAGGCTTCCATATTGTCAAAAAAAGTTGTTGATTTAATGAATAAAACTTATCTAACTAATAATGAAGGAAAGTAACATGATACTGTAATATATTTCTTTTCCCTGCCAGGTTGGCAACTTTTTAGGTACTCCCAGATACTGCCCAAGTTGCCCTCCAAAAAAATACACCATTTATAAACACAGTAATTGAATATATCAAATTTAAAATCCACCTACCTTTCAATACCACAGTAAAACAGGTACGTGTGTTCTTTGTAGCACTAATAGTGACAGCAAAAACTTAGAAGCAAACTAAATGTATACAAATGAGAAAATAGTTACATTGTTACACCCATATGGTACAGCTTCAATCTAGGAAAAGTAATGAGGTAAATCTATATTATAGTAATAATAAAAAGTTCTGGGATATATATGCACACGTATATATGTAGAAAAGAATGAATCTGCTTTTGAAAAAATTATATATAATATATGCATGAATTCCACAAGAGAAACACAAGAATGAGCCACAATAAACTATTTAAAGCAGTTCTCTATGGGGAGGGAAAGATTTTGGTAGGGTTGGGCATGGAGTGGGGACTGCACTTGAAATTATTTACTTGATATACTTTCTTATTTTTAATACAGTTAGAATGTATGCATTGCATTATCTGAGACATAAGACAAAAGGGAAATTGGATCAAAAAAGTTAATATAAAACCTTAAACTACTGCGCAATGCTTTCTACAGTTTTTAATACCACACCTCCAGGATGTGGGACCAAAAAAAAAAGGACTGCCAGTTCTGCTGCTTCAAAGAAGGGTTACAAGATGTAGTCACTTACTAATAACTAAGGGAAATTGCCTCTCCTCACTTTGATGTTTTGTGACTTTCATGGCCCTTCACAGAGACTTTCTAGGTCACTATGCTCTCCTCTTCCTTCTGAACTGCCCTAATCCTTGGTTACTTAAGTATCTCTGTGAGTCAGATTTTAACGATAAGCAATTTTATTTTTTGCCAGAGAAAAGATTTTCTGAGATAATTCTAATCATGTGAGGGTAGTATTAGTAAATTTTTGGGAATTGTCTGGGAAAACAGTCTCTTTTGAAAGCATTCCAGTTAGTGTCCAGGATAAGTGAATATTTGCTATTTATTATATGCCCAGCAGAGTCTTGGGATACATACTTTTAAAAGACATGGTTTTCCCAACATGATCAGCTTGTAAACTCCTACAGGAGGATGCCCAATCTTCTCCATTTGTCTGGGACCGAGGGGTTTCCTGGGGTGCAGAACTTTCATGCAAAACCAAGAAAGTCATTAGCAAATTGAGACAAGTCGGTTATCCTACAGGCAAGGAGAAGACAAGTTAATGCAACAAATATTTATTAAATGCCCAGCCAGTACATGTGGTGTACACTGTGTTAGAAACTAGAGATTAGAGTAGTCAGCAAAACACACACATAAACAGTTCCTGCCCTCATAAAGTTTCTTCTTGAAAGGAGAAAAGTGTGATATTGATTATGCCACACTTTTTCATGTGCATTGGTTAAGCACTTTTGACCCTTAGGTAGAGAGAGCCATTGTATCTGTTGAAAGTTTTTGTGAACTAGAAAGCACTTGAGCAGATTCTCAAAGGGATGCCTGGCTTTTCATTCACTCAGCTCCTTGTACATAAGTGGACCCTCATCATCATCAGATGTTCGTTGAGTTAAACTGATGTGATGTATGGAGCAAACTTTTTGTTCATGGATTGGGACTAAAGAGGAGGAGAAAGTCATATGGATTGGAGTCTGGCTTCTGTGTTGGGCAAATGCTCAAATGTCGCTGTAGTCACATGCTCTGAAGTCTTGTCTTCTGGCTCTCCAATTCAGGAAACAAAATTTTAACTATTCATTTACTTAGAGGCATTGGGCTCTGAAGAACTGATTCAAAATAATTTACATTTGGGTATGCAGCTATTAGGTAGAGTGAATACTTATGTACAACAATCATGGCTATCCCGTTTTGGAATCAAATCAGCTGTGAAAAGTGATAACCCAAAAGATGTGGGAGCACCAAGAATGATGAGTTGGAGCCCTTGCTGAATATTTTTCATTAAACTCTGGGGGCCTGATGACACATTATTTGTTCTGTGTGCCAAAACTGCCAAGGGGACAGAATTTTGATGTCACTGATCAGGATTCAGTGGGAGAAGCAGACTGTTGAGACACAGGGAGACCTGGAGGTCACCCAGACTGTTCCATCAACTGGCTGTGTGACTTGAAAGAGGTCACCTAACTTCTCTGGCTATAGTTTCCTTATTTCTAAAATGCAGGGGTTGAACAAACCATCCATAAAGACGGCTCTAGCAATAATAGTCTGGATTTTTACCCTTTTTTATTCCATGTACCCTCTCATCATCACTTTCTCATTGCAATACTATGCTTTCTCAAATTTAATAGGCTTTATGGCTTGTGACAGCATGATTTATGCTAACTATACCTTACAATAGTGACTTCTGAATGATACATACAGAGGACTTCAGTCTTAATGATAGCGTGTTCCTCCCTTACACTGTAGGCAGTGAAGCAGGAAAGGAGAAAGAGTCAAGATAAGAATGCTTGATCCTAAAAGACAAAAAGACGGTCCTTAAGAAGTCATACAAACTGTTGTTCAGAATAATCCATTAGTGAGGAAGAAGGGTAAAGAATTACCCAAAATCTCCTTTTATTCCCCTGGTTAAGGGTGTGTTCTACAGGACATTGACACACTTGTTTTTCTAGGTTAGGCATGTGTAAACATAATATGGGGTCTCAGTCCATGTCACTCTAGGGAGGAGGTGAGTGGTACAACGCATCTCCACCCGCATGAGATAAGGTGTTGTCAGGTTGCCTCAGATCCCATAAAGAGTACTATGACAGGCTGGATGAGGTGGCTTACACCTGTAATCCCAGCACTTTGGCAGGCTGAAGCGGGTGGAACATTTGAGGCTAGAAGTTTGATACCAGCCTGACCAACATGGTGAAACCCCATCTCTACTAAAAATACAAAAAAAATTAGCTGGGCATGGTGGCATGTGCCTGTAATTGCAGCTACTCAGGAGGCTGAGGCACAAGAATTGCTTGAACCTGGGAGGTGGAGGCTGCCGTGAGCCGAGATGGTGCCACTGCACTCCAGCCTGGGCAGCAGAGCGAGACTCTGTCTCAAAAACAGAATAAAACAAAGCAAAACAAAAACAAACAAAAAAGAGTACTATAACAGCAGCTAGACCAAGAGACAGGAGAAGACTAGAGGATCTGAAACAGGACTTTAGAGATTGCTGATACATCTTTTTTTTTTTTTTTTCTGGGATCTAGATGAGAAATATGTCCATTTTAATTTGTAGAGGGAAACTCCTCCCAGTATTATGAGGTGTAGTGAGGTTATTCACCCCATCCACCAGACTCATAAACGGAATACCAACAGGGAATCAGAGATTTCTAGATTGGATCTAAGATTCACTAGTGACTAGTTTTTTGATCATAGACAAGTCATTAGCTCTATAAAAGTTTCACAGAAAAATGGAGGCAAAAATCTTTGAATTTCTGTACTTAGCTCCCCTCCACGCCCACCAAAAGCTATTATGTAGTGGCTATAAATTCTTCATCCTGTAAATAATAGATGTGTGCCAGCATTCAGAATATATAAGGATTAAATTTTAAATCATGCAGACTGCTGAGCTGATCTGCATAATAAGCATTTTCCTGGTTTGTTCAGCAGATGAGCCAAAGGGGATGGACCTAAAATCTGTCCTGATTCATGGGGCCCTTGTGAGTGAGCATTCAGAGATCCAACCTCAAGGTCCTAATAAACTGTCCTGAGGAAGATACAAGCTTTCCTCCAGGGAGTGGTCAGCGTGACGCTGTTATGAGCAGAGAGACCTCTTATTGTTCTTGCACTGAAGTTCCCTATTTCTCGTCTCTTGCCTGCTTGTCCATTGCCCAGAGATGCTATTCAGTCTTGGACCAATGCCCCCCAGCAGCAGGAACAGGCTTAAATACTGACCCGATGTTTACCTCCTCTCCATAATGAAGAATTAAATGTCATATTTGTTAATTGGTCCAAAGCCAGGGAAGTTTTTGACTTCCCTTACCTGCTTCTTTTGGCTAAAAGGAAGCAGGTGTTGACATGAAAGCAAACAACTTTCTTTTCTTATGTAAAACATGAAAAATTGAAATTATTCTAAGTACTAAATAACTGACATAAAGCTTAACAAGTGTTGGTTGTTACACAGCAGATTTGATTTCCTTTCAAGGTGGTTTCTAGACATACAGATCAATGGCTTTTCTTCATACATCTAATTCTAATAGCTTTTGTAACAACAGGAAACTTGTTTTGTGTATTTCATTTTCATATTTGTGAAATGATCATGTAAAAATATTCTTGGAAAGGCTATCTACATTTGATGCCTCAATATAATTGTCATGTGTTCCTTTTAAATTCTTTGCTTAATACTTATTGAGGGTCTTAAATGAGCATTTACTGGACTGTCCATCTGCAATTTATATTATTTTAAATGATTACTAGGAATTCTAAAATTTAGGCTGCTATAATGTTGAACTCTCATTAGATGCCATGAAAGTAAATATTTCCTGCAATGTCAAATACAAATCTACATAACTACTTTCAGATTTAATGTGAAAAATGTACTTACTGAAATAATAACTTAGAGGTACCATTTTGTAAGATTAAATTTTCTTTACCCTCTTAAAACCCTAATTTTCTCAACTGTAAAATAACTGGCTGGGCGCTGTGGCTTACGCCTGCAATCCCAGCACTTTTGGAGGCTGAGGCAGGTGGATCATGAGGTCAAGAGATTGAGACCATCTGGCCAACATGGTGAAACCTCGACTCTACTAAAAATACAAAAATCAGCTGGCTGTGGTGGCGTGCACCTGTAGTCTGAGCTACTTGGGAGGCTGAGGAAGGAGAACCACTTGAACCCGGGAGGCGGAGTTTGCAGTGAGCTGAGATGGCACGACTGCACTCCAGCCTGGCAGCCTGGCAACAGAGTGAGACTCCATCTCAAAAACAAAAAACAACAACAAAAAACTTGTCTAAAATACCACAGCTAAAATCAGTGGAGCAGGGGCTTGAATCCCAGTTTTTCTGACCTCAAAATCTAGACTGTCAACCAATATCAATATAGTGTTTTTCAAATTTCAAAAAAACAATCCAGTAATGCCCCCTAAAGAACTAGGAAAGCAAGAGCAAGCCAAACCAAAAATTAGTAGAAGAAAAGAAATTGTAAAGATCAGAGCAGAAATAAGTGACATTTCAATGAAGAAAACAATACAGAAGATCAACTTAAAAAAGTTGGTTTTTTGAAAAATAAACAAAATGAAGAACCTTTACACAGACTAAGAAAAAAATAGAGAAGACCCAAATAAATAAAATCAGAGATGAAAAAGGAGACATTACAGCCAATACTGCAGAAATTCAAATGATCATTAGAGGCTACTATGAGCAACTATATGCCCGTGAATTGGAAAACCTAGAAAAAAATGGATAAATTCCTAGAAACATACAACCCAGCAAGATTGAACCATAAATCCAAAATCTGTACAGAACAATAATAATGTTGATATGGTTTGGATTTGTATTCCTGTCCAAATTGTAATCCTCAATGTTGGAGGAGGGAGGTGATTGGGTCATGGGGGTGAACCTCCCCCTTGCTGTTCTCATGCTACTGAGTGGGTCCTCATGAGATCTTGTTGTGTATAAATGTGTGTAGCACTTCCCCCTTCTCATCCTATTCCTCCTTCTCCAGGTATGTAGGATGTGCCTGCTTCCCCTTCACCTTCTGCCATGATTATAAGTTTCCTTAGGCCTCCCCAGCCATGCTTCCTTTACAGCCTGTGGAACTGTGAGCCAATTAAACACCTTTTCTTTATAAAGTACCCAGTCTCAGGTAGTTCTTTATAGAGATGTGAGAATGGACTAAAATACATGTAATGAGATTAAAGCTGTAATAAAAAGTATCCCAGAAAGAAAAGCCCAGGACTCAATGACTTCACTGCTGACTTTTACCAAACATTTAAAAAAGAACTAATATCATTCCTACTCAAACTAGTCCAAAAAAATAGAGAAGAAGGAAATACTTAACTCATTTTATGAGGTCAGTATTACCTTGATACCAAAATCAGACAAAGACTTATTAAAAAAGGAAAACTATAGGTCAGTATTCCTGATAAACATTGATGTAAAAATCATCAACAAAATACTCACAAATCAAATTCAACAATACATTAAAATAATCATTCATCCATGACCAAGTGAGTTTTATCCCAGGGATGAAAGGATGATTCAACATATGCAAATTCATCAATGTGCTACATCATATCAACAGAATGAAGGACAAAAACCATTTTTGATCCTTTCAACTGATGCTGAAAAAAGCATTTGATAAAATTCAATATACTTTCAAGATATAAACCTTCAAAAAATTAGATATAGAAGGAACATAACACAATTAAAGCCAATTGTATTAGTCCATTTTCACACTGCTGTAAAGATACTACATGAGACTGGGTAATTTATAAATAAAAGAAGTTTAATTGAGTCACAGTTCTGCATGGCTGGGGAGGCCTCATGAAACTTACAATCGTGGCAGAAGGCTGACATGTGGGGATTACAATTCAAGATAAGATTTGGGTGGGGATGCAGAGCCAAACCATATCAGCCATGTATGAGAGACCCACAGCTAGTATCATTCTAAATGGGGAAAAACTGAAAGCCTTTCCTCTAAGTTCTGGAACACAAGGATGCCACTTTCACCACTGTTATTCAACACCATACTGGAAGTTCTAGCTAGAGCAGTCAGACGAGAGAGAAATTAATGGCATCCAAATTGGAAAGAAAGAAGTCAAATTATCCCTGTTTGCAAATGATATGATCTTATGTTTGCAGAAACCTAAAGATTCCACCAAAAGAACTATTGGAACTGATACATTCAGTAAATTTGCAGAATACAAAATCAACATACAGGAATCAGTACCATTTCTATATGCCAACAGTGAACAATCAGAAAAAGAATTTAAAAAGCAAACCCATTTACAATAGCCACAAATAAACTGAAATACCTAGAACTTAACCAAAGACGTGAAAGATCTCTATAATGAAAACTATAAAACATTGATGCAAGAAATTTAAGAAGACAAAGAAATGGAAAGATATTACATGCTTATAGATTGGGAGAATCAATATCGTTAAAATGTCCGTACCAACGAAAGCAATTAACAGAGTCAGTGCAATCCCTACCAATGACATTATTCACAGATATAGAAAAACCTAAAATTTTTATGAAACCATAAAAGACTCAGAATTGCCTAAGCTATCTTGAGCAGAAAGAACAAAACTGGAAGAATCAGATTACCTGACTTCAAATTATACTACAGAGCTATAGTAACCAAAACTACATGGTAGTGGCATAACAACAGACACATAGACCAATGGAACAGAATAGACAACGCAGAAACAAATCTATACACCTACAGTGAACTCATTTTCAACAAAGGTGCCAGCAACATACACTTCGGAAAAGATAGTATCTTCAATAAATGGTACTGAGAAAATTGGATATCTATATGCAGAAAAATGAAACTAGACCACACTATCTCTTGACATATACAAAAATCAATTCAAAATTGATTAAAGTCTTAAATTTATAACCTCAAACTATAAAACCACTAAAAGAAGACATTAGGGAAACTCTCCAGGACATTGGACAGGGCAAAGATTTCTTGAATAATACACCACAAGCACAGGCAACCAAAGCCAAAATGGACAAATGGGATCACATCAAGTTAAAAAGCATCTGCATAGCAAAGGAAACAGTCGACAAAGTGAAGTAACAACCCACCGAATGGGAGAAAATATTTGCAAACTATTCATCTGAAAAGGGATTAATAACCAGAATATATAAGGAGTTCAAACAAAGCTATAGGAAGTGATCTAATAATACAATTACAAAAATGGGCCAAAGATCTGGATAAACATTTCTCAAAAGACAACAAACAGGTATATAAAAAGATACTCAATATCATTGATTATCAGTGAAGTGCAAATCAAAACTGCAATGGGATTTCATTTTACCCCAGTTAAAATGGCTTTTATCCAAAAGACAGGCAATAACAAATGCTGGCAAGGATGTGGAAAAAAGGGAACCCTCATACACTGTTGGTGGCAATGTAAAGTAGTACAACCACTATGGAAAACTCAAAAAACTAAAAATAGAGCTACCATATGATCCAGCAATCTCATTGCTATATACACAAAAGGAAGAAAATCAGTATATGGAAGAGATATCTGCACTCTCAGCACTATGCACAATAGCCAACATTGGAAAACAGCCTAAGTATCCATCAACAGAAGAATGGATAAAGAAAATATGGTACCTATACACAATGTAGCACCATTCAGACATAAAAAAGAATGAGGTCCAGTCATTTGCACCAACATGGATGGAACTGGAGGTCATTATGTTAAATAAGCCAGGCACAGAAAAACAAACTTCAAATGTTCTCACTCATTTGTAGGAGATAAAAATTAAAACAATTGAACTCATGGAGATAGTAGAAGGATGGTTACCAGAGGCTAAGGATAGTGAGGGAGTGTCAGGATGTGGGGACAGTTAATGGGTACACAAATTAAGTTAGATAGATTGAATAAGACCTAGTATTTGATAGCACAACAGGGCGATACAGTCAACAGTAATTTATTGTATATTTAAAAATAAGAGAGTATAATTGGATTGTTTGTAACACAGAGGATAAATGCTTGAGCTGATGGATACCCCATTTACTTTATTATGCATTGTATGACTATATCAAAATATCTCATGTAACCCATAAAATATACATGTACTATGTACCCACAAAAATTAAAAATTAAAAAATGTTCTTCAAATATATACAATATATATAATGTTATATATTTAATATTTTATGAATTAGAATTTAGGCTGTGAAAGGAATGAGAGCATTAATGTGTATTCAATTTTGGGAGTTAATCATTAATCATTTCATTTGTTTACTACTCCCCAGCAGGGACACTTTTAGAACAAAAGGTAGAAGAGAAAAACTAGATGGGGTATATTTCTTGGACTGAATTCTTATGCTACTATACTCAATAAATGGTACTGAGAAAATTGGATATCTATATGCAGAAGAATGAAACTAGACCCCTATCTCTTGACATATACAAAAATCAGTTCAAAATTGATTAAAGTCTTAAATTTATAACCTCAAACTATGAAACTACTAAAAGAAGACATTACAACATTGCTATTGTAGTGGTTATTGTAATCTAATCTTTTGATCCTGTCTTGGAGAAGTAAACATGAATTTTCAGAGCAACCATACAATTACCAATGACTAGTGAGCCACGTGAAAACACACACTCCTTGAGTCAGATTAGCATGATGCAATGTACTAGATGTGATTTTCAATAATCTGTTGATTGTTCTGATTAATTCCACTATTATTTAATTACATAGAGTAGTCTATCTTTCAGCTGGAGGCACTGAAAGCAGGCAATTTGGGGGGTGATGAGCAGCCCAAATTACATATTCTTAAAGTTTATCCATTCAATAATTTTCAGATACATAGTTATGCTTATGAGGCCTTCAGTTTATATTTTCTTCATTTTAAAAGCATTACTTGAACCCTAAATTTTACCTACTGTTTTAACCCCTTCCAAAGTAAACTAGGTACACATTGTCTGTACGGTTAAAACTAATTCCTTTTATGGAATGCACAGTCCATCAAGCTGTTTCATCTGTCTTAAAAGACCTCTTTTCTTCCTCCATCTCTCTGACATATCCAAATGTCAAAGACCTATTCTTTGCTCATTTAATAAACATTTATTGAGGGATTACAGTACTTTATGCTAGACATTGTGTTAGATATTGGGAAAAGAAAGTCAAATAAAGAAATATAGCCTCTATCTTCAAGGAGCTTTTTATCTAGGAATGGCACTTGTTCTGGAGTCCATGGGGATTCCTTGGGAAATCCTTGTATAGGTATCCGTGTGCACCTGAAATTGTGAACACATTTTTCTAGAATGTGTGTCTAAAGTGTTTATTAGAATCTCCATAATTTAACTTAAATGGCTCTCCCAAAAGGTTAAAAACGATTAGTTTAAGGAGAAGGAAATGTGTGTAAATGAAGAATAATTTTAATAAAAGTGTGCATGTGTTCTGTGGTAGCAGAGAAAGGTCATATAAATGAAACTGTGGACCGTTGAGGAGTAGATTATAATTGAGCTGACTTTTGAAGACTGGATTACTATATGAGAGGACGGAAAAAGTCCTAGGCAAAATATTGTTGGCAGGCATAAAGGTATTATACGGTATAATGCTTTTTAATCCCTGAAAGTAATATGGTAAAATTGAGGGGCTGAGAGGTGATGAAGAGGCTGGCGGCTGATTACGAACAGCCTTGAGTATTGAGGCTAGGGAGATAGGTAGGTGTCTTACGTGCAAACCTACCCAGGAGTGTGAAACCCCTGTTATTTCATATAATGTTCAGCATAAATATTGAGTCAAGAAATTTTGGTTTCAGATTAAGAAGTCTTACTTTGCAGCAAGAAGACAGGTGACAGGTTGGATACAAAAAAAAAGGGGGGATACAAGAAAAGAAAAGGCGATGAGGACTGACTTAAAGCTATTACCAAGGTCATAAAGAGGGTAGAACCAAGGGATACACTGATGAAGTACAGAATCCGTAGGCCTTGCTGGCTTTCTGGAAGAGGAATGAGTGAGATGAGGTTAGGGTATTCCTCAGTCTTTTATCCCCACTCCCTCAGTGGATTGTGGTGCCACTCATAGGATAGAGATTTCAGGAAGAGAAGCACATTTGAAAGAAACTGAATATGGTTTGAAACATAATGAGTTTAGGCATCAATAGGATAATCAAGTACAGTTTGATGTAAAGGTTTCAAATGCAGACAGTAGGTAGAACAAGGAATGTAGATTTGGAGACATCAGCATATTTTGGAGGTATGAAGAATATTGTTACCAGAGGGAGTACATGGCAGATAAAAGAAACTTGTAGAAACACTGGTAGGAAGCATTACTATGGATAAGAAGAGGAGGGAAAAATGGAGAGAAGAGAGAGGGAGAGACAGAGACAGAAAGACAGATAGAGGAAGGGTAAAGAGGGAGGGGAAGAGGAAGAAGGAGAGAGAGACAAAGGCAGTGGGAGAGGGAAAGAAGGAAAATGAGGAGAAACTGAGAGAAGGAAAGAGTAACTAAAGGTGTCTGATGTTTCAGGATGATAAAGTAGGATTAAGGCAGTTAAGCATTCCACTGAACTGCTATCCTCACTGATGTGTACCCATACTTTCCCTGTTGGTTTGTAGGTGAGTAGGAAGCACCTACAAGGACTGATTCCAGATCTTTCTCCCTGGAACTGATCTCTTTCAGCCCCAGTATTCTCAGAGCTTGTTATTTAAAACTTTATATTCCCCTCTACCTTTTTTAGTATATAATGTATATTTTATTTCCTTCACTAGATTGTGAATTACAAGATGGCAGAAACCAGAAGTTATTTACCATTGTATCTAAGACCAGATCTATATGGTTCTGGGCATAAAATAGATTCTTAATAAATATTTGCAGAATTAAATTACATTATAGTTTTGTGGATATATCCCATCTCCTATATTCCACTAAATACTTTTCAGTCTTTGTTTGTGGAGTGATGTTTTTGGCACTTGGCTTCCACAGAACGATTTTCCCATGACTCAGCACTTATTGCAATTATATAGCTGGGGTTTTTGGTAGCACTCAACCAGTGATTCCGAATTCTTATTTTGTAGCATGGCACTGTAGCGCAGGTAGTGTCATTAAATTTTCAAAAAGATCTTAATATAAAATGTACTATAAACTTATAAAAATAGCATGTATTTCTATATCTCTTTTGAGAGGAGAGAGGCATAGATATTTTAAAACCTAAAAAAAAAAATTGCACTACAGAATTTCCCAGCACCAAACCATTTGTGTATCAAAGTTTTAGATGTTCTGGTCTGCTGGAATATAGGACATATTTGTCATTTACTTACAGATCTTGAAGTCCTCATCTTATATGGAGGGCTTTTGCTTTCCCCTCAATCCTCTACAAAATAAGAATCAGGGTGATTCTTGCCTACATTTAAAGATGAATTCATTGTATATCAGCAACTGTTTTAACGTTAATGAGGAATTTTGAGTCTCTGCAAGTTTTAACCATCATAAAACAAGCAAACAAACACCACTCCAAGAGAGCAGAACTTGTATTTTTTTGTTTTTTTTTTCATTTAGAGAATTTCTGCAAAACCAGTTTTAAAATGTTGTTTCATTTATGATGAGTTTATAATTCCTGTAAGACATTTAATATAAGAACAGATATTTTGACAATGTTCAATTGTTAGTTCTTCAATACTTAAAGTTGTACGTAGTGACCCAGCAGGAGAGTGTGCTCTAGGTGAAACAGAATGAGTTGTTGATATGGTCTGGCTCTGTGTCCCCACCCAAATCTCATCTTGAATTGTAATCTGAATTGTAATCCCCATGTGTTGGGAGAGGGACCTCATGGGAGGTGATTAGATCATGGGGGTGGTCCCTCCATGCTGTTCTCATGATAGTGAGTCCTCACAAGATCTGGTGGTTTTCTAAGGGGCTTCCCCCTTTGCTCAGCACTCATTCTGTCTCCTGCCACCCTGTGAAGAGGTACCTTCCCCCATCATTGTAAGTTTCCTGAAACCTCCCCAGCCATGCAAAACTGTGAGTCAGTTAAACCTCTTTTCTTTATAAATTACCCAGTCTCAAGGTATCTCTTCATAGCAGCATGGGAAGGAACTAATACAGTTGTGAAATCTGAAGTTAAATTGTAACTCCAGCCCTGATGTGCCTTGTGAGCCACGACTTATTCAACAGAGAAGACCCAGGGCTGTTCAGTGATAAAGCATCAGAATTCCAGACTTTGGATCTAACTGAGCACTCTTTCTGCCCTAGGGCAAGCTTCTTAACTTTTTTAAACTTTAGTTTTCTGTAACATCTGAAAAATTGTAACAGTACTTATCAGATAAGATTGTTATAAAGATTAAATGGGATAATTATGTAAAGCAATTTATACAATACCT
Organism: Homo sapiens; assembly: GCF_000001405.40. NCBI lineage: Eukaryota > Metazoa > Chordata > Mammalia > Primates > Hominidae > Homo > Homo sapiens. The sequence continues at coordinate 101,364,217 of NC_000011.10, forward strand.
AGCTGATGATAATATTCCAATAAGTTACACAGTAAGCATCTCAAAAATTCATTTCTTGCATTAGTAAGACGAAAATGGTAATAGTCACTGCCTCATAGAGTAGCTGTGAGGATTACATGAGGTTCAATGTGGTAGGTACCTTCTAATTCCCCAGACACATAGTAAGTTTCCTACTTCCTCCCTATCATAAACATTCATTCATCCTACTGGTATTTATTAAGAGCCTGATATGTGCTTGTTCCTGTTAGATAATTACATATATCAGGATCTTTTTTTTTATACTTTAAGTTCTGGGATACATGTGCGGAACGTGCAGGTTTGTTACATAGGTATACACGTGCCATGATGGTTTTCTACGCCTATCAACCCATCATCAACATTAGGTATTTATCCTAATGCTATCCCTCCGCTAGCCCTCCCACCCCATGACAGGCCGTGGTGTGTGATTTTCCCCTTCCTGTGTCTATGTGTTCAGATTGTTCAACTCCCACTTATGAGTGAGAACATGTGGTGTTTGGTTTTCTGTTCCTGTGTTACTTTGCTGAGAATGATGGTTGCCAGCTTCATCCATGTCCCAGCAAAGGGACATGAACTCATCCTTTTATGGCTGCATAATATTCCATGGTGTATATGTGCCACATTTTCTTTATTCAGTCTACCATTGATGGGCATTTGGGTTGGTTGCAAATCTTTGCTATTGTGAATAGTGCTGCAAAAAACATATGTGTGCATGTGTCTTTATAGTAGAATGATTTATAAACCTTTGGGTATATGCCCAGTAAGGGGATTGCTGGGTCAAATGGTATTTCTGATTCTAGATCCTTGAAGAATCACCACCCTGCCTTCCACAATGGTTGAATTAATTTACACTCCCAGCAACAATGTAAAAGCGTCCTATTTTTCCACATCCTCTCCAGCATTTGTTGTTTCCTGACTTTGTAATGATTACCATTCTAACTGGCATGAGATGGTATCTCATTGTGGTTTTGATTTGCATTTCTCTAATGACCAGTGATGATGAGCTTTTTTTCATGTTTGTTGGCTGCATGAATGTGTTCTTTTGAGAAGTGTCTGTTCATATCCTTCGCCCAATTTTGATGGGGTTGTTTTTTTTCTTATAAATTTAAGTTCCTTGTAGATTCTGGATATTAGTCCTTTGTCACATGGATAGATTGCAAAAATTTTCTCACATTCTGTAGGTTGCCTGTTCACTCTGATGATAGTTTCTTTTGCTGTGTAGAAACTTTTTAGTTTAATTAGATCCCATTTGTCAATTTTGGCTTTTGTTGCCATTGCTCTTTGGTGTTTTAATCATAAAGTCTTTGTTCATGCCTATGTCCTGAATGGTATTGCCTAGGTTTTCCTCTAGGGTTTTTTTGGTTTTAGGTCTTGCATTTAAGTCATTATTCCATCTTGAGATAATTTTTCTATAAGGTGTAAAGAAGGGGTCCAGTTTTAATTTTCTGCATATGGCTAGACAGTTTTCCCAACACCATTTATTAAATAGGTAATCCTTTCCCCATTGCTTATTTTTGTCAGGTTTGTCAAAGATCAGATAGTTGTAGATGTGTGACATTATTTCTGAGGCCTCTGTTCTGTTCCATTGGTCTATATATCTGTTTTGGTACCAATATCATGCTGTTTTGGTTACTGTAGCCTTGTAGTATAGTTTGAAGTCAGGTAGCGTGTTGCCTCCAGGTTTGTTCTTTTGGCTTAGGATTGTCTTGGCAATACGGTCTCTTTTCTGTTTCCATATGAAATTTAAAGTAGTTTTTTCCTAATTCTGTGAAGAAAGTCATTGGTAGCTTGATGGGGATAACATTGAATCTATAAATTAATGTGGACAGCATGGCCATTTTCATGATATTGATTTTTCCTATCCATAAGCATGGAATGGTTTTCCATTTGTTTGTATTCTCTCTTATTTCCTTGGGCAGTGGTTTGTAGTTCTCCTTGAAGAGGTCCTTCACATCCCTTGTAAGTTGTATTCCTAGGTATTTTATTCTATAAACTACACAACTACATGGAAACTGAACAGCCTTCTCCTGAATGACTACTGGGTAAATAATGAAATTAAGGCAGAAATAAATAAGTTCTTTCAAACCAATGAGAACAAAGATACAACATACCAGAATCTATTATTTGGAAGAGTTTTATAAGGAATGGTACCAGCTCCTCTTTGCACCTCTGGTAGAATTTGGCTGTGAATCCGTCTGGTCCTGGACCTTTTTTGATTGGTAGGCTATGAATTACTGCCTCAATTTCAGAACTTGTTATTGGTCTTTTCAGTGATTTGATTTCTTTCTGGTTTAGTCTTGGGAGGGTGTATGTGTCCAGGAACCTATCCATTTCTTCTAAATTTTCTAGTTTATTTGTGTAGACGTGTTTATAGTATTCTCTGATGGTAGTTTGTATTTCTGTGGGATCAGTGGTGGTATCCCCTTCATCATTTTTTATTGTGTCTATTTGATTCTTCTCTCTTCTTTATTAGTCTGGCTAGCAGTCTATTTTGTTTATTTTTTCAAAAAACCATCTCCTGGATTCGTTGATTTTTTGAAGGGTTTTTCGCGTCTCTATCTCCTTCAGTTCTGCTCTGATCTTAGTTATTTCTTGTCTTCTGGTAGATTTTGAAGTTGTTTGCTTGTGCTTCTCAGTTCTTTTCATTGTGATGTTAGGGTGTTGATTTTAGATCTTTCCTACCTTCTTCTATGGGCATTTAGTGCTCTAAATTTCCCTGTAAACACTGCTTTAGCTGAGTCCCAGAGATTCTTGTACATTGTGACTTTGTTCTCATGGGTTTCAAAGGACTTATTTATTTCTGCCTTCATTTTGTTATTTACCCAGTAGTCATTTAGAGCAGTTTTTTCAGTTTCCATGTAGTTATGTGGTTTTGAGTGAGTTTCTTAATCCTGAGTACAAATTTGGTTATACTGTGGTCTGAGAGACTGTTTGTTATGATTTCCATTCTTCTGTATTTGCTAAGGAGTGTTTTACTTCCAATTATGTGGTCAATTTTAGAATAAGTGCAATGTGTTGCTAAGAAGGATGTATATTCTGTTGATTTGTGTAGAGAGTTCTGTAGAAGTCTATTAGATCTTCTTGGTCCAGAGCTGAGTTCAAATCCTGGGTATTCTTGTTAACTTTCTGTCTCATTGATCTGTCTAATCTTGACAGTGGGGTGTTAACGTCTCCCACTATTATTATGTGGGAGCCTAAGGTTCTTTGTAGGTCTCTAAGAACTTTCTTTATGAATCTTGGTACTCCTGTATTGGATGCATATATATTTAGGGTAGTTAGCTCTTCTTGTTGCATCAATCCTTTTACCATTATGTAATCCCCTTCTTTGTCTTTTTTGATCTTGGTTGGTTTAAAGTCTGTTTTATCAGCAACTAGGATTGCAACCTTTGCTTCTTTTTGCTTTCCATTTGCTTGGTAAATATTCCTCCATCCCTTTATTTTGAGCCTATATGTGTCTCTGCATGTGAGATGGGTCTCCTGAATACAGCACACTGATGGGTCTTGACTCTTTATCCAATTTGCCAGTCGGTGTCTTTTAAATGGAGCATTTAGCTCATTTACATTTAAGATTAATATTGTTATGTGTGAATTTGATCCTGTCATTATGATGCTAACTGGTTATTTTGCCCGTTAGTTGATGCAGTTTCTTCATACTGTCAATGGTGTTTACAATTTTGTATGTTTTTCAGTGGCTGGTACTGGTTTTTTCTTTCCATATTTAGTGCTTCCTTCAGGAGCTCTTAGTAAGGCAGGCCTGGTGGTGACAAAATCTCTCAGCATTGTTTGTCTGTAAAGGATTTTATTTCTCCTTCAATTATGAAGCTTAGTTTGGATATGAAATTCTGGGTTGCAAATTATTTTCTTTAAGAATGTTAAAGTTTGGCCCCCATTCTGTTCTGGCTTGTAGGGTTTCTGCAGAGAGATCTGCTGTTAGTCTAATGGGCTTCCCATTGTGGGTACCCCGACCTTTCTCTCTGGCTGTCCTTAATATTTTTTCCTTCATTTCAACCTTGGTGAATCTGACGATTATATGTCTTGGGGTTGCCCTTCTCAAGGAATATCTTTGTGATGTTCTTTGTATTTCCCTAATTTGAATGTTAGCCTGTCTTGCTAGGTTGGGGAAATTCTCCTGGATAATATCCCGAAGAGTGTTTTCCAACTTGGTTCAATTCTCCCTGTCACTTTCAGGTACACCAATCTAACATAGGTTTGGTCTTTCCACATAGTCCACGTAGTCCCATATTTCTTGGAGGCTTTGTTCATTCCTTTTCATTCTTTTTCTCTAATCTTGTCTTCATGATTTATTTCATTAAGTTGATCTTCAATCTCTGATATGCTTTCTTCCACTTGATCAATTTGGCTGTTGATACTTGTGTATGCTTCATGAAGTTCTCATGCTGTGTTTTTCAGCTCCATCAGATCATTTATGTTCTTCTCTGAACTGGTTATTCTAGTGAGCATTTTCTCTAACCTTTTTTCAAGTTTCTTAGCTTTTCTGCTAAGAATGGGTTGGAATATGTTCTTTTAGCTCAGAGGAGTTTGTTATTACCCACCTTCTGAAACCTTCTTCTGTCAATTCATCAAACTCATTCTCCATCCAGTTTTGTTCCTTTGCTGGTGAGGAGTTGTGATCCTTTGGAGGAGAAGCATTCTGATTTTTGGAATTTTCAGTCTTTTTGTGCTGGTTTTTCCTCATCTTCGTGGATTTATCTACCTTTGGTCTTTGATATTGGTGACCTTCTGATGGGGTTTTTGTGTGGATGACCTTTTTGTTGATGTTGATGCTATTCCTTTCTGTTTGTCAGTTTTCCTTCTAACAGTCAGGCCTCTCTGCTGCAGGTCTGCTGGAGTTTCCTGGAGGTCTACTCCAGACCCTCTTTTCCTGGATATCACTAGTGGAGGCTGCAGAATAGCACAGATTGCTGCCTATTCCTTCCTCTGGAAACTTCATCTCAGAGGGTCACCTGCCAGATGCCAGACGGAGCTCTTCTGTATGAGGTGTCTCTCAATTCTCCTGGGACGTGTCTCCCAATCAGGAGGCATGGGGTTCATGTACCCACTTGAGGAGGCAGTCTGTCCCTTAGCAGAGCTTGAGTGCTGTGCTGGGAGATCCACTGCTCTCTTCAGAGCCAGCAAGCAGGAACGTTTAAGTCTGCTGAAGCTGTGCCCACAACTGTCCCTTCCCCCAGGTGCTCTTTCCCATGGAAATGGGGGTTTTATCTATAAGCCCCTGATTGGGGCTACTGCCTTTTTTTCAGAGATGTCCTGCCGAGAGAGGAGGAATTTAGAGAGGCAGTCTGGCAACAGTGGCTTTGCTGAGCTGTGGTGGTCTCTGGCCAGTTCATACTTCCCAGTGGCTTTGTTTACACTGTGAGGGGAAAGCCACCTACTCAAGCCTCATTAATGGCAGATGCCCCTCCTCCCACCAAGCTTGAGTGTCCCAGGTCAACTTCAGACTGCTGTGCTGGCAGCGAGAATTTCAAGCCAGTGGATCTTAGCTCACTGGGCTCCATGGTGGTGGGATCTGCTGGGCTAGACCACTTGGCTCCCTGGCTTCAGCCCCCTTTCCAGGGGAGTGAATGGTTCTGTCTTGCTGGCATTCCATGTGCCACTGGGGTATGAAAAACTCCTGCAGCTAGCTCGGTGTCTGTTTAAACAGCCACACATTTTTGTGCTTGAAACCCAGGGCCCTAGTGGTGTAGGCACCCAAGGGGATCTCTGGCCTGTGGGTTGTGAAGACCATGGGAACAATGCAGTGCCTGGGCTGGAATGTACCATTGCTCGTGGCACAGTCCCTCATGGCTTCCCTTGGCCGAGGAGGGAGTTCCCCGACCACCCTGCTTCGGTCTGACCTCTGTGGGCTGCACCCACTGTCTAACCAGACCCAGTGAGATGAGCCAGGTACCTCAGTTGAAAATGCAGAAATAACCTGCCTTCTGCATTCATCTCTCTGGGAGCTGCAGACTGGAGCTGTTCCTATTTGGCCATCTTGCCAGCCCCCCAATATATATCAGGATCTTATAAGTAGAACAAGACATACAGCAATCACTGGTCCTGGGGACAACAGGCTGGAATTATTATCTTGGTTTCTCTATTTTTTAGCTTTGCAAATTTGGTTAAGTCATTTAATATTTTGGTAGCCAGTTTGTTTATCTCCTAAATGGTGATAGTAGCAACTGCCCCCAGCCTAACTTCAGGGGTATTGATAGGACCAAGGTAATACATGTCCATGTGCTATGTACTGTGCCAAATATTATTATTATAACAATTTGCTTCTATTCCCCTGGCTGAAGGGACAGAAAGGAGGAAGTTCCTGGGTGCACTAAAAATTCTCTGAGAATGTTCAGGTGAGAAATGGGCTGAGGGAAGACTGTTATGCAGATTCCCCACTCCTTGCTTTTGAAGTTCTGTTATTTGAAAAGTCCCAGAAGTCAAAATCATCTAAATTTCAAAGGGGACATTTTCACAGAATTTAAAGGTTAAACATGTCTATACTCATGTGAAATAGGCAAAGAGGTTTGTTTAAGTGATAGTTTCTGCAATAATTCTTATAGTCCTGATGCTGCCAAATAAATTACCATTCCATGCAGGACTAAACTTTAGATTCCAGCCCAAATCTGGATATCTCAGAAGCTGATTTAATGCCACCAAATTCTGCTGGATTTGCTAATGTTATTGCTCCACACCAAAAACCTCCAGTCAATTTGTGCTTGCCTGACTTAAAGGAGAATTCTCCAGACTAGCAGTATGCTATTTCCTGTTCCCTTTTGGGCAACCTGTTTTCTTCAGTTTCTTTTAAACAGTATTTAAAAGCTTAGGAGGCTGGCCATGTGTGGTGGCTCAAGCCTGTAATCCCAACACTTTGGGAGGTCAAGGCAGGTGGAACACCTGAGGTCAGTAGTTCAAGACCAGCCTGGCCAACATAGCGAAACCCTGTCTCTACTAAAAATAAAATAAATAACCCGGTGTAGTGGTTTGCACCTGTGATCTCAGCTATTTGGGAGGCTGAGGCAGGAGAATAGCTTGAACCTCGAAGGCGGAGGTTGCAGTGAGCTGAGATCATACCACTGTACTCCAGCCTGAGCAACAGAGTGAGACTCAGTCTCAAAAAAAAAAAAATGCTTAGGGGGCTTAGAGTGGTTCAAACTGGCAACAGACATTATTGGCTGCCGTAGTCACATTCTATCATGTTTCTGTGTTTACAATCTAGAAACTTCAAACCTGAAGTCCAAGAAACTGTGTGAGGCAGTCAACAGTAGAGGTGCAAATGTTGAGAAACCCTTGCTTTTAAACAGGCATGGGACCAACTGTGAAGTGAAGAATTTTCTTCCCAAAATTTTTTATACTTTCTCTCCTGGGAAGATACAATTTAACTTTCTGATACCAAATCTTTTTCATGTTTTTCTCTCTAGATGGAATTGTCAGAGTTACATCTTTATAAATAAATCCATGTATCAATTTGAGGATTAAAGAAATAAAAATAATCTTAGAAGAATTTTTTGCAAAATCTGGAAATGTCAGGCAAATATTTATAATTAGTAAATAACTTTTCTCTGAATTAGAATTTTTTTTTCTGCGTTATTTCCAGGAATAGAGGTGATCATCCTAATTTGCAGAACATCAAAAATTTCTGAAAATCGAGAGTGTCATAATGCTGTAGCAGGGAAGGCCCCTGATGTGTTGATAGAGCAGGCAGGCCTTTTGGTGGAATGACTTGGTCAGAAGTAGCTCATGTACCTCAGTGCTTCGAATGCCTGTAATAACTCCTTTGGAAAACTTGTGGGGAAATGTGAGTAGTATTAGACAAATGGGCAAGTAGATCAAGACTCTGATAGGAAAGTTCACAGAATGGATAAATTTTAATGGGAAAGAAGAAAGATGAATTTGGAGCACTATGGCATCCACTACGTTTCTCAAAAGTCACATAGTAGTATTGAGTATGTGAAATGTAAAGAGGAAAAAGGCAAATATGCTTCCTTGTTTACATGAATTCAAAGAATATTTGAGAGCATAAACATGAGAATACACAGTTTCCATGTTCAAAAAACTTACAGGGCCAGGTGCAGTGGTTCACACCTGTAATTCCAGCACTTTTAGAGGCTGAGGTGTGAGGATTGCTTGAGGCCAGGAGTTTGAGACCAGCCTGAGAAACATAGCAAGACACCATCTCTACAAAAATAAAAATTAAAAAAATGACCTGGGCATGGGGGCTTATCATGGTAATTCCAGCTACTCAGGAGGCTGAGATGGGAAAATTTTTTGGCCTAGGAGTTCAAGGCTGTGGTGAGCCACGATTGCACCACTGCACCCCAGTCTGAGTGACAGAGTGAGACCCTGTTTCTAAAAAAAGAAAAAGAGAAAAAAGCCAAGAAGCTTACAGTACTGAGGAACATAAAGGTAAACAGTTAATTTCAATATCCTGTTTGAATATTTACTGTAGCATGCTACAGTAAAAGTAATACGGAAAGATATAGGAGCATGAGAAAGGGGTGCCTACCAACCCAACCAACTAACCTTTTCTTGGAGGAAGTGAATTCTGAACTATGACATTTTTATGATCTAAGAGAACAATGGTAGAGGCAGAGGAAACATCACACTCTCCCTATCTCTTCAAGGCTGCATTTCAGAAGAACTGCAATGAGTTCAGAGTACTGGGAGAGGATCTGACCAAAATGAGGTTGTTGAACATGGACTCAACCCACCTTAGTTAGGAATTGAGCTTTATCCTAAGGGCAACTGAGACAATGCATTCTCAACAGTCCTATGAGAAGACACAGCAAAATAGAATGTTTAGGATTATGGGCTCCATGCCTCATTTTTCTTATCTGTAAAATGGGGATGAAAATAGTAAAACCTCCCTCATAGGGTTGTTGAAACAATGGAAAAATTTAAACCCCATAATGTACATAGAATAGCTGGAGTACTTAACCTGGAACATAGTGAGCACTCCATAAATGTTAGCTATTGAATTATAGTGTGTTTTAATCTAGGGAATGACATGATTAGACATGTGTTATAAAATGAAGACTCTGATTTCAGAGAGGGGAATGGGTTCCTAGAACTGCAGTTTATCCAACATTGTGAGATTTTTCACTGTGGGGAATACTTGGATATATATATTCGTTGTGGGCAAGGGATGCAATGGTGTTTAGAGTAAACATTTTGTTGAAGCTAAAGTGTAGAGTTTTAAATTTCTAAACTGAAGATAACCTTATATGATCACTTAGGTTTAACCCTCTGATTTATCAAACCTTCAAGAGGTTAAATGACTTACTCAAAGTACCACGGTAGTGGTGGCAGATATGGTAGGCGTACCAAGTCCTTTGAATCTTAGTACATAGTTTTTCTGTTCTTCTTCTTCTTCCTTCATGTTCTTAAAGGACCTTGAGAGGAGTGGATCAACAATGTCTAAAGTGCGTTCTTTAGGCCCTTTTCTCTACATCAAGTCTCATTCAAACCACCAGGAAACACTGTGTCCTGCATTTCAATAACCTCCCCAGGCACTATCATCTTGTTATTAAAAGATTTTTGTTGATTCTGTTTTCTGTCTTACATTTCAAAATATGAAAGGAGCTCTTAGTTGAGAATGTTCTATCTATTTGCCAATTTCTGAACCAAATCCTTGAAGTGAAATAAAAAACAAACTACCTTCTTGAATGCAAGTGGTTGTTAGGATGGTAGACAACCTGGGAAATGTTTGTTTCACAGATAGTGTCCCTTAATATAACCTTTTAAAAAATTTGTCAAGAGCAGCATTTTTTCACTGTGGAAAATAAGGAGCAATTTTGATGCTACTTTCAATCAAGGAAATTGGAGCAAAGAAGATTTTAGGGCCTCTGGCTCCACCTCTCTCCACTGATGCATTGTTATCAGAATGTCACAAATGGCCTTGTCTGACTCTACATTGGGTGATGGGATCATGGGGTCTGGTGCTGGCATTGTCTGTTCTGTGCCTTTGGGAAAATGATTTGGTCCTCATCAATTAAATGAGAAAGAACGAGTGACCTATAAAGACTGCTGTCTAGAATGACCTGGCACAAAGTATTCAAGAGACATTTAACTCAGAGAATTAAACTCAAAATTGTACTAGTTATATTACTTTTTTTTTTTTAAGATGGAGTCTCACTCTGTAGCCAGGCTGGAGTGCAGTGGCATGATCTCGGCTCACTTGAAGAAAAGAGTGTCATTTTTGTTTTTTTGTTGTTGTTGTTTTGTTTTATATATTTTTTTATTATACTTTAAGTTCTGGGGTACATGTGCACAAAGTGCAAGTTTGTTACATATGTATACATGTACCATGTTGGTGTGCTGCACCCATTAACTGGTCATTTACATTAGATATATCTCCTAATGCTATCCCTCCCCTCTCCACCCACCCCACAACAGGCCCTGGTGTGTGATGTTCCCCTTCCTGTGTTCAAGTGTTCTCATTGTTCAATTCCCACCTATGAGTGAGAACATGCGGTGTTTGGTTTTTTGTCCTTGCAATAGTTTGCTGAGAATGATGGTTTCCAGCTTCATCCATGTCCCTACAAAGGACATGAACTCATCCTTTTTTATGTCTGCATAGTATTCCATGGTGTATATGTGCCACATTTTCTTAATCCAGTCTATCGTTGTTGGACATTTGGGTTGGTTCCAAGTCTTTGCTATTGTGAATAGTGCCGCAGTAAACCTACGTGTGCATGTGTCTTTATAGCAGCATGATTTATAATCCTTTGGGTATATACCCAGCAATGGGATGGCTGCGTCAAATGGTATTTCTAGTCCTACATCCCTGAGGAATCACCACACTGTCTTCCACAATGGTTGAACTAGTTTATAGTCCCACCAACAGTGTAAAAGTGTTCCTATTTCTCCACATCCTTTCCAGAATCCTGACTTTTTAATGAATGCCATTCTAACTGATGTGAGATGGTATCTCATTGTGGTTTTGATTTGCATTTCTCTGATGGCCAGTGATGATGAGAATTTTTTCATGTGTCTGTTGGCTGCATAAATGTCTTCTTTTGAGAAGTGTCTGTTCATATCCTTCACCCACTTTTTGATGGGGTTGTTTTTTTCTTGTAAATTTGTTTGAGTTCTTTGTAGGTTCTGGATATTAGCCCTTGGTCAGATGAGTAGATTGCAAAAATTTTCTCCCATTCTTTGGTCAGGTTTGTCAAAGATCAGATAGTTGTTGATGTGTGGTATTATTTCTGAGGGCTCTGTTCTGTTCCATTGGTCTATATTTCTGTTTTGGTACCAGTACCATGCTGTTTTGGTTACTGTAGCCTTGTAGTATAGTTTGAAGTCAGGTAGCGTGATGCCTCCAGCTTTGTTCTTTTGGCTTAGGATTGTCTTGGCAATGCGGGCTCTTTTTTGGTTCCATATGAACTTGAAAGTAGTTTTTTACAATTCTGTGAAGAAAGTCATTGGTAGCTTGATGGGGATGGCATTGAATCTATAAATTATCTTGGGCAGTATGACCATTTTCACGATATTGATTCTTCCTATCCATGAGTATGGAATGCTCTTCCATTTGTTTGTGTCCTCTTTCATTTCATTGAGCAGTGGTTTGTAGTTCTCCTTGAAGAGATCCTTCACATCCCTTGTAAGTTGGATTCCTAGATATTTTATTCTCTTTGAAGCAATTGTGAATGGGAGTTCACTCATGATTTGGTTCTCTGTTTGTCATTATTGGTGTATAAGAATGCTTGTGATTTTTGCACATTGATTTTGTATCCTGAGACATTGCTGAAGTTGCTTATCAGCTTAAGGAGATTTTGGGCTGAGACTATGGGGTTTTCTAGATATACAATCATGTCATCTGCAAATAGGGACAATTTGACTTCCTGTTTTCCTAATTGAATACCCTTTATTTCCTTCTCCTACCTGATTGCCCTGGCCAGAACTTCCAACACTATGTTGAATAGGAGTGGTGAGAGTCAGTATGATGTTTGCTGTGGGTTTGCCATAAATAGCTCTTATTATTTTGAGATACATCCCATCAAAACCTAATTTATTGAGAGTTTTTAGCATGAAGGGCTGTTGAATTTTGTCAAAGGCCTTTTCTGCATCTATGGAGATAATCATGTGGTTTTTGTGTTTGGTTCTGTTTATATGATGGATTACATTTATTGATTTGCATATGTTGAACCAGCCTTGCATTCCAGGGATGAAGCCCACTTGATCATGGTGGATAAGCTTTTTGATGTGCTCCTGGATTTAGTTTGCCAGTATTTTATTGAGGATTTTTGCATCAATGTTCAACAGGGATATTGGTCTAAAATTCTCTTTTTTTGTTGTGTCTCTGTCAGGCTTTGGTATCAGGATGATGCTGGCCTCATAAAATGAGTTAGGGAGGATTCCCTCTTTTTCTATTGATTGGAATAGTTTCAGAAGGAATGGTACCAGCTCCTCCTTGTACCTCTGGTAGAATTCGGCTGTGAATCCATCTGGTCCTGGACTTTGTTTGGTTGGTAAGCAATTAATTATTGCCTCAATTTCAGAGACTGTTATTGGTCTATTCAGAGATTCAACTTCTTCCTGGTTTAGTCTTGGGAGGGTGTATGTGTTGAGAAATTTATCCATTTCTTCTAGATTTTCTAGTTTACTTGCATAGAGGTGTTTATAGTATTCTCTGATGGTAGTTTGTATTTCTGTGGGATCGGTGGTGATCTCCCCTTTTTGATGATTATAAAAAAAATAATTTTTTATTGCGTCTATTTGATTCTTCTCTCTTTTCTTCTTTATTAGTCTTGCTAGCGGTCTATCAATTTTGTTGATCTTTTCAAAAAACCAGCTCCTGAATTCATTGGTTTTTTTAAGGGTTTTGTGTCTCTATCTCCTTCAGTTCTGCTCTGATCTTAGTTATTTCTTGCCTTCTGCTAGCTTTTGAATGTGTTTGCTCTTCCTTCTCTAGTTCTGTTAATTGTGATGTTAGGGTATCAATTTTAGATCTTTCCTGCTTTCTCTTGTGGGCATTTAGTACTATAAATTTCCCCTGCACACTGCTTTAAATGTGTCCCAGAGATTCTGGTATGTTGTGTCTTTGTTCTCATCGGTTTCAAAGAACATCTTTATTTCTGCCTTCATTTCGTTATGTACCCAGTAGTCATTCAGGAGCAGGTTGTTCCATTTCCATTAGTCGAGCAGTTTTGAGTGAGTTTCTTAATCCTGAGTTCCAGTTTGATTGCACTGTTGTCTGAGAGACAGTTTGTTATAATTTCTGTTCTTTTACACTTGCTGAGGAGTGCTTTACTTCCAACTATGTGGTCAATTTTGGAATAGGTGTGGTGTGGTGCTGAGAAGAATGTATATTCTGTTGATTTGCGGTGGAGAGTTCTGTAGATGTCTATTAGGTCTGCTTGGTGCAGAGCTGAGTTCAATTCCTGGATATCCTTGTTAACTTTCTCTCTCGTTGATCTGTCTAATGTTGACAGTGGGGTGTTAAAGTCTCCCATTATTATTACATGGGAGTCTTAGAGTAAACCAAAGCCTCCAAGAAATAGGGGACTATGTGAAAAGACCAAATCTACGTCTGATTAGTGTACCTGAAGGTGATGGGGAGAATGGAACCAAGTTGGAAAACACTCTGCAGGTTATTATGCCACAAAGATACTCCTCGAGAAGAGCAACTCCAAGACACATAATTGTCAGATTCACTGAAGTTGACATGAAGGAAAAAATGTTAAGGGCAGCCAGAGAGAAATGTCAGGTTACCCACAAAGGGAAGCCCATCAGACTAACAGCTGATCTCTTGCAGAAACTCTACAAGCCAGAAGAGAGTGGGGCCCAATATTCAACATTCTTAAAGAAAAGAATTTTCAACCCGGAATTTCATAACCAGCCAAACTACGCTTCATAGATGAAGGAGAAATAAAATCCTTTACAGACAAACAAATGCTGAGAGATTTTGTCACCACCTGGCCTGCCCTACAAGAGCTCCCGAAGGAAGCACTAAACATGGAAAGGAACAACCAGTACCAGCCACTGCAAAAACATGCCAAATTGTAAAGACCATCGAAGCTAGGAAGAAACTGCATCAACTAACAAGCAAAATAACCAGCTAACATCATAATGACAGATCAAATTCACACATGACAATATTAATGTTAAATGTAAATGGGCTAAATGCTCCAATTAAAAGACACAGACTGGCAAACTGGATAGAGTCAAGACCCATCAGTGTGCTGTATTCAGGAAACCCATCTCACATGCAGAGACACACATAGGCTCAAAATAAAGGGATGGAGGAAGAGCTACCAAGCAAATGGAAAACAAAAAAAGGCAGGAGTTACAATCCTAGTCTCTGGTAAAACAGACTTTAAACCAACAAAGATCAAAAGAAGGCCATTACATAATGGTAAAGTGATCAATTCAACAAGAAGAGCTAACTATCCTAAATATATGTGTACCCAATACAGGAGCACCCAGATTCATAAAGCAAGTCCTTAGAGACCTAAAAAGAGTGTCAATTTTGATGCAGAGTTTTGGGGTTATAGACACGTAGATATAGAACACAATATTTATTTTGGTGGTCTATACACATCTATCTCTTACCACTACCAAGACATTGTGTCGGTGAGGGCTGCTAGTCAAAATCTTACCTATCAAAACAACCCTCTTCCCTAGAATCAAGTAGGGTTGGAATCATGCCAAAGGGCAATGGGCATTTGCGTTATAACTTTATCTACTTGACTTGCATTAATTCAGGGTGGGAGAATGTGTAATTTGGGGCCTGCTACCCCTGGAAAAAGAGCCTCATGTTACACAGTGCTCGCAAATGGACTTCCATTTTCAGTATCCACCATAGATTAATAACATTCTCAACCAGGCCTAGTGCAAACTGGATAATTAATGTTTGTTTTCCAAAGGAAGGAGTTCAGGTTAACAGAGTTTATTTCACATGTGTGTAGGAATAGAAGAGAAGATGAGAGGAAGGGGACATTTTTAGCCAAGGAGACTTTAGTGAAGAAGGTGTTTGAGTTTGAGAGGTATAAAGATATTATTGAACTAATACTTTCATCTTTCACTATACATATAATTATTAGGCACTTCTTGGTTACAAATGTATACACTATCAGAAGACTTTCTTAATGACTTGCTGGCTATAGCACAATGGAGAATTGTAGGAGAATCCTGACTGTGATGATTATTAATGGATGACATCCATTACTAATGGATAGAATAATTACTAGAACACAGTAATTATTTAGGAAGTCATTGTGTTCACTTGGTCATTGTGAGAAGGAATTTAAGAAATAACCTGAGAATATTCCAGAATCATAAGGGCTATCATTGCCTTTGATCAACTTTCATTTTGGTAGGGAAGACAGTCCTTTCCCAAATTTTCTTTATTATGAATTAAATTAGATAAATTATTCGTGTTTAAATATAACATAAGAACCTGAAACTTGCCATCTTCATCTTGTTGCCTCGAGTTGGGTTCTAGCCTCGGCCCTATTACTATAGGCTCTGTGACTTTGGGTAAGTCATTTAACTTCTAACATTCCAGGGTCTGTGATGTGGGGTCCATGGGGAGCTGATGGACAGAACATAGAAATTGTTGGAGAGACTTTGGAAGGTTTTAAGCATACGAATGTCATTATCTGGATTGCTTTCGTAAAGGCTCACTCTGTCTTCTATGTTTGGGGGCTGTTGCAAAAATCCAGGTGAGAAGGGACAGTGCCTCACACATGGATAGTAGCAGGATCTGTGATAAGAAGTGATCAGATTCCAGATATATTTTGTGATATATATTCCAGACAGATTGTCTGTGGGACATGTGCAAAAAGAGAAGTCAAAGACAATTTCAAGGTTTATGGCCTCGGCAACTAAAATTATACAGAGTCACAGCAGCTACAATGGGAACATTATAGGTGAATCAGGATTGTTCTTTCATGTGTTGGGTAGAAGTGGGATTGAGCTGAAATTCAGCTTTGGCATATTAAACCTTACATTTCTGTTCATTCTATTCACAGATTAGATGGCAATCTTAGCCAAATGACCTCAAGGTTGTTCAAGAGGCAAAGAGGTAGTGAGAAGAATGTGGACATCAGAGTCTGATAGATCTGGGCTCGTCTTATTGTCTCATGGTTGTAAGATGGCTGCTGTAGCACTAGGCATCTTGGTTTTTCACAAGCAAAATAAATACAGGAAAAATGGATATTTTCTTTTATTCATGAGAGATCTTTTTCCAATATTTTTTAGAAGACTTCTTCTTACCCAGAACTCAGGAACATGCCCATCTCCAGATTACATAATAGGCCAGAATTCTCTGAGAGAAAAAGATCTCTTCTCAATATTGTAGCAAACTCAAGATTCTGTTTGCAAGGAAGAGGAAAACAGCTAGCTTTTGGTTAGGTAGATGCTTGCTGCATTCAGTAATTCAATATAGATGGAGTGTAAACTATGAAGTGGACAGTGGTGAGCAATAAGATCTGATGAGGAAACAGATCATCAGGTTCCTAGTATGTTATGCTAAGGAGTTCAGATTTATCATTTAAAAATGGGGCATCATTTAAGGGTTTTTAGAAAGAAAGTGAATTACCAGGTTTAAAAATATATGCAAATGAAAATATTTTTGTAATTATACTACATATAACTACTATGTAATTTATATATTTTTTGTTCAAAAGTTTGTTCCTCATCCTATTTTTTTCTACCTTCTCATCCTCATTTAAAACAAAACTCTCTCTATAGATATCATCCTAAATAAAATGCTTGTGTACTCAATTGAAATAACTCACCTAGATGTTACATGGATGTATACAGATGTCTACCAGTACCAGCTTTAATTCTGTTACTGAAGTTCCTTGCCTATTACTACAACCTTAATTATGTAACTAAGTGAGCAATGTGATTTAATCTATTTATTACTGGGTAAATAACTCTCATACTTCCACTACCTCAATATACCTTTCAATACCTGGAAAAATAAAGGGACTATTTTTCGTGGTCTTATGACAGACTAGATTTTATGAAGAGCCTGTCTACTAAACTACAACTAGATCCTACATGTAACAAAAATAAATTTTCTCCCTGTATTCCTTGAAATTAATGAAACCTACAAGCTTACCTCCAGCCCCCAGCCTCCCCAAGATAAAATTGTGAATGTGAAAGGCAATGGAGTCCTGATGATTAGTGATGCAATAGGGAAATGAAGCCATAGACAATTAGTAGCATATTTTGATGCCCTATAGAGTAATAACTAAATTCTCTTGGAAGGAAGCATTTCCATTGTAGTTGCCTATAATTTTGGATTAAGTTCAATAAAATATGAACTTGACCATGAAAGCATTTTCAAACCCACAAGATAAGAAATCACTATAGAGAACCAGCAAAGTTAGTAAACAATATATTTAGACATCTAAGAGCTTCAGATATTATCAGGTTCCATATGTAAAATAAACATGTATAAAAATTTTCAAGAAGTAAAATAGAAAATAAAAAATAGACCCATTGTTTGATCCAGAAATTCTGCTACCGAGTATCCACCCAAAAGAAAAGAAAATAAGTTATATCAAAAGATACCTGCACTTGTATGTTTATTGCAACACGATTCACTATATAGCAAAGATATGGAATCCACCTAAGTGTCCACAACAATCAGACAATTGGATAAAGAAAATATGATGCATATGTACACAATGGAATACTATTTAGCCATAAAAAGAATGAAATCATGTCTTTTGCAGCAACATGGATGGAACTGGAGACCATTATTTTAAGTGAAACAACTCAGATACGAAAACACAAATACCACATGTTCTCACTTAAAAGTGAGAGCTAAATAATCTGTGCACATGGACATAGAGTATTGAATAATGGTGACGATGTTGACAATGGAAATTTGGAAGGTTGGGGGGTGGGTGGGAGGGATTAGGTGATGAAAAATTAGTCAATGGGTACAATGTTTGTTATTCAGATAATGAATGCACTAAAAACCTTGACTTCACCACTACATGATAATTCCATGTAACAAAATTATACTTGTATCTCATAAATTTCTATAAATAGTAAATAAATAATGATCAAGAATTAAGAGAACACCAAAATTACTAGGCAGATCTGTAAAAGAACAAAACAGAAATTTTAGATAGAAAGTAAATTTTTAAATTAAAATCTTAATACATTGTTATACAGAATATTAGTCAATGCCGAAGAGAGAATCTTTAGAATATAAGCCTGAATAAATTATCAGACAACCACATGGAGAAACAAAAAAATTACAAATGTAAAATAGAAGATAAAAAATATAGAGAGTAGATAGAAAAAGTTTTATGTATGTATAAGTGTGTTTATATATTGCTATGGTTTGTGTGTGTGTTCCCCAGAATTCATGTGTTGGAAGGTTGCTTATTACTGCAGCAGTGTTTGGCAGTGAAGCCTACTGGGAAGTGTTTGGGTCACAGTAGTGGAGCCCTCATGAATGTGTTCATGTCATTATAGCAGGAGTGGGTTAGTTACTGGGAGAGCAGGTTGTTATAGCGAGTTTTCCCTGTGTGCTTTTGTGCTCTCACAGATGCCTGCTTCCCTTTTGTGCTCTTACAGATGCCTGCTTCCCTTTCGCTTCTCTGCTATGTTATGACACAGCAAGAGGCCCTCATCAGGAGCTAACCAGATTTGGCCACCAGTCTTGGACTTCCCAACCTCCTGAACTGTGAGTCAAAGAAAACTTTTCTCTTTTCTTGACAAATTACCCAGTCTCAAGTATATTCTGTTATAGCAACAGAAAACCAAATATATCATAATAAATGTAAATGATCTAAACTTCCCAAGTAAAAGATATTTTTAGTTTTGACAGAAATAAAAAATGAAAGTCCACGTTGTTCATAAAAAGGCACAGGAAAAATATAAAATCATGCAAATGTTATCTGTAATGTACAACTACTTGAGGGGATAGACATGTTTTGTATTATATTGCAAGGCTTATCACCTGGTCTGTAACAAATGCTTAATAAATATTTAGCAAATAAATTAATGAGCCTAGCTATCAAATTCACACTGTAAAGTTATATTTCAATGTACATTTAGATAAATAAGATATTGACTAAAACAGGATGTGGAAGCACAGAGGGGGCAAAATGGCTATTGATAAGCAGTGTATAGCGTTGGCCTCATTGGTGAAGCTAGAACTTTTACCAAAGTGTCCTAACTCGTGGTCCATCGCTCCCTCCCTTCTCCCTCTTGGCTTATCATATGGCTGCTGATAATCCTGATATCATTTGTGAGGCAGCACTTAAAACATTACGTTTTGTTGATACAGAAATTTGCTTAAGGGATAAATAAATCCCACAGAGAAATAAGAACAATAAAAAAAGAATAATATATATGGAAAATATTAACACTGCATATACCCATTGTTTTAACAAATGTTCATTCTCCCTTATGATGTTTTTCTATAATTTTTGCTATATAATTGTCATACATGGAAGACTTTACTTCACTTACCTTAATTTGTAAAACAAGATTAACATGTTTTCTGCCTCCTCATTATCGAGCTCAAATGCCCGCTGTTTTTAGTGGAGAGAAATTACATTCTCTTGTAACAGAATACAGCTTTATTTTTTGATCCTTGAATATTTGAGAGTTGCCTGGAAAAAGTGAAGTTTCTGTTCCTTTAACTTTGCCTGCTATACTCTGAAAATTGACTTCATGTTCTAGAAATAACTTTTAAAAAATCTTCTTCCTTCTGAGTCCTTTTGCACTTTCATTTTACTGTAATAATCTTTGTGGTTTCACCAGTAAGAAGCAGCCATGTGTGGGTAAATATTCTTTAGAATATAGTAAGCAATTTTGCTGTCCAAAATTAACATGGCAGAATAATGCATTCAATTGACTTATTTCCTTATTGTGTATGATTATACAGACATGAAAGAATTTGTGGAAAAACCAATTATTCATGTAAAGTTATTATCCTTAGGAAATTCCCCTAAACAATTCCTGTTTTCCTCTTCTGATAAGATTATTTTTCAAGACTATTTCACTAAGTGGATAGAGACTACTTACCATCAAGCCTTGTGTTACCTCTGAGGAAGCATTCTAACTTATTGGCCAAAAGACTGCAGCGAATTTTGTTTTGGGAGACTTCTAAGGACACTAAATTTGAGTTTGATTCATTTATTTCCACTTCCACAGAGTTGCAATCAATTCTGTAAGTGATTCATAAGCCAACAAGCAGAACACATTGAAATGATTTGTAGTTTGTAAGAATAACATTTATCAAGTTCCTGCTTTTATTTAAACCTGCATTATGGTTATTATTGGACAAAGAAGTACCCCTATATCGTCACGGAATGTAAAGTGAACCACAAGAAAATTTAATAGATGCAATTTAGTAACATGCTAATGAAATTTCTAAATTTGGAATATATCTTCATCCTATATTTGGCTATTTTTCTTTTGGTGGCCAGCTCATATGTACTTTGCCCAGTGTTCTTAGTTTTTTTCCGGACAACTCAAATGTAACATGTCTGAAGCAAAACCAAGAATGGATATGGACTTTAAATGCAACAGCTGAATTAAAGTCACTGTTTACTCATACACAAGCTGTATGGCTTTTGGCTAGTTAATACATCTGAAGGCTTAGATCAAAGGAGTATATTAACAGATGCACCTCAAAAGGCTATTGTGAGAATTAATAAGACCAATGTGTACAATGGTACAGTGCTGGCTGTTCAAAAATGATATGTGCATTTGCATTCAACAA
Organism: Homo sapiens; assembly: GCF_000001405.40. NCBI lineage: Eukaryota > Metazoa > Chordata > Mammalia > Primates > Hominidae > Homo > Homo sapiens. Next base: position 101,384,930 of record NC_000011.10, read on the forward strand.
ATGATAGCTCCTTTCACTTCCATTTTCTACACTTGGCCAAGTTGTTCATCAATTTCCAATGAAAAATAATTTGAATCAATTCCAGAGTTGGGGAATAATCCTACAACTTCCCTTCCCTCATTCTCCTATATCAATTAATTCACAGAGATTTGCTTCCCTGCCTCATATTATTTCTAGAGTTGGTCTTTTCTCCATCTCTCATATTACTAAAGAGCCTCTTCCAACTGGACATTTCACTAGTCTTTACCTGGTTCCCTATATCCATTTTTGTTACTGTCTTCTGCCTATCCATTTTCTGAGCTTTTTTTGCTGTTATTTTTCTAACTTCTAAAGACAGATGCTTAGCTCAATAAATACTAGCCACTTTTATTTTCTAATGTACTCTTTTAAGGCTGTAAAATGATAGGTATTGTTTTAACTGCACCCCAGAAGTTTTGATAGGTAGTGATTATTGATTCTACATATTTTAAATTTTTCAGTGTTTCTTAACTTCAGAAATACAGAATTTATTTTGCTATCTTTTGTGATTTTTTTCCATTTTAATGTTGCTGATAGTAGAAAAAAAACTCTCTGATTCCTTTTCTTTGAAATATGTCTTGTTTTATTGTCCAGTCTGCAGTTCATTTTTATAAATGTTCTATCTGGGCTAAACAAAATAAATCTACCCTGTTGTAATATGTTTAGTGTTCTATATGTTATGTCCATTAAATATGGCTTATTGTTTCATTCAAATATTCTATAATTTACTGATTTATCTGCTTAATGTATTAGTTACTTATGCAAACATATTTATATACTCAGCACTTATATAGCAAAAAATCACAGAACAAGGAGAAATCAACATGCCTGTTAAAAATCTCCCACTATTTTACATAACCACATTTTTGTAATAGTAAATTCTTCTTGGTGAATTGAACTTCCAATTTTGATAAAGTTATCTTCATTTCTATGAATATATTTGCCTCAAAGTTTATTTAATCTGATATTTACATATTTTTTTCTAGTTTTCTTTTGGTTCACATTTGACTAAAATATCATTTCCATTCTTTTACATGTAACCATTCTTTATCCTTTTTGTTTTGTTTTGATTTTGTATGGAGCTTGAACCTAGGTTTTGCATATGTATATATATACATATATATATATACACATATATATACACATATATATACATATATATATATACACATATATATATGCATATATATATACTTTTATTTTTTCTTTAACTTTTATTTTAAGTTCAGGGGTACATGTGCAGATTTGTTATATAGGTAAACTTGTCTCATATGGGCTTGTTGTACAGGTATTTTGTCTGTTTTTATGGTTTTAATCTGTAATTTTTTGTTTGTAAACTGGAGAATTTAAGTTATTTATATTTATTGTGATTACTGATAGATTTTGGGTTGTATGTATGATATTATTTTTTGCTTTTTAGTTGTTCTATCTCTTCTATGTTTCATTTCCCTCTCCTCACTAGCTTTCCTTTGGACTGACAATTTTTTGTTCTGCTTTATTCTCTACCAGCTTGAAAGTTTTACACCTTTTTTCTCTACAAGAAGCTAGGCTAGAAATTATTACATGCATCTTAACTTTTCAAAACCTAAATTTAATCAGCGTCCTACTTGCTTCCTAAGCAATACAAGAACTCAAAACAGCTGAATTCCATTTAACCCACTCCCCAATTATATACTACTGTTTAACATGTTTTATTTTCATCTCTCTCTAAAACTGGACAAGACATTATTGTTATTATTATTAGAGTTAATATTTGTTTACATTTATTTATATATTTAACTATTTATTTGTTCATTATTTCTTCTTGCACCTCAGACATATCATTTGGTATCACTTTCCTTCTAAGTGAGGTACATGATTTAGAACTTCCTTTACGGAGAGTTTGCTGTAACAAGCTCTATTTGTTTATGTTTGGAAATGTCTTTATTTTGCCCTCATTTTTGAAGGATATTTTCACTGTGTATATCTTTTAAATATATTTTTAAAAATATATTTTATTTTAATATGACATACATGTAGATGATTAATAATCCTTGAGTATTCAATTTAATGAATTATCATAAGCTGACCTCTCCTGTGTAACCATTACCTAGATCAAGACAGAGGACATCTCTGAGACCCTAGTGACCTTCCCTTCTCTGTTCTTTCCAGAGGTAACTTCTATTCTGGTATCTAACATCACAGATACATGTTACATGTTTTCAAACTTTATGTATGGTATGTATTATTAGACTTCTTATTTTGTACAATATCATATTGGCGAAATTCATTCATGCTGTATGCAGCATTTGTTTGGCTATTTTCATTGTTTATAGTGCTCCCTTTGTATAAACAGACTACAAATTATTTATCCTTTCTATGGATGATGGATGTTTGGATTGTTCTTGTTCAGAGCTATTACAATAAAACAGTGTGACATGCTTGTACTTGTCCTTCTGTGCACATATATTAATTTCTGTTGGTTATATGCCTAGGAGAAGAATTGCTTGGGGATGATTATATGCATGTTCCGCAGTGATTCTGCCAAAGTTTTCCAAAGTGTTTGTACCTAATTGTGCTTTCAACGACAACATTTAACCGTTTCATATCCTTGCTGACAGAATTGTGGAATTGTCAGTCTCTTTAATTTTTGATATTCTGTTGAGTATCCAGTGGTATCTCATTATGGTATTTATTTGCATTAACTTTCCTGATGACTAATCCCTTTTTTTGTTTTTTGAAGGTAAGTCTTCCCTGAGAGAGGATTTACTTTGTGTTAGGCTGTTAAAATTGGGACTGATCATTTCAATTTAATTAGAGATTATAATTGTTTCACAGCTAGCTTTCAAGGTTTGTGTTTATTTTTAATTCACTGCTGTTCCTAGAGTGTATCCCTTTGGGAGTTCCAACTGATAGCCTAGAGTGTTTACTGGGCCCCCAACTCTTTCTAGACCCACATTCATTTTTCCCCTAGCCTTAAAAGCCTACTGAAAGGTTTGGGCAGCTTTTCAGTCCCTCAATACCTGCTTCCAAGACAGCAAATGCCCCAGTGAGAAAAGTGACAATGAATGTCAGGTTTGCTTCTCTCTGTTGTCCCCTCAAGTTTTTGCTTCCAAGGTGGGTCTCTGACATCTTCAAATAATTTTTCTTTCTTTTGTTTTGTATTTTTTTCAGACTTTCTACTTGTTTTTGAAAGAAGTAATTATCTACAGCAGGCTTATTTGCAATTACCAGAATCATCTGGTAAAATATTTTGATTGTTATTTTTTCAGCACATTGAAGATTTTATTCCACTAAATCTCCACTTCCATTGTGTTGCTATTGATAAGTCAATTCCCAGTCTAACTATTCTCCTTGAAAAACTATTGTTTTGTATATTATCTCTATGCTTGTGTTCAATATTTTCATTATGACTGCTCAAATATAGATTTCCTTTTATCCAGCTTGGGAATTGTTAAACTTCTTAGATTTGTGAATTGATGTCTTTCATTAGATTTGAACAAGTGCTTAGTAGTTACTGCTTCAAATATTGCCTCTGTCCTATTTATTTTTGGAATATCTGGATCGATATATATTGGACTTTCTTACTCTATGATCTCTGTATGTTATTTTCTCTATCATATTTTCATGTATTTTGGCTCTTTTTCTTCATTGTAGATTTATTTTCCTTAAATATTTTCCAGTTCACAAATTCTTTAATTTTGTATAACCTGTTGTTAAAATCATCCACTGATTATTTAAAATATTAATTGTTATTTTTTTGAATTTTTATTTGATGCTTTAACGTTTCTTTCTGGGTTACTTTGGTTTTCTGTACCCTGAATTGGTATTTAAGCTTGTTTTTTATTTCCTTAAATATAATAAACATAACTATTCTGTATTCTCTACAGGTATCTTTCAACTACTCATTGTTTCTGCTGGTTTTCACTCATGAAGATTTGTTTTACTTAACGTTTAGTGATTTATTTTTATTATATTTTTACTGTAAGCTGCTCATTTTCCTTGTAGGTTTATTTGTGAGAATTATTCGATGCTTAGGATAAAGGCAATTTCCCTTCATGTGGATTTGTTTCACGTCTCTGGCAGCTACTACCTGTGTGGGACCATTTTAGTTAAAATCACTACTTAAGGTATTTTGCTTTACCCAGTCAATGTGAATTTGAGCTACAAATCCATAAGAAAGCCACCTTATGTCACATTTCTCAGAGCCATTTCCCCCTTTTTCTCAGTAACATCGTTGAAACAGGAAATATTCCATGGCAAGAGCGGGATTAGGAAATCTTGACTTTAGTTCTAATTCACTCAAATATTGAGGATGTGCCTTTTGGGGTACCAGCTTTATGAAAATAAAGTCTGTTGTTATCTTCCATACTTTGGTTGGTCTTGCACTGTGCCTCATTTTGCCTGTACCCAAAAAACATGAAGAACAAAACTTGAGTTCAACATCTTTAGCTGAATTTAGGCCAAAAGTGGTTTCTGTGTTATTTTCATTCATATGGGTTTCTGTCTGCATGTGGATTTTGAAGTCAGTATTCTGTATATTTCTTCCATTAGGTTGGTGGGGTTTTTGTGTGTGTGTTTTATCTAGAATTTTTTTTTCAGAGGGAAATTTGGTTTGGTTACTAAGTCTATCATAACTGGAAATGGAAAGCCTGTCCAAACTATTTTCTTCTGACAACCACATTATCTGTTTTGTTTTTGTTTTAATGTGTTGTATTACATCAAGGCTGAAACTCCTTTGATGGATTTCTGTTTCTCTTAGGATAAAGCTAAAACATCAATTGGCTTACAGAGCCCTGCATGATCCTCTTTTCCTAATGCTCCACTGACTTCTCATGCCACGTTATTTCTTGACCTTCTGTGCTTTGGTCATACTGCTCTTTTTACAATTCTTTGCATTCCTTATTCAAATGATTGGTGATTTTGATTTTATCTCTGAATTTAAGAGTTTCTGTTTTCCCTTTAGTAGGTGCTGATTATGTGATCATGGTAAAGTGTGGCGTGTGCCACTAAGTGTGGTGTTCCTCAGGCTTCTAGGAGTGTGTGATCTCTATCTCTCTGAGAGTCAGAACCTATCCCCTTGTTCTGTGTTGCCCCTTCTACCCCACTGTCCATACAGAGCTGAAACCTGTCAGTTAATGTTGCTGCTGCCCATTGCTCAGCTCAAGTCAGGAAGGGCAAGGAGCCAACGGTTTACCTGCTCTGAATATAGAGATGAAGTCAATTATCCCAACAATTGTCCAACGGCTCTCTTCTGCTCATTGTTATCTGTTGGTGATTTTGTGGAGAAGAAAATGGATTCTGGAAAAACCTTAAACTCACTCTTTTCCTCATATGGGTTGACAGTGATTCTTTATTTTTGCAGCAAATATGATTGCTTTCAGTTTTCTTTTAGGAATTCCTCAAGTATCATCTGTGATAATTAATATTTTATGTCAATTGGGCTAGGCCATGGTACTCAGACATTTGATGAAACATGATTCTATATGTTTCTGTGAAGGTATTTTTTAGATGAGATTAACATTTAAATTAGTAGGCTTGTGTGAAGCAGGTTACCCTCCATAATATGGGAAGGCCTCGTACAATTAGTTGAAGGCCTCAATAAAAAAAGGCTGACATCCTTGAAGAGGAAATTCTGCCAGCATATTGCCCTTGAACTTGAACTGCAGCATCAACTCTTCCATATATATATATATAGTATTAAATAATACGTCATACTATATATACAATAGCTTTATTGGTGAGAATAGGAGAACCAGTCTCCTACTGGTCCTGTTTCTCAGGAGAACCCTAAATAATACATCATTCCACTTGGTGGCACTCTTTCCTGTTTTACACATTTGTTATGCTTTTATTCTTATATTCCTCTCTATTTTTCTACTTCATGGATATTTTGGTGGACTTGTGTTTTCAATATACCATCTTGATTTTAAAATCTAGAACCTTTCTTTGAGGAAATCATTCAATAGCTGTAGAAAAATTTGAAAAAAATCATCAGTCATTTAGATTTATAAGTAATTCTTGAGTCAATTTTGATGACACTTTTTTTATAATATATTTTATTAAGAATAGATTTAACAATTATACAGCATATCCTGATTGCTTACTCTCTCAGTGGTGTTACCTTGTAATTTTTTGCCTTTACTCCCAAACTACCTTTTATCAATACAGCCTCTAAAAACTATCAGTAGGTAGAGGGATAAGGGAATGAAAAAGAGATGGACTCACTTGTAAAGAAACTCAAGTTGATATAATAAGACAGTAAGAGAATAAGATCTATGGAAATTCTTCCCCAAGTCTATGTCTTAATAATGAATAAATATTGCTTTTCTGAAATAAACCTTACTTTATCATTATATGTTAATATACTACCAGATTCTATTTTTAGTATTTTGTATAACTCAGTAATTTTATTTACATTTTATACTGAGGTAACTGCTTAAGACATGCCAACTGATATGTTTTTCTTTCACTACATTACACGTCAATATTAAAATTGTGGAATCAGAGTACACTTCTCTTTCTTTGTGTGCCACAAGCCTTAGATTTTTGGTTTTTGGTGCTGTTGGCCTTTTACCTCTTCCCAAGTAAGAGCTGCCGTAACGGAAATTAGCCTTACCTTTACCTGGCAATAACCTTGACTCTCTCTTTTCAGCCCTGTGCCTTCACTAATGATGTCTTTTGCTTACTAATGATTGCAGGGGCTGTGGTGGGGCTTCAGGAAATGATTTATTCCCCCTTTTGTGCCAAGAACCTCAAAAATGACTGAAAGATTCTTACCACAATTTGATAGTGGTAGACTCCAAACCGAGTAGGGTGTAGGACAGAAATCTGAGTATAGAAATTTTAATCTATCTAAAATGTCGCCAAGAACCAAATAAAACCCATTATCACTGTGCAGACCTTCCAAGCATATCCTCGTGGAGATAATCTCACCTTCTTAATGCACAAGCTTCCCTTGGAGGCCCCATCTGCCCTGCATTTCCGGGCTGTGGCCCTTCCTTGGTCCTTTCTTGTGTCTTGGTAGCTTGGAGGTACGAGTTCATAGGCTTAATTACACCCTGTGCTGCTGGCTAGGGAAAGGGAAAACTTCTGGTCCAGAGCTAGGAGCAACAAAGGGAGAGTTTAAGAGTAATTTTAAATCCAGATGGTAGTTTATTGTTTTACTGTCTCTTATTGGTTTTGGTTGAACTCAAGCAATTTTTTTAAATGAAAGAAGTTATCTCATAGCATAAGGATTTATCTTCTGCCAGCAGCCCTTTGAGGGTCCTCCTGCAAGGTGCATGTCCTCTCTGTCAGCATAATTTTTATGTTTTATAAACATAAAAGTTTATAAGAATGTCTGCTTCCTTCCAAATCTGCATTACATTGGGAAGCTTTCTTACAACCATTTAGCCTTGGGGATACCAAATTTCTTAGGCCCTCTGGATCACTCCTCCTCAACTCCTGACTGGAACAGAGACATTCTCAACCTATTTCAGTCTTTCTTTTCATTGATGATTTTACTATTCATCAGTTGTGAGGAGACTGCAGAAGTATAGATATATATGTGTGTGTGTGCGTGCACATGTGTATATACAAATATTTGTGTGTGTATACATATATGTTTTTTGCCAAATAACTGCGTTTTGTATGCTTTAGATTCACTAGCAACTACACCAAAATATTTGCCACAGAAGAGAAAATCTCACTAAAGTAATTGATGCATTTAAAAATATGTGTGTGTACATATATATGTATATACACACTTATACATATATATGTATTTACTGAGCACATGTGATGCATCATACAATATTCTAGTTGATTAAAAAAGGTAAACAAACTAGACAAAATATGTTCTCTTATGCTAGTGGAGATTGGAGACAATATATGCATAATTCAATTTAAAAAAAGTAGTTTCAGGTTGTGATAAGTACTTTAAAGAAAATGCACTCTAATCCCAGCACTTTGGGAGGCCAAGGTGGGTGGATCACTTGAGGTCAGGCATTTAACAATAGCCTGGCCAACCTGGTGAAACCCTGTCTCTACTAAAAATAAGAAAATCAGCTGGGCATGGTGGTGTGCACCTGTAGTCCCAGCTACTCAGGAGGCTGAGGCAGGAGAATCACTTGACCCTGGGAGGCAGAGTTTGCAGTGAGCTGAGATCATGCCATTGCACTCCAGCCTGGGCAACAAGAGTGAAACTCTGTCTCAAAAAAGGAAAAGAAAAAGAAAAGTAAAGAGACAGCAAGATGAGAATTGCTATATTGGATAGTCAGGTTGCCTTCTCAGAGACCAGAATGAAGGATTGTGGTGATCTCAATAGGCAGCTGTGATTATATTGTTAAAATAAGAAGACTGATCAAGAATTGTTATATGTGGGTAACTGGCCCCCACACTTGTGCAGGGGCAGTTGGACCCTCCCTACCTGGAGTAGTTCTCAGAGCTCCTCTGTCACTGCAATGGGGCGTCCCTTCTTTGTTTCCACATGTGTTATTCTAAGAGTTAAAGTACTTAAGTCAATATCCAAGTCATGGATTATGTAAAAACAGAATTCTTCTGTCTTCCTTCATAAATAATTAATTATATGTTTTATAGAAATGCATTCCCTGTCGTTAATCCTGTTGCCATTCTGAGTGATTTTTCTTCCCTTTGGATTCACAGCTTTACAAGTACTTTTAATTTTGGATTGGATACTGACTTCTCTTCTTGTTTTGTACAGTCTCCTTGCCCAAGCTAGGCTAGAAGAATGTGAAAAATTCACTTAGCTCTCTACATACACTTTGAATCTAAATGTACCTGTAGCAATATTCACTTGTTTTTCCAGACTAGCCACAATGCGGATTGCCACTTTGGATGATATAGCCCAGTATTCAAAAAGTCTTGTTTTCTTCTTGCTCTGATTAAATACAAAATGACTTCAGATTTTCCAGCCTGTCCCAAACTTGAAATGTTACACACAAGAACACGGTGGATTTTTATCAAATTGCTAAATTGACCACAGCCTAATTTTTCTCCAGAGTGAAAGGGTGCTTCTTTTTCCCATTTGCTTTAGTGCAGCTATCAGAGAGTCAGCACAGCATTTTTCTGCTAAGTTTGAGTGATAAATCATAAGAAAAACATTCCAATTATACACAGGTGTATTATAAAATAAAAAATACATCCCTGCTCTGTTTTTTATATGTAATTTTTATGTTTTAATTTTTTTTCTTTTTTTATTATACTTTAAGTTTTGAGATACACGTGCAGAATGTATAGGTTTGTTACATAGGTATACACATGCCACGGTGGTTTGCTGCACCCATCAACCTGTCATCTACATTAGGTATTTATCCTAATGCTATCCCTCCCCTAGCCCCCAACCCCAACAGACCCTGGTGTGTGATGTTCCCCTCCCTGTGTCCATGTGTTCTCATTGTTCAACTCCCACTTATAAGTGAGAACATCTGGTGTTTGGTTTTTTGTTCCTGTGTTAGTTTGGTGAGAATGATGGTTTCCAGCTTCATCCATGTCCCTGTAGAGGACATGAACTCATCCTTTTTTATGGCTGCATAGTATTCCACGGTGTATGTGAGCCACATTTTCTTTATCCAGTCTATCATTGATGGACATTTGGATTGGTTCCAAGTCTTTGCTATTGTGAACAGTGCTGCAATAAACATATACATGCATGTGTCTTTATTGTAGAATGATTTATAATCCTTTGGGTAAATACCCAGTAATGGGATTGCTGAGTCAAATGGTATTTCTAGTTCTAGATCCTTGAGGAATCATCACACTGTCTTCCACAATGGTTGAACTAATTTACACTCCCACCAACAGTGTAAAAGCGTTCCTATTTCTCCACATCTTCTCCAGCATCTGTTTTTTCCTGACTTTGCAATGATCGCCATTCTAACTGGCATAAGATGGTATCTCATTGTGGTTTTGATTTGCATTTCTTTAATGACCACTGATGATGAGCTTTTTTTCAATATGTTTGTTGGCCATATAAATGTCTTCTTTTGAGAAGTGTCTGTTCATATCCTTCACCCACTTTTTGATGCAGTTGTTTGTTTTTTCTTGTAAATTTGTTTAATTTCCTTGTAGGTTCTGGATATTAGCCCTTTGCCAGATGGATAGATTGCAAAAATTTTCTCCCATTCTGTAGGTTGCCAGTTCACTCTGATGATAGTTTCTTTTTCTGTGCAGAAGATCTTTAGTTTAATTAGATCTCATTTGTCAATTTTGTCTTTTGCTGCCATTGCTTTTGGTGTTTTAGTCTTTGTTCATGCCTATGTCCTGAATGGTATTGCCTAGGTTGTCTTCTAGGGTTTTTATGGCTTCAGGTCTTACGTTTAGGTCTTTAATCCATCTTGAGTTGATTTTTGTATAAGGTGTAAGGAAGCAGATCATGAGGTCAGGAGATCAAGACCATCCTGGCTAACACAGTGAAACCCCGTCTCTACTAAAAATACAAAAAAATTAGCCAGGCATGGTGGCAGACACCTGTAGCCCCAGCTACTGAGGAGGCTGAGGCAGGAGAATGGCATGAACCCGGAAGGCAGAGCTTGCAGTGAATCAAGATCGCGCCACTGCACTCTAGCCTGGGTGACAGAGCAAGACACCATCTCAAAAAAAAAAAAGAAAAAAAAGTGTAAGGAAGGGGTCCAGTTTCAGTTTTCTGCATATGGCTGGCCAGTTTTACCAACACCATTTATTAAATAGGGAATCCTTTCCCCATTGCTTGTTTTTGTCAGGTTTGTCAAAGATCAGATGGTTGTAGATGTGTGGCATTATTTCTGAGGTTTCTGTTCTGTTACATTGGTCTATATATCTGTTTTGGTACCAATACCATGCTGTTTTGGTTACTGTAGCCTTGTAGTATAGTTTGAAGTCAGGTAACATGATTCCTCCAGCTTTGTTCTTTTTGCTTATGATTATCTTGGCTATACGGGCTCTTTTTTGGTTCCATATGAACTTTAAAGTAGGTTTTTCCAGTTCTGTGAAGAAAGTCAGTGGTAGCTTGATCAGGATAGCATTGAATCTATAAATAAGTTTGGTCAGTATGGCCATTTTCACAATATTGATTCTTGCTAACCATGAGCATGAAATGTTTTTCCATTTGTTTGTGTCCTCTCTTATTTCCTTGAGCAGTGGTTTGCTGTTTTCCTTGAAGAGGTCTTTCACATCCCTTGTAAGTTGTATTCCTAGTATTTTATTCTCTTTGTAGCAATTGTGAATGGAAGCTTACTCATGATTTGGCTCTCTGTTTGTCTGTTATTGGTGTATAGGAATGCTTGTGATTTTTGCACATTGATTTTGTATCCTGAGACTTTGCTGAAGTTGCTTATCAGCTTAAGGAGATTTGGGGCTGAGAAAATGGGGTTTTCTAAATTGACAGTCATGTCATCTGCAGAGAGAATTTGACTTCCTCACTTCCTGTTGAATACCCTTTATTTCTTTCTCTTGCCTGATTACTCTTGCCAGAACTTCCGATACTATGTTGAATAGGAATGGTGACAGAGGGCATCCTTGTCTTGTGCCAGTTTTCAAAGAGAATGCTTCCAGCTTTTGCCCATTCTGTATGATATTGGCTGTGAGTTTGTCATAAATAGCTTTTATTATTTTGAGATATGTTCCATCAATACCTAGTTTATTGAGTTTTTAGCTTGAAGGGGTGTTGAAGTTTATTGAAGGCCTTTTCTGCATTCTATTGAGATGTAAAAGTGTTCCTATTTCTCCACATCCTCTCCAGCATCTGTTGTTTCCTGACTTTGTAATGATTGCCATTCTAACTGGTGTAAGATGGGTATCTCACTGTGGTTTTGATTTGCATTTCTCTAATGACTAGTGATGATGTGGTTTTTGTCATTGGTTCTGTTTATGTGGGATGGATTACCTTTATTGATTTTTGTATGTTGAACAAGCCTTGCGTCCCAGGGATGAAGCTGACTTGATCGTGTTGGATAAGCTTTTTGATGTGCTGCTGGATTTGGTTTGTCAGTATTTTATTGAGGATTTTCACATTGATGTTTATCAGGGATATTGGCCTGAAATTTTCTTTTTTTGTTGTTGTGTCTCTGCCAGGCTTTGGTGTCAGGATGATGCTGGCCTCATAAAATGAGTTAGGGAGGAGTCTCTCTTGTTCTGTTGTTTGGAATAGTTTCAGAAGGAATGGTATCAGCTCCTCTTTGTACCTCTGGTAGAATTTGGCTGCGAGTCCATCTGGTCCTCGGCTTTTTATGGTTGGTAGGCTATTAATTACTGCCTCAATTTCAGAACTTGTTATTGGTCTATTCAGGGATTTGGCTTCTTCTGGTTTAGTCTTGGGAGGGTGTTGTGTCCAGGAATTTATCCATTTCTTCTAGATTTTCTAGTTTATTTGCGTAGAGGTGTTTATAGTATTCTCTGATGGTAGTTTGTATTTCTGTGCGATCAGTGGTGATATCCCCTTTATCATTTTTTATTGTGTCTATTTGATCCTTTTCTCTTTTATTCTTTATTAGTCTGGCTAGCAGTCTATCTATTTTGTTAATCTTTTCAAAAAACCAGCTCCAGGATTCATTGATTTTTTTTGAAGGGTTTTTCGTGTCTCTCTTTCAGTCCTGCCCTGATCTTAGTTATTCCTTGTCTTCTACTAGCTTTTGAATTTGTTTACTCTTGCTTCTCTAGCGTGTTTTATTTTTTTAAGATGAATGTCTGGATGAGAAGAAGCTTTGTGAAAATAAAATAATAATTGAAATAGAAAATTTTTTCTGAAAGTGAGTAAAAAGTAAAAGAAATTAATTCAACACACATTTATTAAGTGTTGCCCAAGTACTAGTCGTCAAGCTAAGTTCTTAGGACACCAAGATAAATAAAATGCTGTCCCTGTCCTTAAAAAACTTACGGTCCATTGGGACATGGCAATTTCACTTTTTTGATACATGATTTTAGTATTTCCCTGGGACATGTAAATGAAAAATGAGGAAGAAGCAGAGAGAGTGATAATCTCTATTTATTGAGGAGAGGTCTAGAAAGATGTCCCAGAAGATGTTATGTATGAGCTGCAATTGAAAGGCTAATTGGAGTTTTTTAGGTGGCTATGATGGGGAATATGTAGTGATAGAACAAACATTTCCTGTAAAAAGATAGATAGATAGATAGATAGATGCAAAGGCTCAGAATCATGAAACAGCCTAGTATATGCAGGAGTTCAGGAACAATCTTGTACTGTTGGAATATAGATCCTCAAGGGGACCAGCTTGTTGACGCACTAGGCCCATCGGTGAGACAGGAAAGAGAGGTCAGATCATGATAAGTTTTAAGTAAAACAGCTTGGCTTTTATTTTTAAAACTATGATTCAAATCTTGGCTGCATATGAATCCCCTGGGGGAGCTTTGCAAAAAAAAATTAGATTCCATTTCTGAAGATTTTTATTTAGTTTGTATTGAACAGGGCATAGCATCAGGATTTTTTAAAAGCTCCCCAGTTTTTATTTACTTATGTGTTTGTTTGTCTATTGTTTTGGTATTAATGCAAAGTCAGGGTTGAGAACCTTTGCTTCAGAAATTGGATAATCACTAAAGGGTATGAAAATACACAATCACATGTATTCTTCTTTTGAGTGGAAAGAGCACAGACTTCAGGTCTAGTTCACTGTGTTAGCACTTTCATCGTGGACAGACACTTGCCTCTCCGAGCCTCAGTTCCTACAGCTGTAAAACTAGAAGCCTAGTAATATCCACCCAACAGCACTGTTGTACAATCATATATGTGGGAGCACTTTGTTAAGTGTAAGTTATTTCTAGGTAGAAGTGGTCCACAAGTTGAAGCAGACGTTGTTCTGGATTGTCCAACATCCATTACCTTCCAGCCAATAGTAATATTTCTACCCACTTTCTACAAGTTTCATTATCAATAAGCTTTATAAAGAGGTCTATATGGAGGGATGGTTTCTCTTCTTTCCCAGGACCCTGTTGTTTCTGGAGGTAACTCCTGGAACTGCTCCTGCCATTTTATTAGAGAGGAAGAAATGTGAAGAGCCTATGTCCTTGAAGACAGTGTTGGGGATCAAACAAGCTTGGAGTCCACACAATGTGTAGCTTTCTTGTTATGTGCAAGAATACATTTCTTTAATGCCAGTTTGGATATGGCTTCCTGTAGCAAAATGTATCTTAATTGATGGGCAAACTATGAATAAAAAACAAGAGGATTCATGGAGCAAATACTCAACCTTGTTGAATGAGGCAGTTTTATCTTGAGCGTGAACAAATTGGACTGAATGAAAACAGACTTAAGGAGTGTGCCTTAGGTCTGATTTAAACTTACTAAGAGTGGAAAATTGATTCCTGTTGCATATGAGAGTTACAGGACTATAATGGGGCATTAAGGACACAAGGAGGAAACTGAAATTTATGTAATACTAAGTTCCTGAAACCAATATGACTTTGACTCTGGTATCTGGAATACCAGCCTCCAGAGAGATCACATGATAAAGTACAAGCTTGAGGGATACTGAATTAATTTAATTGTATTACTTTCAAACTGTGTGACCTCTGGCAGGTTACTTAACTTCTATGAGCCTCGTTTTCCCTAATGGTAGCATGAATAAAAGACTTCAAAGCATCTGTTGTAAATATTAAATGGGATACAATAAAGCATTTAACACAGTGCATGGTAAATAATAATTTTTATTATTACAATAATATCCATTTGTTAAGGACTTAAATGGAGAGAGAGGAGCCATGTCTGGCAGTGATGACCCCGCTAGAGTTGATCCAGACTAATTCTGGTGCCTAGAGCTATGTCTAAACAGACTTAGCCCCCAGAAAATATGATAGGGAACGTAAGCTGTCTTTTTTAAAAACTATAAGTAATTTAAACATAGGAGCATCTCTTTATTCAGTGTGGAATTTCCATAGGACATTGGAAATTCCACTATTTATATAAAAAACAGAAATTGTAGTAAGTAGCATAACAACTTTATACAAGAAAACTGTGATACATCCTTAAAATGTATTAGTGATTTGCTTTCAACTTGATTTTTGGCCTTTTTCCTTAGATCAATAGCCCGAATTTCAGGAAATGAGATACCTCATGGTGATGAATGTCCCATATGATGAAGAGATGCTCAGACCCTGAGCATTCAGAGACAGAGAAATGAGATTTCCCTGGGAAAATGAAACATAATTTTTTTAGAATAAAATGACAAAATGTAAAATTTGTAGGGATATTAAGGCAGAGAATTAAAAGACATATAAAGCAAGAATACTCTGGCACAAGAAAAGACGTTTAAATCCAAGTACTTAGGAACTATGCTAGATGATAAATCTTTCAAGAATGGATGCAGTTATGCTCCAAATCAAAATGAGGCAAAATTTCATGAACAGAAAATCCCAGAATGAAGGGTAAGATGGGCTGTTAGAAGAAAAATGTGAAACTAGCTGGTTTAAGGAATAAGCTTCTTCCTTTCAGCATTGTTCCCAGTCGTCTCTTACATTGTCATCAGAAATCAAATCTGGTCAAAATCCTAACTCAATTTAATCTCTGGGTCATGCTACTCAGCCAACTCTATAAAAATCTTCAAATTAGGTTTAGAGTTGTCCTCTGAGCCCTGCTACCATCTCACTGTGTGAGTGGCACTACATAAACTTTGTTCTCATTCTGCTGGATGTGTTTTAACTGTGCTCTATAGCATAAAGAATCTGAATTCTGTACCAAAAAATACAATTATGTATAAAGAATTCTTTACTAAATATATAGTTTTCTAATTCTTGCATTTTGTTTGCTTTCTATAGCTGTGTTCTGTAGCATAAAGAATCTGAATTCTTCACCAAATACATAAAATTTCTCATAAAGAATTCTTTGCCAAATATATACTTTATAATTTTTGTATTCTGTTTGCTATTTGGAAAACAAAACACCAGATCTCTTTCTTCCGTTTTGCAATATCCGCATACCTACAACCATCTGATCTTCAACAAAGCTGACAAAACCAAGCAATGAGGAAAGGACTGCCTGTTCAATAAATGGTGCTGGGATAACTGGCTAGCCACATACAGAAGATTGAAACTGGACCCTCATTACACCATATACAAAAATCAACTAAAGGTGGATTAAAGACTTAAATGTAAAACCCCAAATTACAAAAGCCCTGGAAGACAACCTAGGCAATCCTATTCTGGACATAGAAACTGGCAAAGATTTTATGACGAAAATGCCAAAAGCAATTGCAACAAAAGCAATATTGAAAAATTAGATCAATAAAGCTTAATAACTTCTGCACAGCAAAAGAAACTATTTGCAGACTATGCATCTGACAAAGCTCTAATATCCAGCATCTATAGGAAACTTAAACAAATTTACAAGCAAAAACCAAACAACACCATTGATTAGTGGGTAAAGGACATTAACAGACACTCTTCAAAAGAAGACATATATGCAGTCAATAAGCATAAGAAAAAAGCTCAATATCACTGACCATTAGAGAAATGCAAATCAAAACCACAACGAGATAGCACTCACATGAGTCAGAATGGCTGTTATTAAAAAGTCAAAAAATAACAGATGCTGGTAATCTGTGGAGAAAGGAAATGCTTATACGCTATTGGTGGGAGTGTAAATTAGTTCAGTGATTGTGGAAGATTGTGTGGCAATTCCTCAGAAAGCTAAACACAAAAATGCCATTTGACCTAGCAATCCCATTACTGGGTTTATACCCAAAGGAATATAAATCATTCTACCATAAATACACATGCACACCAATGTTCACTGCAGCACTATTCACAATATTAAAGACAAGGAATCAACCTAAATATCCATCAGTGACAAATTGGATAAAGAAAATGTGGTATGTATATACCATGGAATACTATGCACCCATAAAAAAGAATGAGGTAATGTCTTTTGTGGGACCATGGATGGAGCTGGAGACCACTATCCTTAGCAAACTAATACAGGAACAGAAAACCAAATATCGCATGTTTTTACTTATATAAGTGGGAGCTAAATGATGAGAACTTATGGACACAAAGGGGAACAACAGACACCGGGAACTTCTCGAGGCTGCAGGGTGAGAGGAGGGAGAGGATCAGGAAAAATAACTACTGGATACTAGGGTGACAAAATAATGTGTACAACAAACCCCAGCAACATACGTTTACCTGTGTAACAAACCTGCACATGTACCCCTGAACACAAAATTTAAAAATGGAATTTTATTATTATATTATGGAGTATTTTTACTGCTATACTTTTAAAAATCTTCTTCTTGTTGTCAGCATTCTTTAATAGAACACTCATAAATTTTAGGTCAATAACACTTTCAATTGACTATAAAACGTATGCCATGATAGACCTAAGTATTTATTGCATGAGTATGTATCAAGAGAAGCCCATTTGACTTAGTGCATTTTAAAATTTTTATATATTTCATGGATTCATAAGACATAGAAAGTCAGCGTATCTTTTCTAGAATTCTGTCATCAGAAAATGGTTATCTTGTGTGTATTAAGCTATTCTCCAAGAATTTAAGTATCTTTGGGAGGTATTAAGAGGAAACTGAGTTATTTATACCCCCTCAGTGCTATTTATTTTAACAAGGCATCTCTCCACTCCCACCCCCAGCAACAACCATAGCCAAGATAATATTTTTCTTTAGGGGAAAGAGATTTGATAGGAATGTGGTCAGTAGGAATGGGTGATTGTAGGTTATTGAAAATTGCCCTGTGATAGCAGATTTAGGATAGTAGCCAAGGACAGTCGGTCAGTGTAAATGGAGTAATTTGGGGCACATGGACACAAGGAGAGAAAAAAACTTCAGGAACATTAGAGGGTCAGCTTGATCTCCTTGATGACTTTACTGAACAGGTCCTTAAACCTCAGTCTTGGAGATGAAGGGAAGGACAGGCTCTCTCGCTAAAGTGGGCTCATTCAAGAAGTTGAGAAGGGACAAGGAAGCCCCATTTCATTCTACCTTCACTGTGGCATCTTCAGGGAAAACAGATGCAGCAGTTGATACTAGAGACCTTTCTCCTCTGGAACCCAACTTCAAGCAAGAACCAAATATCCTGGCCTGAGGTTCCTGTGAAGATGTTCCCATCTACCTTGTTGAATGAAGGCAAGAGGACTATGAGGAATGCTTCTCTCTCCTCTGGCTTGCATTTCTAAACCATCTCTCTACCTCCCCAACTGTTGTTGCCCCAGACTACCTACAATCCCTTAGAGTTTCTACTACATGCACCAAGCTCTTCCCACCAAGCTCCACCTGGACTGCTCTTTCTCCAGCCCTTTGAATACTTGCTCCTTTTAGGTTGAAATACCATTTTTCTTGACTGGCCCATTTAGAAAATGACTTTTTCTGTTATTCTCCATCTCAGTGCCCAAATTATTTAATCACTTTAAAAGAAATAATTCCAGTTTCTGATATGTTCCTGTTTATTTTCTGTCCCCTCTCTCTCACCAGAATGTGAGCTACTTAAGTGACAGGCTGTCATGTTTACTACTGTTTCTGTAGCACCTACATGACTGACTTTTTAAGAGCACAAATACAGTGCTGGGTTTGATGGGAGCTAAATGGTGTTGCTCTCAGCTCTCGAAAGGGTCAGGCTACCACTGTGCTGTGTAAGGTTGAAAGCAAGATTTGCATACTTGCTTTGACACTCATTGCAGCCTAAGGAGGAGGGGACAGGGAATGGTGGTATCATAAGTAGATGCCAGCATTTTCCTAGGGGAAGATCTTTATCTCTTCTTGGCAGCCAAGAATACTCCCAAAGCTAGAGTAATAACCCAAGAGAGAGGATGTTGGTTACGTTTGTTTGTTTGTTTGTTTGTTTGTTTATTTAGAGACAGAGTCTTGCTCTGTCACCCAGGCTGGAGTGCAGTGGTGTGATCTTGGCTCACTGCAAGCTCTGCCTCCCGGGTTCACGCCATCCTTCTGCCTCAGCCTTCTGAGTAGCTGGGACTACAGGTGCCCGCCACCATGCCCGGCTAATTTTTGTATTTTTTTTTAGAGATGGGATTTCACTGTCTTAGCCAGGATGGTCTCAATCTCCTGACCTCGTGATCCACCCACCTGGGCCTCCCAAAGTGCTGGGTTTACAGGCATGAGCCACCGCACCCGGCCTGGTTAAGTATAACTAATATGACTATTCCTAAGGTAATTTCCATTTCTAGCTCGCTACTTTTTTTTTCTTTCATCCTCTGACATCAAACCTGAATAATCATGGTGAACATGTGTGGAGAGGTGATGATTTGTCTAGGGCTTCCTATATGGCAGACTCAGATCTACATGCAGCCCCCAGAGTAAGTTGTGAGATTACCTGAAATGGTATACAATGTTGTTAACTATTTTTACTGTTATACTGAGGAATACTGAGATTCAGAATGGTTTTGCAACTTGCTTACATTTACAAAGCTAGAAACTTGCTTAAACTCACAAAGCTAGAAAGTGGCAAGGCTGAAATTTGAAATGAAGTTGCTATGTTTGACTTGAAAACAAGTTCTATTTCCATTATATGATTCTTTTCCAGAAAATAATCTGGGAAACTTAATAAATCGCTCACAGACTCTTGGGCTCCCCTTCATAAGGACTTTCCTTTTACAATGGAAGGGCAGGAAGAGATGGACACTTAGACCAAAAAAGGCTTTCTAATAGTAGAATCTTAGACATTGTAATAACTGCAGCAAATTTCTGGAAGGAAAATCCTTCTGTGCCTATGCAAATGGCACTTATATAACCTTCACACAGACCAGCCCTCAAGCCTCATTATTTCTTTTCAACCACTCTTATTCTACCTCTTATTTCCGGGAGTTGTTCATTTTATGTTTCCAGTGCCTGGTAGTTTTTTCAGAATCATTGCAGCATTAATAAAACATTAGTATCCAATTTCCTGAAAGGTTATTAAATAGCATTAGTTTGGTTCTTTGTACAAATACAAACCTTGACTGAAGCCCCAAGTTCTTTGTTAACATATGACTTCCCATGATAAACATGTCAGATGTTGTTCCAACCTACGCTGTTTCCTCTTTTAAGATCACAGTGACAAATTGACTATAAATCCAGACTGGCAACACCCATGTCAAGTTGTTTTATTTGAAACTCAACTGTGTCACAAAATAATATGTTGCCTAAATTGAATTTCTAAAAGATCTGGTCACAAAGATAGAGAAATATTCTTTTAAATTCAGCTGCGAAAAGCATCTCTTGGAAGCCACTCCACAGTATTACCATAAGCTCAACAATGCACTACATCTTGCCATAACAATGAGATATCCTAAAATTGAAATATTTCCCTCCCACATCCATTATCTCTCTCATTTCCACAACAGTCTTCTGAGGAAGGTGTTGCCTATTTATTTTATAATTTATGTTTTCCAGCTGTATTGAGATATAATTAACGAATACAAATTGTATGTATTTAAGGTGTACAATGTGATGATTATATATATATATATATATATATATATATACGTATTCACTTATTTACAGGGTATGAAATTTGCTAAGCGAGTGGATCTTAAGTGTCTTCACCGCGCATGCACACAGACACACACACAAAATGGTAACTGGGCGGTGATAAATGTGTTAATTTGACTGTGATAATCACTTCACAGTATATATATATATATTTATATAATTATATATAGAAATATAGAAATATATTTTTAATTTAAATATATAAATATATTTGACTGTGATAATCATTTCACAGTATATATGTATAGTATAAATATATTGATATATAAAATACATTATATATGTTTATATAAATATAGATTTTATATAAATTTTTATATTATATATCTATATAAAAATTTTAATGTATTTTATATTTCTTTATATTTTATATTGTGTATTTATATGCAATATATAATATATAATTATATATTTATTTATATATTTATATAAATATATGTATAAAATACATATTTATATACATATAATTAGATTTGTACTATAGATATAAATATATTTTATATGTTATAAATATATATACAGCATATATATATATACTGTGAAGTGATTATCACAGTCAAATTAATACAGTTATCAACACCCATAGTTACCATTTTGTGTGTGTGTGTCTGTGTGCAGTGAAGACACTTAAGATCTACTCTCTTAGCAAATTTCATATGCTGTAAATGAGTGAAGTAACCAAGGCAAAGCAAGCTGAGGTGACAACTAAGAACTAGGACTTAAATGAACTTAAGTAGTCTACAGCAAAAGAGCCTGGTGGTGGAGAACACTGACATTGGAATCCGACACTTAGTTTTAAATCATGCCTCTGTTATTTATTAGCTGTCAGAAAACCGGCAAGCTTCTTAACAACTCTATGCTTTGGTTCAAATAGGGATAATCATATACCTATTTAAAGGATTATATGAGGATTCACTAAAACATTATCTACAGATATTATTAATTATAATTATTAGTCCCCCCTTCATCATTCTTTCCAGTTCATTTGTTCTGCAAACAAACAGTCCTGCTGCAGAATGTAGCTTCAATCCAGCTGCTGGCAAGAGGTATCTTTCCAGCTCCCAGGGTGCCTCATGCAGGTATTTTTATGGTTACTGCAGAACACATTAACAAGTAATAGTGCTGTTTTCCTCTGAAACTACATCTCAAAGTGAGAATGGTACTCGTTCTGCCTTAAGCTTAGATCAATGTGGACACAACTTCCAGTATTGATGATTGCAAAAGTGAGTCTTAGATTCTCATTGCCTGCTAACGAAGATATATTCTGTAAGTATGCAAGTCCTTCTGTATAGTTCTTTTCCAAATTCTTATACATGTCACCTTCCAAAGGAGTAAGTCTTCGACCACAGGCAATTGTGGTCTCTGTACTTGCAAAAAAAACGAAACGAGGCTCCTTGATAAGGTTAGCCATGAGAAGCAAGAAGTCATGATCATAGAGCTGGCAGACAGCAGGGACCAGATCTGTAGCAGCATCTAGAGCAGTGGTGGGACTGGGAAGAGTGGGGCTTGCAGAAGATCCCTAAGGCAGCACTGAGGAAACCATTTTTAAAGCACCTGCATCAAGGTGGGGAGTCGGATGGAGTTTGAGGGCTTAAAAGGGGAGGGGGGCTGGGGTGGTGGTGAAGTGTCTTAGTTGTTCAGGCTGCTGTAACAAAATACCATAAACTGGGTGGCTTAGAAACAACAGAAATTTATTTCTCACAGAGAAATAAACGGAGGCTGGAAAGTCCAAACTCAAGACACTGGCAGATTTTGTGTCGGGTGAGGGCTCACTTTCTGGTTCTTAGATAATGCCCTCTCCCTGCATCCTTACATGGCAAAAGGGGTGAGAGATCAGTCTGGGGTCCCTTTTATAAGGGAACTAATCTCATTCATGAAAGTTCTTCCCTCATGACATAATCATTTCCCCAAAATCCCACCTCCTAATACCATCACCTTCAGAGTTAGGATTTCCCCATATGAATTTTGAAAGGACACAGGCATTCACTCTATAGTATAGACTGTCAAAATCTGAACACCCAAATAATACTTGTGCAGGAGTCGGCAGCTGCCTCTTAGCCTGTGTATGGCTCCGGTCTCTAAAACAATCTTAAAAGTGTCTCAGGCTCACAGAGAAGTCCAAGGTTGGTAAGACTTCCAGGACCTTATGTGGGCTGTTTCAAAACCAGGAGGAATGTAGCAGGCTTGCCAAGGGATGAGCTGCCTTTCCTCTAAGGAGGAGAGAACAGTTCTTTATTCTTTCTTTCTCCCACAGCAAAATGAAAGCATACCCAGGGCCATGGAGACCTGTTCTCTAGGACACCCTGACCTTTCCCATTCCAGTTTAGGCTTAAGGGGCAGAATCTGCCACTTAAGCCATATATCTAGTTTGTGAAATTGTTTTGCATTCAAGTTCCTAGAAAATACCATGTAGTTCACTCGTACTTTTTTAAAAGCTTCTCGTTTAAGATTTGATTAATGCAAATGTTTGGATTTGAGAAAAAAATGATTTTGAAAGACAAAATTTAGAGGACAGTGTTCCTTTGTTTAATTATTTAATATCTTCTTCAGTGACTTGTCAACACATATATGTAAAATTGGGTTTAATTCTTAATCATAATTCCCTTTGTATTCAAAGTCAAAACTAAAGATAGCTAAAGCATTCTAGAAGATTTAATGTATTTAAGTTCAAGAAATGGTTTCCTGTCAAATGCTGACTTTGGTGACAGTGAGGCTCTATTTATGTCAAAATAAATTTTAGAAGAACAATGCCAGATTAAAAATTTGGTCAAAGTGAATAATTTAATTAAAAATAATCAAAGCTATCATTCTACTTTTTATAAACGGTAACACAAGATAAAGAACAAAGTTTAAAAAAATTCACATGTTAATAAAGCCATATCATTGCAGCTGAACATGTTGACAGCAAACCCCAAATGTCTCATGTTTGTCAGTTAGTTTTTGCTAAATTACACATTTTTCCAGAGTCATCACACACCAGCATTCAGAATCAACAAGTGTTTCCAACACCCAGTATGTGCTAGAAAATTTATCAAGGATGCTTACCTATTTTATCACACGTAATTCCCACCATAAACGTTTAGAATTGCCTTTATTCCCATTGTAACCTTTGAGTCACATAACTTGGTACATGCCAATTAGCCTGTCTTAGACAAGGATTTGCTTTTGTTTTTCTTTTCCCTCTGTGGATAAAATCCAAGGCAGACATGAGCAGTAGTTCTCAACTTAGAGTGATTTTTACCCCACAGGGGACATTTGACATTGTCTGTAGACATTTTTATTCTCACAATAAGAGGGTGCTACTAGTGTCTAATGGGTAGAGTCTAAGGATGCTGCTAAACATCCCATGATGCACAGGGAAATTCCTCACAATAGTGAATTATTCATCCAAAAATGTTAACAGTGCCGAGGTTGAGAAACCTTGGGCAAAAAAATTGAATTGGGTAACTACATCACAAAAGATGAGTCTTAGGTGAGCAGTAAACATGAATTCAACTCAGTTGAAAGAACAGAAGCATTTTAAAACTGGATATTAATTTTAACTCATCTACTTTTTGGCATTCCAAAGGCTTTTATTTTTCAGTAGCAGTTAGCACAGATTTTCATTTATTCATTATTTATTATACACTGGTGTGTGCCAAATATCACCCATGAAGACATAAAAATAAATAAGGCATGGCTGCTGTCCTTAGGAAGTTCAAACTCACTTGAGGGGATGCTGACCGAAAATCCAATCATTTTTATGTAATGTGTAAGTGCTCTGATAGTCATGTAATGGAAGCAAACTCATGTAATGGAAGGAACTCTGTCTGGGTCAGAGAGACTTTCAATTATGAAGATTAGAAATTTTTTTTGAATAGGAAGTTTGACTACAATTTGAGATTTATGATATGCTTGTACAATCTCAGTCTACTGGATTTTTAATATGCTTTGTCATTACGTACTTCTGGTATGCTTTTAAAAATCCCAGAATTCATTTCAAATTCATTTATATGGGCTTATGCTTTTACCAAGCATGAACAAAGTAAAAGATATTTTCTACAGTCTTTGGGAACAGAGTCACACATCTGAATTAATAGACTTTTTCTGAGGAAAATGGCCACCCGAATGTCATTCACATAATGTGAGTTCTTAGGATGTTACTAATGCATCCACCATAGTCCTTTTGATTGCAAATCAAGAGTCATGGTGAGTTTATTCAAATCTCTTCATTTCCTAAGCAATTTCCCATGTAGACAATTTTTTGTAACCTTTACTGTCTAAATAGCAACACTCAGAAGGTAAATCAATATTTCCTCAGTGTCATTTGGAAATAAAGATGTGTTGAGTAAACTGATGGACAGTTCACAGAATACTTGTAACATGGGACAGATACTATGCTAGGTTCTGGGGCTACAAAGACGAAGGGGAGAGACAAGTGAGGAAATGAATATGATCATTTTGCTGTGTGCAGTTCCCATCCCTTCCCTCTATCAATCACCAATCATGTTTCTGCTCACTACATTTTGAATCTGTGGATATCTCTCAGTTACAGCCACCAGTCAAAGCCACCAACATCCTTCTTTGGTGTCTTGTAATAGCCTCTTAACTGGTGTCCTGACATTCTCCCTGGCTACAGAGTAAGGAATGGCATGGCTAGAGGATAAAAGTGATCTCTTAAAATTCAATTTTGATCTCTTCACTCCTCTGTTTAAACATTTTAATGGCTATGTTGGTCTTTTATTAGGAATTACCTCTTAGAAAACTGAAACAGATCTATGGCCTTACAGGAAATAAAAAAGTCATCAAAATGACCTAATGAGCAATAGATAATTTGTATTTCTTTAGGAGTCCAGTCATCTCATTGAGCTATTCAGATCTTTTGGCATATTTTGTAAGCTACTCTTACCAATTCCTGATAAAACCCACTTTATTTTTTATTGTTCATTTTTTGTCTTTGTGCCTTTTTCCTTTTTTCTTAGATTAGCTAGTATCTTATCTGTTTTATTTTGTGTACCTTTAAAGCACATCACACGTATATTAGTGATCCTACTTTTTTTATTTTATAGCAATTTCTAATTTGTTATTTTTCCTTTCTTTTTATAGCTTAGATTCATTTTATGGCCCTTTTCTGTCTTCTTGAGTTGAATGCTTACTATAAATTATACAGACACTCAAATTCAAGCTATGAATTTCTTCAGTCATAGATTTAGTCATATTTATATTTTTTAATATTTTTATATATAGTAAATTCAATATTAGTATCTTTTAGACATTGTGAAATTTTGTTTTTTATCTTTGAAGATATCTGAATTTAGGAGATTTTTTAAAAATTTGAAGTAATGGGTTTTTTGTTTTTGTTCTTTTCATTGGGATTATTTTCTGATTATATTGCATTTTGGTCAGATAATTTCTAATTTGGTAAATTTATTGAATTTTTGGTGACTTAAACTTTGGTAAGTTTTTATAAACTGTTCCATGAGCATTTAACCATCAACGTGATGAAAAGAAGGTCTATTCTGTTAAGTCATGCTGATGCAGAGGATCTGTAGTCGTTGTAAGGTTATGAGAGGATTGTTAAAATGATTGATATCTTAGAAAAAGATTCAGGGCTTAAAATCTCCAAGTAGAACAAATTTAGACAAGATCAAGTTCTAATGTATAACCATGGGAGTGGTTAGTGACAGACAAAATGATGAGAAGCCAAATCTATAAGCCTCAAGCAGTAATGGAATTAAGCCATGAAAGCATCATTGAGAATTTGAAGGATGCTGCCTCACCTTCTGACCTTTTTTTATGTAAAATGCAAGAGAATAAGCAGCCCTCATAGAAGTACCTTCAGAAGAAGTTGTATCTTCTAGAACAGCTATGATTTAGTTAGGTCTGGGGAAAGTTCTTTGAGAAAAGGAAATATACATATAATAGGATTGGCCCTATATCCCTGTTTGGTCAGAACAGAACCAGTTCATAGTCTGTTGCCTGGCTTAAGTGTTAATGTTTCCTTCGCTCTCTAAACTGTCTCAGTTTGGAAGATAAATTATATGGTCACCCTAGAAAAAAAGAGATAATGTTTTTGAAATCCATGCAAAATTATAAAGAGCTCCATGTAAATGTTGGGAAGAGAAAAGAGACAGAAGTAATGATCAAGGGATAACAAGGCACCGAATGGTTTGGAAATAAGAATTTCCCTTGTCTCTGACTTTAAAGAGAAAATTAAAGCCAGCTAATGGTAATTCCTGATACACTCTCCCACCAAACTCACATAGTTATGGAGTCCACACAGTATTCTTTATTATTTGTCTGTTAAATAAGACATATTGCCTTCCTGCCTAAGGATAAACTCTCTGTCCGTACTCCTGTACCTCCTTTCATTTCCGTAGGTGACTTGCTTTCCTGCTTTACCAGTCCCTTGCCTCTTTCAATTTATGGCCCATCAGGATTTAATTATGCTTAAATGTCTCCCCTATCTTAAGAATAATAAATTCTCTCCAAAATAATACACTTCCAGCTGCTATAATGTGGTTTTCTGTATCTATTATCACTTCTTCACCTTTCATTCATGCTTAAACCCTCTATAATCTGGCCTCAGCTCCTCAACTTCATTGAGACTGGTTTTCAAGTTCACCAATGATGTTCAAAGTCACTTTTCCATTCAAATATTTCCTTAACTTTAAGTGCTAAACAACCCTTCTCCCATCCTGAAACTGATATGGACAGGAGGCAGGGAAATACTAGGCAGAAAAGGGGAGGGGTCCCTGGCGAAGCCCCACCCTCAAGCCTGAATCCATGGCCCAAAGTGAGAACATGCATTCCTGTTTTCCTGCTCAAATGTTACTTTTTGGCCTGCCTTACCCTCCATCATGTACCCCCAAAAACCTGAGGCTCTACTGGCAGAGGGACAGCAAAGTGGCTGAGTGGCAGAGTGGAGCAGCAGAGAAAGAGAGAAAAGAAGAAGCAGCCAGATGTCAGAGAGAAGCAGCTTGACTTCAGAGGGATGGCTTATCAACAGGACTTTGGAGAAGACTTTGGCCAGGGATGTCCAAACTCCAGGGGAAGACCACCCTCCCACTCCATCCCCTTTCCAGCTCGCCATACCACTGAGAACCACTTCCACTGTTCAATAAATTCTTCCACATTCACCACCCTTCAATTCATTCATGCAACCTGATTGTTCCTGGATGCCAGACAACAACTCGGGTACCAAGAGGGTGAGTGCAAAAGGTTGTTACCCTGACCCTCCACTGAGCTGTTAAACATTTAAGCAAAGCTAAAAGAGTACACTGTAACAGATGCCCTCTCGGGCTCCAGGGGTCACGGGTACTCCCCTAGATGCTGCCATGGGGCCTGACAGGGTTCTATTCCTGCTGGTGCCCAGAAGCACCTATCCAAGCCCCTGTACCTGCTTACCTGTGTGCTCCCTTCCTGTGAGGTGTTGAGAGTTGCAGGCTGAGTAAACAAGCCAACCCCTTTGCAAGGGGTCAAGGGAACTACCCGTCTCAAAACCATCTCTTCTTTTGATAACAACATACTCCCTAATGTTCTTCTTAGCTCTCTCTCAACCCTTGTTAGAGTTTCCTTTTGACCTCATTTTTACTATTCACCCTTTCAATGCTGATATTTATTAGGTTCTGTCGAAGTTCCTCTTATTTTCTCATTCTTCCTGATAACTCTTATCCATTCCTTTTTTAATTTAATTTTTTTTACTATTTTGTGTTAGCTAAGGTCCCTAAAGTCTCTATCTCCCACCCAAATCCTGCCCTTTCCTCCTGAAATTCAGATCAGTATATACAGCTGCTTACTAAATATCTCCAGTTGACCATCCCACAAACACCTCAAGTCAGCCTGTCTACAATTAAAATCATATCTTGTGCTCAAACACGCTATTCCCTGATGGTCCTCATCTAGGTTAATAGTACTCAATTGCTCAAGCTGGAAGTATGGGTGTTATTGTGTCCATTCTCCCTTCCCTTTGCTCTGGTATCTACCTAACTCCAAAGGACTTTTCCATTTTTTATGTCAAAATTTGTCTACTTGTCTCCATTTACATAGACACTACTACACCTTTTAACTGGTCTGCCTCCTTCTATCTTAATTTCCAAACTCTTCCCCTACCCGCCAGGTATACACACGGAGACATACTCACCTACAACCCATTCTCCATATTGTACCAAGCAATCTCCCTAAAATGTGAATATGATCAGAGCACCCTCTTTCTTAAAAAAAAAATGCAATGTCTTCTCATTGCCTTGAGGAAAACTTCAAATTCTTATAACTAGCTTCTTGCAGTATCTCCATTTGGTGGGGTATAACCTTGAAAAAAAATTTTTTTTTCTCCTTTCACTCCTGATGGTCAGTATTGGCTCTCCTTTCCTTGCTTAGAAGCAGGATCCTTCATGACATTTTGGGCAGATTTCTTAACACCTGAGTCATATTAGTATATTAAAAGTCCATTAAGTTTAAAAGGGCAATTTCCTATTAAGGGTCAATCTAATCTCCTTCACTCTTCCTTTTGTAAGTCAAGTGTATGGAGTTGGGAGAGAGAGCCCTGTTCTTGAGCTCTCTGCTTGGATGAGGCTGCAGGATGTAGGATATGCATCTGGAATACTTTATTCTTCTCTCTCTTCAAAGTTCGAACTCCTAGGCTATGCCAGGACAGGGAAGGGGCAGGCAACATCTGTTTCTCCCTAAACTGTGCTGGTGGTTCTTCCAGTCCTTTCTCTGTTGGTTTTTGCTGCTTCTCTGGCCTGACCCTGGGTCTGACTTCTCTGGGTCTGACTGACCCTCTAAACTCTTGGTGTGTCAGGCACTCAAATGCTGATTCTTCTATTGGGGTTGAGGGAAACTTATGTAGATTCTTTGGAGGGACTTCTTAGGTGGAGAGGTGCAGGCATTGTTGCCGTTCCCTGATGGGAGAGATCGAGCTCCCCATTGAGCTCTTCTAACCCTGTTCAGCAACCACTCCTAGTGATTTCTACTCAGCAACTTCTCCCTACTGGATTTTCTTGCTAGACAGCCTTGAAAGAGGGCTGTGCAATGTACAAAATATTGCCATATAAAGTAGTTGGATGCAGGGCACTCTGCCGTAGCCTCTTTCTCTGATATCTTCCTCCAATTCATTTTGTCCTATGTGGGTAGGAGAAGGGGAGTTCCACAATTTGGCCACTTAAACAGATATCTAGCTAGGGGCTATACATATTACTCCTTCTGCACATCACCTGAGTGACTCTATTCAACTTTCAAGTCTAATTTGCCATGTCACTTTTTCCACACTATGTTTCTAAAATTCTGTATTTATCCACTGCGGCCCATTTAACTACTTGAGGTACAAAGACAACCTTCAGAGAGATCTCTTTCACTGAGAGCAGTCAGAGGCCCAAAGGTGGCCTGATTCCTCTTATGTTTTACTCCTGATTTCAGGGGAGCCAGCTCTGCTCTCTGGCTTAAGCCCTTCTCCCCTTTTTACCTGAAGCTCTATGACATCAACACCCACTTTTCACAGGCATTTTTTCCAGTCAACACT